>NC_000011.10:107172424-107475454 GCF_000001405.40 Homo sapiens | reverse complement strand
TCTTAGTTGATTATCTCCTGGATCTGGAAAGGAAGGAAGGAAAACAAAGGGGAAAGGGGATTCTCTATAGGATGTGGATTTTTCTCACAAGAGACTTTGCAGGGCAATTTCAAGGTATGGCAAGGAAATATCTTTTGGGATAAAACATTTTGATTTTCTTCCTTGTTATGCCAGAGTCATATTGGAAAGTAAGTCACTATATACAGGGTTAAATAAAACCCATCTGATGAGAATTTATGGTTTGTAGGGCATGACTCCCCAGACCCCTTAGGTAGGAATTTGGGCAAGATTTAAAAAAAATCAGAGCTTAGTCCTTAAGACCTTGCTGATAAACCAGCTTGCAGTAAAGAAGCCGGCTAAAACACACCAAAACCAAGATGGCAATGAGAGTGACCTCCAGTTATCCTCACTGCTACACTCCATTTAGTGCCATGACAGTTTACAAATGCCATGGCAACACCAGGAAGTTACCCTATATGGTCTAAAAAAGGGAGGCACGAATAATCCACCCCTTGTTTAGCATATCATCAAGAAATAACCATAAAAATGGGCAACCAGCAGCCCTTGGGTCTGCTCTGTCTATGGAGTAGCCATTCTTTTACTCCTCTACTTTCTTAATAAACTTTCACTTTACTTGATGGACTCATTAATACCTCTTAAAGTAGTGCTCTAGTCGCTGGAAAACAGGGACTTTTAAATCTGTGTTACTGACTTCAGCACATTGCGAGAGAAGGCTCTTGGCCTTTCCTTGAACCCTACCTTCACCTAAAGATAGGCAGCCTTATGCTGAAAAGGAAAAAAGTTCAGCTTAATAAGAGAGTGGACATATGACTTACCCAAACTGGGACTCTTTCAAAAGTAAAAAGGATTAGAATAGAGATCTCTAAGAATACATTTTAAACAATTTTTTAAAAAAGAAACAAGAAAAATTTAAAAAAAAAAACAACCAAAAACCAAAAGCTCATTGTTCCTTAAGCTTAGCTGTCTTCAGTGAGGAATAGGGCTGAACAATGTCAGAATCTGGAATCAGGTCTCACAGGTCTGCATATATCTTTACATGGTGGTGGTGGTGGTAATAGTGAGGGGACAGGGCAGAGAAGACCCTGTAAGATGATGCAGACACAGGCAATTTGTCATTGTAAGCCAGGGCTCAGCTGGTAGCTCTGACCTTAGCTGTATCAATGTCAGCATGGTCTCTCCTCTACATTGCATGATAGGTGGGGGACAGGGAAGGGAAGGAAAAAGGTATCAAAATCTAGCCTTTAGATTTTTGATGTGCTCATTTCCTGTGACTCTCTTCAGTAGAAGGGCTCATGGGTGTTTCTTCTCAACAATAAAATTGCCTTTTAAAGATAAAGACACAAGGTCTCTGTGTAAACCATACCAGAGTGGTTAGACAATATTTCATGGCATGCTCTCTTGGATGCCTGTGGTACTGGATGAGAAGGTGGCGCAGACCCTCTAATCAACTCTGCCTTGGCTGCTTATCCTTGCCTGAGATGCACCAGCTGTGCGATGTGCAGCCTCCCTAATAAAATGAATCAAATCAGACAGTCTCCAAGAGGCTGCTGCTTCTTTCGGTTATAACCTGATCTGGAATTTAAAAGATGAGGTTCCAAGTCCAGAGAACTGCAAAGTTTATGGCTTCTTACAAATTGTTACCCTAGACACATGAATCCAGTTACTAATCAGACTACTCCCTTTGGATATTGAGATGGTTAATATTAAGTGTCAACTTGATTGGATTGAAGGATGCAAAATATTGTTCCTGGATGTTTCTGTGAAGGTGTTGCCAAAAAAGATTAACATTTGAGTCAGTGGACTGGGAGAGGCAGACCCACTTTCAATGTGGGTGGGCACCATCTAATCAACTGCCAGTGAGGCTGGAATAAAGTAGGTAGAAGAAGGTGGAAGGAGCAGTCTTGCTGAGTCTTCTGACCTTCATCTTTCTCCCATGCTGGATGCTTCCTGCCCTTGAACATCAGACTCCAAGTTCTTCAGCTTTTGGACTCAGCCTTACACCAGTTGTTTGCCAGGGGCTCTCAGGCCTTTGGCCATTGACTGAAGGCTGCACTGTTGGCTTCCCTGCTTTTGAGGTTTTGGGACTCTGGCTTCCTTGCTCCTCAGCTTGCAGATGGCCTATTGTGGGACTTCACCTTGTGACTGTGTGAGTCAATATTCCTTAATAAACTCCCCTTCATGTATACATCTATCCTATTAGTTCTATCTCTCTAGAGAACCCTGACTAATACAGATATACATGTTCCAGATATCTCTGAGTTAGCCCGAGGCAAAAAGGAAAGGGAAATGGCATATTCCAATCTTCCTTTGCTTACTATTTCAGTTAACTGAATGAATCACTTATAATGCCCAGCCTCTTGATACAGAGACCTATTTATTGGGAATGTAAAGAAGACAAAGAAGGACCTCCTTTGGTCCCTTGGCAGGAGATAATTTCACAGCTGGGGCATTTTTCCTTAGGGTGATGGAAATGCCTCTTGTACCTGGGCTTAAGCAGCACTAGTTCTCAACCTCTGTAGATTTTTCAAGGAAGAAGCCCAGGAGTAGAGTCAGGTGTCGAGTGACATTCAAAGAAGCAAGATTCTTCCCAAGTTGTTACATCAGAGGAAGAGATCATTCTAATTCATCCTAGCTAATTTGTTATATATAGGGGCAGTCAATTTACCTGATCCCATGCCCTGAATGTACCATGTTTCCTCGTGCCTCTGTCCGTTTGGTCATTCTGTGCTGTCTGCCCAGAAGGCACCTTTCCCTCTTCCCCCACACCTTTATCCTGCTACCTGTTACAGGTTTTTCAAGATGCAGTTTAGTATTACTGCCTATGGGAAACCTTTTCAGAAGTTTCAACCCTGAAACTTAGTCCTGACCTAAGAGTATCCTTCACCCTCCGTCCTGCAATCATCCCAAGGATTTTTGTATCAGAGCCACTGCGTGCCTTGAAATTCATTCAATCAACATATATTTATGGTAGGCACTGTTTTAGGCACTGAAGCAAAAATAGCCTAAAATCTCTACCTTAATAGAACTTATTTTTTGGTGGGGGAAAATAGGCCATAAATGAATTTAAATAAATTCTTGTAACAGGATACTATGCAGCTATAAAAAGGAATTGGGATGAGATATATATCTTGCTATGGAATGATCTCGGGATGTATTATTTGTCTAGTAGAATTCTGGGTTTGGTCAATTGCTTCCTCGTAGTGTCCCTTAACCTTTTTCTGTAGCTCCAATGTTTCCAGTAAAAAAGGTCTAAAGGCTGGGTTGAATTCACTGGTTTTTGTTTTTGATAAAAATGCCTTGTCAGTGATTCTATATACTTCCCTATTGTATCATAAGGTACATAATGTCTGGTATGCTTCCTTTTGTGCTTATAGTTTTAAAAAGAAACCAAAGAAGAACTACCAAAGGTTAATAACAATGATTACCTATAGGGGAGTGAGGAAAGAGTGGGAGAAACAAGCATAGAAAGAAAACTTCTCTGACTGCATTTTGTTGAAACTGTATAGACATTCACATAATTTAAAAAGAGCATCCTAGGCTGAGGGAATAGCATGCGTAAATGACCTGAGGCAGGAACATGGTTGGTTTTTGTAAAGAACAAGGTTGGTGATATCGTTGCGTTGTGTCCCCTTACTCTTCTTTTTTGTCCCCCTTGTCCAGGTCACTGAATGATTGAATTCAAAAACTTTTTACTCATTTATTCAACCAACATGTATCAGACATAGAATATGTGCTGGGCACTACATAAAAGCTGACTCTCCAAAGAGACTAGAGATTTGAGTCCCCACCCAAATCTCATCTTGAAATATAGCTCCCATAATTCCCACATGTTGTGGGAGGGACCTGGTGGGAGACAATTGAACCTTAGGGGCAGTTTCCCCCATACTGTTCTCATGGTAGTGAATAGGTCTCACAAGATCTGATGGTTTTTATAAGGGGAACCCATTTTGCTTGGTTCTCATTTTCCCTCTTGCCTGCCTCCATGTAAGATGTGACTTTTCTCCTCCTTGCCCCACCATGATTGTGGGGCCTCCCCAGCCAGGTGGAACTGTGAGTCAATTAAACCTCTTTCTTTTAAAAATTACCCAGTCTCAGGTATGTCTTTATTAGCATGAGAACAGACTAATACAGTTGGTGAGTAACTTCTGGTTTACTTGTTTGCCTTCCTTGCAAGATTCTAAGCTTTTGAAGATGGGGCCAATGGCTTTCATCTTTGGAGACTTAAGTTTTTATGCAGTGTCTGGCACATATTCTGTGTCTGATACATGTTTGTTGAATAAATGAGTAAAATGTATTTGAATCCAATCATTCAGTTGTCCCCCTGGACAAGGGGGACAAAAAGGAAGAGTAAGGCACTCTTAGAATATCATTACCATAAAATCACCAGTCTACAATTTTCCTTATGAGTCCTCTCTGATAAATCAGAAGATTGGAAAGTCTCTAAAACAAGATAACAGAGGCAAAACAAAAATATCAGCTTGCTATTAAATATCTTCAATGCATATCAAAACCCAAAAGCCATACTGTTCTTGGAAAAGAACATTTCAGAGCCATCTTTTTTTCCATTAGGCATATCTACATTTTACTTTTACAAACAACAATTTAGAGTCAACAATTTAGTAAGAACACAAGAACTTGCCATATAAGATAAAAATAAACATTTTAAAAATAAAATTAAAATTATAAATAAATTAAAACTAATGATTTTAAATAGCAAATCATTACAAATGATTTGTAAAAAGTTAAAAATAAATAATAATTTAAATAGATAAATAAATATATCTATTTCTGAGGTGAGGATAGAATAAAGATCTTAGTCCTCTGCTCTTTCTCCCCTCTCCATCCACATGTGCAAACATTGTGCATCATCCCTGCATGTCTTTCTATAGTAAACTATTTCATTCACAAGCAATAAGTGACTCATTAAGAAAAACAGAGAAGAGGTGAAAGAGGTGGGGTTCAAGATTACTGTTTTTCTTTCATTTTATCTTTGCCTGAGTTGAGGCACCCAACTTAATGGATCTGGTCAATTGCTTCCCAGTAGCATCCCTTAACCTTTTCTCTAGCTCCAGTGTTTCCAATAAAATAAGCCTGAAGGCTGGGTTGAATTCACTGGTTTTTGTTTGTGATAAAAATACCTTGTCAGTGATTCTATATACTTCCTATTGCATCGTAAGGTACATAATGTCTGGTATGCTTCCTTTTGTGCTTATAGTTTTAAAAAGAAACCAAAGAAGAATTACCAAAGGTTAATAATAATGATTACCTATAGAGGAGTGAGGAAAGAGAGGGAGAAACAAGCGTAGAAACAAAACTTCTCTGATTGTATTTTGTTGAAACTGAATAGACATTCACATAATTTAAAAAGAGCATCCCAGGCTGAGGGAATAGCACGCATAAATGACAGAACATGTGCAGAATAAAGGGAAATGTATTGTTGGCCTCTGATGGGTTGAAGATGCATATTTAAAGTTTCTAGATGTAGGTGACTGGTTAAACAAAGGTGGAGGAAGATTCCTTCTTTCCACTAGAATATAAGCTTAGTGAGGGCAGGGCCTTGGGGCCTATCAGATAATTTGATATAAAGAACCTCAGTAAATGTTGAATTTATGAATGAATTTGGTCTATCCATTGGTAGCACTCTTCTATAATATCTTGCCCCTGTATATTTTATTCTAATGTGTAAAGCAGAAGAGGAAAAATCAGCAGCCTCTGGGGGTGAGCTGGGATAAGGGAACTCATTTGTTTGGACCTCAGTTTCCTCCTCTTTGAAATTACTGGGTTGGAGCAGATTATTTCTAAAGTTCTTTCTTTCCATATCTAACAGTCAAATTATCAAGGCACCCACTTAGTACCAATGTAATCATCCTCTTTGTGTTCCCCCTTAAGTTGATGATGGAGAAACCAACACACTATAGCAACGTGTGAAAATTAACAGCCATACACCATGCAAATGTGTATAAAAGGGCTAATAAAAATTCCTAGACCAGCATTGTCCAATAGAACTTTCTGTGATGATGAAAACATCCTATATCTGTTTTCTCCAATATATATTCTCTAGCAACATGACTGAAAAACTGAATTTAAAATCAAAATAGGCACATGTGGTTAGTGGCTACCAGAGTGTCAATTTCTGACTGGCAGAAACATTAGTCTGGGAAGGCTTATTGGTGAAGGTAATTCTTGAAAATGAGAAAAAGGAGTACTCTTGCAGTGAAAGATTAAGCAAATCTGAATTCAATCAAGAAAAGATTTATTGAGCACGTACCATGGCACCATATTAGGCGCTGGGGATAAAGGTACATTTGACATGATCCCTATCAAGGGTTTATATGTCCAGGAGGAACATACATGAAAAATAAATAATTACAATGATGTGTCAAGTGTTCATGATAGGGATGGTTAATTATCCCCCAATATCTATTCCACTTTCTACTTTTTATTTATAGAACTTCCTGAGTTTTAGCTGAGCACATGTTTGCTCAGCTAGAAACCACATTTTCCAGACTCTGCTGCAACTAGTGGTGATCATGGGACTAACGTTCTAGCCAATGGGATGTGTACAAAATGATATGTACAACTTTGGGATCACATTCTCTAATGAAACTGCTTGTCTGCCATCTGCTTATTCACGCTCCCTGTGGGCTGACATACAGATGTGATGGCACTGGGCCAACTTTGAACTTGAATATGAGGAAATACTCTAGAGGCTGGTGGAGCCACAAGGAATCTGGGCCCCTGGATGGTGGAGAAGCGCCATCACCTGTCTCTGACTATCCTCCTATGGGTGGACCATTAGCCAACAGTGTTCACACCTGTCTCATTTACCTGCTGTATTCTGGGGTTCCTCTGTTACAGCAGCTTAGCCTATACCCGACTAAATACAGTGATTTAGCAGAGGAAAGGAAAAGTGGTGTGGGAACAAATATTCCATCCCTGTGGAATCCGTCAGATTCATCTGAGGAAGTGGTTTTTAGCCAAGTCTTGAAAGTATATAGATTGAGTGAGTGATCATATGTATGAGTAGTATCAATGAAATAGCTTGTTTCTAAAGTTCAGAATACTGGAAATGAAATTTTAAAATCTCTGTGTAAACTTTATATTTTATTTACACAGCAGCTGTCAAATCTTACTCAGAAAAAATATGAGCTTTCTGGTGCCAAGAGAGCAACATTTTATAGACTATGGTCTTCAAGATGGAAAATGTACCACTGTGGTCATTTTGTTGCTATAATTCTTTATTGTGATAAATGCCATCACCAAAGAACCTACACCAAGGAAATCAAGGAATACCATGAAAAGTAGATTCACTTTTGGCCCCAGTATCTGAGCCCTCATTCTCTTCCCAGTGCCTGGTTCTAAAACATGTATTAGTTATGATCTTAAAGAAACATGGATTAGACATAATTATCTGTTCAGTGTGGTCATATAAAAATAGAACAAACATAAAATAATGTTTATGCACTTTAGTTTTGAGCCAAAGACATCAAGTTTTATAGGCTTTATCTGTGTCTCATAATTTTGTTTTCTATCACGAAAGTCTTCCAAGTCAATTTTACAATGTGAAACTCATTTGGCACAATTAAGATTGATTAACTCATTTCTGTATCTATTAAAAAGTAGCAAAGAAAAACTTGGGTAATAACTTGTACATGGTGAGTCCCTCAGATGTTTTTAGAATAAGCAAATTAATGCTTTATTTTGTTTAAATTATTATCCAACCACTTCTACTCCTTGACAAGAAAGAAATGACTCGTTTAAGGCTGAAGTTTCTCATCTGTCATTGAAAAACAATGCAGAATAGTGGTTAAGTATGTATACAGGGGAGCTAGACTAACTTAACTCAAACCCTGGGTCTACAATTTACTAATGGTATGAACTCTGGCAAATTATTTAACATCTCCATTCCTCAGTTCTTCATCTAAAAAGTAGGCATTATAATAATAACACTTATAGCATCTAAAAAGTAGGCATTATAATATTAACACTTATATAATTCAAATGAAATTATAAGCCACAGATAATCATTTATGGATTAAATGAATTAACTTTTATAAAGTACTTAGAACACTACCTGGCACATATTAAGCCCTATATGTTTTGGTTAATAAACTACCTTTAGGAGCTATTATTTTGAAAAGACTGACAGAAGCAAATTATGTTTCTCTGTGGTATGGAAGGTCTAAGTCAGGAATACTCTTGATTCTTGCACTTCAGGGGAGGGCATGTCAGAATCTCTAGTCTTACATAGATTGAAGAATTATATTTAATATTATAAGCATACTTAGTATTACAACATATTTCCATATTTGGAAAAACTTAATCTAGTTTTCTAAAAATATAAACTATTTATATAAAATGTGACAGTATGCCCAGCAAGCAATTTTGAAGATATTGACGAACTGATTCTTAATTTTATATGGAAGGAAAAAAAAGCCTCAAAGAGCCAGCACAATAACTGAAGAAGAACAAAGTTGGAGGACTCACATTACCTAATTTTAAGACTTACTATAGGAGAGTCTGGCAAGATGGCCAAATAGAAACAGCTCCGGTCTGCAGCTCCCCGTGAGATCAATGCAGAAGGCGGGTGATTTCTGCATTTTCAACTGAGGTACCCAGCTCATCTCATTGGGACTGGTTAGACAGTGGGTGCAGCCCACAGAGGGCGAGCCTAAGCAGTGCGGGGTGTTGCCTTACTTGGAAAGTGCAAGGGGTCAGTGAACTCCCTCCCCTAGCCAAGGGAAGCCATGAGAGACTGTGTCATGAGGGACGGTGCTATCCAGCCCAGATACTATGCTTTTCCCATGGTCTTCACAACCCACAGACCAGGAGATTCCCTCCGGTGCCTATGTTACCAGGGCCCTGGGTTTCAAACACAAAACTGGGCAGCTGTTTGGGCAGACACTGAGCTAGCTGCAGGAGTTTTTTTTCATACCCCAGTGGTGCCTGGAATGCCAGCAAGACAGAACCATTCACTTCCCTGGAAAGGGGACTAAAGGCAGGGTGCCAAGTGGTCTAGCTCAGCAGAAACCACCCCCATGGAACCCAGCAAGCTAAGATTCACTGGCTTGAAATTCTCGCTGCCAGCCCAGCAGTCTGAAGTCGACGTGGGACACTTTAGCTTAGTCGGGGGAGGGACGACCACCATTATTGAGGCTTGAGTAGGCAGTTTTCCCCTCGCAGTTTAAACAAAGCACAGGGAGGTTCCAACTGAGTGGAGACCTCCAAAGCTCAGCAAAGCCGCTGTAGCCAGACTGCCTCTCTAGACTCCTCCTCTCTGGGCAAGGCATCTCTGAAAAAAAGACAGCAGCCCCTGGCAGGGGCTTATAGATAAAATTTCCATCTCCCTGGGACAGAGCACCTGGGGGAAGGGGCGGCTGTGGGAGCAGCTTCAGCAGACTTAAACGTCCATCCCTGCCTGCCAGCTCTAAAGAGAGCAGCAGATCACCCAGCACAGTGTTTGAGCTCTGCTAAGGGTTGGACTGCCTCCTCAAGTGGGTCCCTGACCCCCGTGCCTCCTGACTGGGAGACACCTCCCAGCAGGCAGCAATCTTTGCTGTTCTGCAGCCTCCGCTGATGATACCCAGGCAAACAGGGTCTGGAGTGGACCTCCAGCAAACTCTAGCAGACCTGCAGCAGAGGGGCCTGACTGTTAGAAGGAAAACTAACAAACAGAAAGGAACAGCATCAACACCAACAAAAAGGACGTCCACTCAGAAACCCCATCTGAAGGTCACCAATATCAAAGACCAAAGGTAGATAAATCCATGAAGATGGGGAGAAACCAGCATAAAAAGGCTGAAAGTTCCAAAAACCAGAATGCCTCTTCTCCTCCAAAGGATCACAACTCCTTCCCAAAAAGGGAACAAAACTGAACAGAGAATGAGTTTGATGAACTGACAGAAACAGGCTTCAGAAGGTGGGTAATAACAAACTCCTCCGAGCTAAAGGAGCATGTTCTAACCCAATGCAAGGAGGCTAAGAACCTTCATAAAAGCTTACAGGAACTGCTAACTAGAATAACCAGTTTAGAAAAGAACATAAATGACCTGATGGAGCTGAGAAACACAGCACGAGAACTTCATGATGCATGCACAAGTATCAATAGCTGAATCGATCAAGCAAAACAAAGCATATCAGAGATTGAAGAGCAACCTAATGAAATAAAGCATGAAGACAAGATTAAAGCAAAAAGAATGTAAAGGAATGAACAAAACCTCCAAGAAAGATGGGACTATGTGAAAAGACCAAACCTGCATTTGATTGGTGTACCTGAAAGTGACAGGGAGAATGAAACCAAGTTGGAAAACACTCTTCAGGATATTATCCAGGAGAACTTCCCCAACCTAGCAAGACAGGCCAACATTCAAATTCAGGAAATACAGAGAACACCACAAAGATACTCCCCAAAAAGAGCAACCACAAGACACATAATCATGAGACTCATAATCATCAGATTCATATAATTATCAGATTGAAATAAAGGAAAAAATATTAAAGGCAGCCAGAGAGAAAGGTCGGGTTACCCACAAAGGGAAGCCCATCAGACTAACAGCAGATCTCTCTGCAGAAACCCTACAAGCCAGAAGAGAGTGGGGGCCAATATTCAACATTCTTAAAGAAAAGAATTTTCAACCTGATATTTCATATCCAGCCAAACTAAGCTTCATAAGTGAAGGAGAAATAAAATCCTTTACAGACAAGCAAATGCTGAGCGATTTTATCGCCACCAGGCCTGCCTTACAAGAGCTCCTAAAGGAAGCACTAAACATGGAAAGAAACAACTGGTACCAGCCACTGCAAAGACATACCAAATTGTAAAGACCATTGACACTATGAAGAAACTGCATTAACTAATGGGCAAAATAACCAGCTAGCATCATAATGACAGGGTGAAATTCATATATAACAATATTAACCTTAAAAGTAAACAGGCTAAATGTCCCAACTAAAAGATACAGACTGGCAAATTGGATAAAGAGTCAAGGCCCATCGGTGTGCTGTATTCAGGAGACCCATCTCATGTGCAAAGACACACATAGGCTCCAAATAAAGGGATGAAGGAATATTTACCAAGCAAATGTAAAGTAAAAAAAAAGCAGGGGTTGCAATCCTAGTCTCTGATAAAACAGTCTTTAAACTAACAAAGATCAAAAGAGACAAAGAAGGGCATTACATAATGGTAAAGGGATCAATGCAACAAGAAGAGCTAACTATCCTAAATATATATACACCCAATACAGGAGCACCCAGATTCATAAAGCAAGTTCTTGAAGACCTACAAAGAAACTTAGACTCCCACACAATAATAGTGGGATAATTTAACTCCCTACTGTCAATTTTAGACAGATCAACAAGACAGAAAATTAACAAGGATATCCAGGACTTGAACTCAGCTATGGACCAAGCAGATCTAATAGACATCTACAGAACTCTCCACCCCAAATCAACAGAATGTACATTCTTCTCAGTACCACATCACACTTATTCTAAAATTGACCACATTATTGGAAGTAAAACACTACTCAGCAAATGCAAAAGAATGGAAATCATAACAGTCTCTCAGACCACAGTGCAATCAAATTAGAACTCTGGATGAAGAAACTCAATCAAAACTGCACAACTACATGGAAACTGAACAACCTGCTCTTAAATGACTACTGGGTAAATAATGAAATTAGGCAGAAATAAATAAGTTCTTTGAAGCCAATGAGAACAAACACACAACGTATCAGAATCTCTGGGACACAGCTAAAGCAGTGCTTTGAGGGAAATTTATAGCACTAAATGACTACAAGAGAAAGTAGGAAAGATCTAAAATTGACCCCCTAACATCACAATTAAAAGAACTAGAGAAGCAAGCGCAAACAAATTCAAAAGCTAGCAGAAGACAAGAAATAACTAAGATCAGAGCAGAACTGAAGGAGATAGAGACATGAAAAACCCTTCAAAAAATCAATGAATCCAGGAGCTGTTTTTTTTAAAGATCAACAAAATAGACCACTAGCCAGACTATAAAGAAGAAAACAGAGAAGAATCAAATAGGTGCAATAAAATTGATAAAGGGGATATCAACACTGATCCCACAGAAATACAAACTACCATCAGAGAATACTATAAACACCTTTATGCAAATAAACTAGAAAATCTAGAAGAAATGGATAAATTTCTGGACACATATACCCTCTCAATTCTAAAGCAGGAAGAAGTCGAATCCCTGAATAGATCAATAACAAGTTCTAAAATTGAGGTAGTAATTAATAGCCTACCAACAAAAAAAAGTCCAGGACCAGAAGGATACACAGCCGAATTCTACCAGAGGTACAAAGAGGAGCTGGTCCCATTCCTTCTGAAACTATTTCAATCAATAGAAAAAGAGGGACTCCTCCCTAACTCATTTTGTGAGGTCAGCATCATCCTGATACCAAAACCTGGCAGAGACACAACAACAACAACAAAAAATTTCAGGCCAGTATCCCTGATGGACATTGATGTGAAAATCCTCAATAAAATACTGGCAAGCCGAATCCAGCAGCACATCAAAAAGCTTATCCACCATGATCAAGTCGGCTTCATCCCTGGGATGCAAGGCTGGTTCAACATATGCAAATCAATAAATGTAAACCATCACTTAAAAAGATCCAATGACAAAAACCACATGATCATCTCAATAGATGCAGAAAAGGCCTTCAATAAAATTAAACACCCCTTCATGCTAAAAACTCTTTAATAAACTAGGTATTGATCGAATGTATCTCAAAATAATAAGAGCTATTTATGACAAACCCACAGCAAATATCATACTGAATGGGCAAAAACTGGAGGCATTCCCTTTGAAAACCGGCACAAGACAGGGATGCCCTCTCTCACCACTCCTATTCAACATTGAATATTGGAAGTTCTGACCAGGGTAATCAGGCAAGAGAAAGAAATAAAGGGTATTCTAATAGCAAGAGAGGAAGTCAAATTGTCTCTGTTAGCAGATGACATGATTGTATATTTAGAAAACCCCACCGTCTCAGCCCAAAATCTCCTTAAGCTGATAAGCAACTTCAGCAAAGTCTCAGGATACAAAATCAATGTGCAAAAATCACAAGCATTCCTATACACCAATAACAGACAAACAGAGAGCCAAATCATGAGTGAACTCCCATTCACAATTGCTACAAAGAGAATAAAATACCTAGGAATACAACTTATAAGAGATGTGAAGGAACTCTTCAAGGAGAACTACAAACCACTGCTCAAGGAAATAAGAGAGGACACAAACAAATGGAAAAACATTCCATGCTCATGGATAGGAAGAATCAATACTGTAAAAATGACCATACTGTCCAAAGTAATTTATAGGTGCAATGCTATCCCCATCAAGTTACCATTGACTTTCTTCACAGAATTAGAAAAAACTACTTTAAATTTCATATGGAACAAAAAAAGAGCCTGCATAGCCAAGACAATCCTAAGCAAAAAGAACAAAGCTGGAGGCATCACATTACCTGACTTCAAACTATACTACAAGGCTACAGTAACCAAAACAACATGGTGCTAGTACCAAAACAGATATATAGACCAATGGAACAGAACAGAGGCCTCAGAAATAACACCACACATCCACAACCATCTGATCTTTGACAAACCTGACAAAATCAAGAAATGGAGAAAGGATTCCCTATTTAATAAATGGTGTTGGGAAAACTGGCTAGGCATATGCAGAACACTGAAACTGGACCCCTTCCTTACACCTTATACAAAAATTAACTCAAGATGGATTAAAGACTTAAATGTAAGACCTAAAACCATAAAAACCCTAGAAGAAAACCTAGGCAATACCATTCAGGACATAGGCTTGGGCAAACACTTCATGACTAAAACACCAAAAGCAATGGCAACAAAAGCCGAAATTGGCAAATGGGATCTAATTAAACTAAAGAGCTTATGCACAGCAAAAGAAACTATCATCAGTGAACAGGCAACCTACAGAATGGGAGAAAATTTTTGCAATCTGTTCATCTGACAAAGGGCTAATATCCAGAATCTACAAAGAACTTCAACAAATTTACAAGAAAAAAACAACCCCATCAGAAAGTGGGCTAAGGGTATGAACAGACACTTTTCAAAAGAAGACATTTATGCAGCCAATAAACATATGAAAAAAAGCTCATCTTCACTGGTCATTAGAGAAATGCCAATCAAACCACAATGAGATACCATCTCATGCCAATTAGAATGGCGATCATTAAAAAGCCAGGAGACAACAGATGCTGGAGAGGATGTAGAGAAATAGGAATGCTTTTACACTGTTGGTGGGAGTGTAAACTAGTTCAACCATTGTGGAAGACAGTGTGGTGATTCCTCAAGGATCTAGAACCAGAAATAACATTTGTCCCAGCAATCCCATTACTGGGTATATACCCAAAGGATTATAAATCATTCTACTATAAAGACATGCACACGTACGTTTATCTCTGCACTGTTCACAATAGCAAAGACTTGGAACCAACCCGAATGCCCATCAATGATAGACTGGTTTAAGAAAATGTGTTACATATACACCATGGAATACTATGCAGCCATAAAAAGGATGAGTTTATGTCCTTTGCAGGGACATGGATGAAGCTGGAAACCATCATTCTCAGCAAACTAACACAAGAACAGAAAACCAAACACCGCATGTACTCATAAGTGGGAGTTGAACAATGAGAACACATGGACACAGAGAGGGAACATCACACACCAGGGCCTGTTGGGGGGTGAGGGGCTGGGGGAGGGATAGCATTAGGAGAAATACCTAATGTAGATGACGGGTTGATGGGTGCAGCATACCTCCATACCACGTGTATACCTATGTAACAAACCTGCACATTCTGTACATGTACCCCAGAACTTAAAGTATATATATATATATATATATATATATATATATATATATATATATATATATATATATAAAGAATGTGGGTACATGTCTAAAGGACACAGGAACCAGCTTGAAAGGGCTCTCACTGGCCTAACCTGGACCAATTTGAGGATCAAAATAAATACTGATAACGAATTTTTATCCCACTGAACAAAAACAGGAATCCACTGAGAAATTATGAATCTGTATTATATAAAAATAAATAACTTGAAAATTTGGTACATGATCTACATAGTTTCAAAGAACCACTTCACAAAATACTTATTATAGAAGGAAAAGAGGTACTTTACAGCAGAGAAGCTCTGCAGATGCCAGTTTATTTAAATGATCAGAATTAACATCACCTGTAATGGAACAAATGGAAATCATGCGCTACCCAACAGGATGCAGTAAGACCGCCTCACTTCTGTGATCGTCCTGCTTAAGAGGCCAAATTTGAATTTAATCACAAAAGAACCTCCGACAAACCCAAGTTGAGTGACATTCTATAACACAACTATCCTGCAATCTTCATGAAACTTTTGTAGTTAATTGTGATCATCTGACCTATTTCTGGATCATAGGATTTAAATGAAAGAAACTGAACTAGGCTTTAGGAAAAGCCATCATTTTTCTAATAAAAAATGAGGCCAGCTTAGCTAACAACGTTTACCCTTTGTCCTTTCTCTTTATTCTTGTTTATCAGATGCCGTGAACAGATGTGAAAGAATATGATACCCTGCTTGTGACTACAAATACTAAAGTCACAGACTGCAACAAAGCGAAAAAGGATAAACTATTTGGCTCCTTCAGCAATTGCACCAAGCCTGGACCAGTTACTTTTAGGCTCCTTGTTACGTTATCCTTTATTTGATTAAGCCATGTGACTGGATTCGCATTAGGTGTGGCCAAATGCAAACCTAGCCAAAATAACCTGCTTTTTCTTTCTTTTCTTTTCTTTTCTTTTTTCTATTTTAACATATCTAGTTCCCCTCTCTAACCCCAACTTTTTTTTGGGCAGTTTTATTTGTATTGCATGGTATTTACAAATTAATTGAGAAATGATTTTTTATGATGTTTTCTTCTTTAAGCACATAGTATACCTCTCCATTCGTTCTAGTCTTTTTGGGGAGCTTATGCAAGATTTTAAAGTTTTCTTCATATAACTTTGCACATTGCTCTAGACCGAATGTTTGTTTCCCCAAAATTCTTATGTTGAAATCTAATCCCCAATGTGCTGGTATATGGAGGTAGGGACTCTGGGAGGTGATTAGGTCATGAGAGCAGCACCCTCATGAATTCCTATAAAAGAAGTTCTAGAGAGATCCCTCTCCCTTTCCGCCATATGAGACACAGCAAAAATACTGCCCTCTAGGAACCAGGACACACCTTCACTAGACAGCAAATAGCCCAACACCTTGATTTTATCCAGCCTCCAGAACTGTAAGACATACTTGTTTGTTATTTATAAGCCATCCATTCTATAATATTTTGTTATAGCAGCCTGAACTGATTAAAACACACACGTTTCTAATATAATCACAGTTTATTTTTATTGAATTGATGCAAAACAGTGAAATGGATGTTTTTCTGAATTCCAAGAGAATCTGAAAAGACGTTGATGCTAGTTATGACAAATATCAGTCAATGTAGTCAGTTGATTAAATATTACAAGGTCGATTAGTAAATTACATTTTAAAATAAAATGAATACTTTCTATTGCATATCAAACAAGTAGGCATTGTGTGTTCAAGATTCAGACTCATAGAATGGTAGTGAATGTAAAAACTCTTGGAAAGCTTCTTGCAAACACACATTAAATTTTATGAAACCTGAAGAGAAAGAGTATTTACCTCAACCTGGCTTATGTTACTTATTTTTAGCGTCTTTAAGGTATCGTTTATAATTAATTCCCCAGCCTTCTTCTTCTTGTAAATGTAAGCTTAGTGTCTTATGTTCTCAAAGCACTTCATCACCTTAGAATGTCTTATTCTTCTGAACTTAAAAGTTTTATGTTTGGGCGATACATGCGTAAAACAAAACAAAGAAATCTCCGCAGAAATAAATAAGTAACTGTCCATTGTAATGAAAAATGCTTGGATGGATAAGTATGAGTAAATAATATGGGGTCAGAGGAAAAAATATAATGTAAACTTCTAACAAGTTAAGCACGGGTAAATTGTGAAGTGCAATGCAAAATTCACATGAGTGTTTCATATATTAAGTAAAATCCACCAAAACAAAACACTGAATCTTCAAGGCAATTCTGTCCTTCCTGCCAGCTGCCACTACCTTTCTGGCAGCCTCCCTTTATCCCATTCCTCCAGCACAGGGAAATGATGCTCTGGCGACAAAGGGTACTTCCGCAGAAAACTTTTGAGAGGTACCAACTTAACTTCCAAGAGCTTGTAACTTACTCCGGTGATTTTAAGACGAAATTGGTGAGAAAGCTGTTAATATAGTAAAAAGTGCATAATAAATATATACGGGTATTAATCCTGCTCACAATCGCACCCAACACCTGAAAGAATTAAACCCTCCAACACCCTTCGGGTCTTTAAAATCTGGGCTGCGGTAATCCGAGCCCTAAGCGACCTCAGATGTGCGCATGCCCTGTTGGTGGAGCCGTGCTCCTCCTTCCTCGGGTCCGGAAGTCCCGGTTTGTTTGTTAAATTACGACCGTCGTAAACTAGAATTTTCTTGCGGCTTCTTAGCTTTACGATGGCAACAAGTATGGCGGCTGCTAGTGGTAGATTTGAAAGTGCGAAGAGTATCGAAGAGCGGAAAGAACAGACCCGGAATGCCAGGGCCGAGGTGTTGCGCCAGGTACCTCTGTTTTGGGGCTTTTGTAGTTATTTATTGTTGTGGGAGTTGAGGGTTCCCGTAAGCTAGCCCACTCACCCCTTCCCTTACCTCGTCAGTACTGAATCTCACCTTAATTTGGGTGAGTTCTCCCTTTGCAATGCCGGTAAACCCTTTTGTAGCTACCGATTTTTTAGATGTTCTGGCAGGTGCCAGTTGCTAATTCTCTTTTCAGGCAGATCTGTCGCTTTTTCTCCAAGTTTCTTTACCTTTTAAGTTACCCATTCTTTACATTTCTATCACTCGGACTGCACACTTTGTAGGTCCCCTGCGGCTTGTAAGGACTCTGCCAGCATGTCTCGCAGCCTCAGTCATTGCTACTGCTGTATCTGAAATGAGATTTTCCTTTTTCGGAAACACATTCAAGTCACACTTGAATAGACTCAGTTTGACATTTCCTCCTCCTGTCTCTATTGGTATCAATTCCAGACTTACTGTAAGCTCTTACCAATCCAAACAAAAGTTAACACCAATCTCAGTATATTTAGCCTGTCACAAAAGATCGCGAAACATTGTATTTCTCACTAAACTTCAGATACATAGAGGTAACATACAAAGAATGGAGAAAGTAAGCTTCTGAATTATCTGACAATCTATTCAATATGTAAGAAGTGTGGCAATGAAAGAGAAAAGTTGCAGTTGGAGAGCAACAGAGAATTCAGTGAGGGTTTTTGTTTTTATTTAAGTTGGAAGAGTTTTAAACAAGTTTAAATGCAAATGAGAAGGAGCCAGCAGAGAAGAGGGAGAGGAGACTCTAAAGGGAAAATGACATAGTTTCAAAATTTGGCAAATAATTTGAGGGTGAAGCAGCCCCATTCTCCTTTAATCTCCAATTTTCTCACCCTGTTCTTTGGAGTCCATCATAAGCCCTGCTCTTTTCTCTGATATCGATTTTTCTGTTTGGTATATAACCATTGTATTCATCTTCTTGCCTACACCAAGAATTATTATATGCACCCAGGGAAAAGCTAGCTGCAGAATGTTGGACTACCTCTCCATGATTTTCCCTTTTCTGGAATATTAACTCTTCTAGTTCTTGTTGCTTCAGCAGTTCTCTGATATAAACCTTTAATAAATTATTTTTATATTTGATTAAAAAAAAAAAGAAAATGACTACAGCCAGGTTTTAAAGGGGAAGAGTGGGCGATTAGTCTTGGGTAGGTGAAATGTTGGTATTGTTTCGTAATTTCAACATATGTAATGTGTGTGTGTGGGTATATATATATTATTCATTCTTTTCTCTTTGGTATTTCCAGCAGTTTTTGGAGGGAGTAAGTTTCGTAAGTTGAGATAAATCTTATAGTAGAGATATGCATAGAATTTGAAAAGGACCAAACTGAGCTTTGGAGTTACAGGGAAAGAAAGAGGGCAGGAACGATTTCCTAGGAAAAACTTGCTTTGTTTGACTATCATTGAAGAATGGATAAAAATTACCAATATGATCCTTTCTTTATACAGAGATGATTCTTCCTGAGGCATTTTTGGGGCTGGGTATTGGGGCTACAGGCATTGCATATTGAAGGCGTGGAGGTCTAACTGTTGCAAAAGTCTTAAGGCAGTAGCCATGGGAATGGTGAAGGGAAAAGGGATTCCAAGTCATATTGAGCTAGGGAGCTTAGAGAGATGGGAGGGCCTGGACTCAGTCCCTGGATTCTCTCTGATTGGTAACTCAAATCACTGGAGATTGGAAATGCAGAAGGAGAGATTTTTGCTTTGTTTTGTTTATTTATTTATTTTTTTATTTTTTTACACTGGAGAAGCAAATCCCTGGCAAGGAATAGACATTCATTCATGAGTGGATATTTTTGTATAAAAATGACAGAGGTTTTTGTTTTCCTTTTTTTGTGAAACCCAGTTGGGTCAATTGCCAGTTTGTCTTTTTTTTTTCTTTGGTTGTAGGCTAAAGCCAATTTTGAAAAAGAAGAAAGGCGTAAAGAACTTAAGCGACTTCGGGGTGAGGATACATGGATGCTACCTGATGTGAATGAGAGAATTGAACAGTTCTCACAGGTGAATACTAACAGGTTTACGTGATGTAAGGATATCTGTCCTTTTTTGCACGTATTCAAGTTAATATTGGATGAATAATTTTATAGAATGTTTTCATAAGTTACAAAATGAATATCACATAGTTGGCATTGCTGAATAGTTTCATCTCTTTGGCAGAGGTAAGATATTGTAATATTTTGGACATTATGACTCAAGTTTTGTTATTTGAGTTTGGCTAGTAGAAGACAGCTTCAAATTTCTGGCCCACTATAGCAAGCTTATAGGCCTAAAAATTTATGCATTTTAAGCTTTATGTATTTATTTTATTTTATTTTTTTAGGTCTCAAGCCTGTTTTCCTATAATTTTTTTAAAAATTATTTTTAATTGACAAATAATAATTGTGTAAATTTATGGGTTAGAGTGTGATGGTTTGATCTATGTATACATTATAGAAAGATTCAGTCAAGCTAATGAACATATCCATCACCTCATCAACTTATTTTTTTGTGGTGAGAACGTTAAAAGTCTGTTCTTCAATGGCTTTGAAATAGATAATACCTTATTATTAAATGTGGTCATCAGTAATAGATCACTAAAACTTATTTCTAGTGTCATGAAAACTTTGTACCCTTTGATCAACATCTTCCCTTTCCCTATCCTTGCTCCTTCCCCTAGCCTCTTCCTATAATTTTAATTTGTGCTATCTTGTTATATTTTTTATGGCCTAATAGTCTTGTATAAATTTTTGGGGAGACCATAGAGGGATATTATATGTATGTGTGTTTGTGTGTGTATAGATGCATGTATACATGTTTGTGTATATATGTGTTTATTTGATTATATTTGTCACATTAATCTACAAATAAAGCCAAAATTTTCCCAGTATTTTTCTGGTAAGAAGTCTCAGTTATATGATTTATTGATAGTGCATATATTATAGAAGGTGTGTTAAGATTTCCTGAAAGATTTTATTTATTTAGACATATTCTTGGTCTTATTTCATCAGAGATTGAAAGTTTTTTAGAATGTGGTTTATTTTTTTTCTCTCAGAATACATCCTTTTAAATTAAGATGAAATTAAATTATTTTCTTGCCTGTTCAAAATGATTGTAGGAACACTCTGTGAAGAAAAAGAAGAAAAAAGACAAGCATTCAAAAAAAGCAAAGAAAGAAAAGAAAAAAAAGAGCAAGAAACAGAAATATGAAAAAAACAATGAGTCATCTGATAGCTCATCAGTAAGTATGTACTAAAATTAATCAAAGCAGCTATTTGAGAACATTTTATTTGAATGTGTAACTTATGGGAAGTTAAAATACAAGAAAACGTAAAAAATATATTACTAGTTATGATATGAAAATATCTGGGATACATCTACTTAGAGATGTCCAGAAAATATTGGAAATGTTGATCTTGAATTTCAGAGAAAGGCTAAGAGGATAGGGATATGATTTGGGAATTATTGCTAAGCACAGCACTGGATCTTGCCCAAGGCCTGCTGTAACAATTACCTGGCTACAGCTGGTGTTCACTCAAGGCCCTGGGGCTCTGCAATCAGCAGGTGATGAAGCCAGCCAGGCCTGCGTCTTTCCCTTCAGGGTGGCAAGTTCCCCCAGGCCTGAGGGTGGGTCCAGAGGTGCCATCAGGGACCCAGGTACTGGCGTCAAAAACCTTAGACTTGTACCTGGTGTTCTATTGAACTGTGGCTGAGCTGGCATTCAACCTATGAATGGCAGTCCTTCCCACTCTTCCCTTTTCACAGGCAGAGGGGCCTCACCCTGTAGCCACCACCATAGACCCACAGGTAGTACTGGCAGGCTACCACTGATGTTCCCTTAAGGCCCAAGAACTCTTCAGTCAGCTGCCCGGCCTGGGACTCACCCTTCAGGGCAGTGGGCACCCCCTGGGCCAGGGCAGATCCAGAAATGCTATCCAAGAGCCAAGGCGTGGGGCTGGAGACCCCAAGATCCCTCTTGGTGTTCTACCACCCTGTGGCTGAGCTGGTACCTAAGGCGCAAGACAGAGCCCCCTTTACTTTTCTCAAGCAGAAGGAGGCTCTCCCCATAGCCACCACAGCTGGGAATGTGCTGAGTCTCACCTGAATCCAGCAAGTCTCAGATACACAGTGAAGGCCACAGTGTAGTACCCGATTATTGGTGCTGGTTATTCAGGGCCTAAGGGCTCTTTAGTGGTTACCAGCTATGGCTGAGCTGGTATTCAAGATGCAAGATGGAGTCCTGTATTTACTCTTCTCTCTCCTCTCCTCAAGCAGAAGGACAGGGTCTCTTTTGGAGCTGCACATTGTGCAGCCTTGGGTTGGGGGAGAGGTGGTGTAAGCACTCCCTTAGCTGCACCAGTTGCCCCCCAACCACCTGTCCATTGGCTCTGAGGCAAGTTTAGCACTAGGAGTCACCAAGGAATTCCACATCCTTGCTAGTACTTGGTATTGTCAGTCTTAGTAATTTTTAGCTATTCTACTGTGTAATGTCTCGTGTGATATTTCTCTGAAGAACAAGGATGTAGAGCATCATTTTAAGTCCCCATAGGGCATTCCATGTCTTTGTGAAATCTGATTTATTAAATATTTTCTTTTTTGTTTTTCATCATTTTTTCTTAGTGCTTCTGGTATCCTAATTTTTGCGCACCTCAAGATTGTGATTTCTCCTATGTTTATGTTATTATTAAATTTTTTTGTTTTTTGTTTGTTTTTAGAGATGGAGCCTCACTATGTTGCACAGACTGGAGTGCAGTGGCACCATCATGGCTCATTGCAGCCTCAAACTCCTGGGCTCAAGCAATCCTGCTGCCTTAGCAGCCCAATTAGCTATGACTACAGATGTAGTACAGAAAAGTTGTTTTTGTAGACATGGAGTCTTACTATATTGTCGAGGCTGGTCTCGAACTCCTGGGCTCTAGTGATCTCCTGCCTCAGCCTTCCAAAGTGCTGGGATTACGGGTGTGAGCCACCATGCTTGGCCTCCTATTTTTTTTCCCTAGAAGTTTTATAGCTTTGGCTTTTTTGCTTATTTATAATCCATTAATAATTTTTATTTATGTTGTGTAGTGTCAGTTTATTTTTTTCCCACGTGGATTTCCAGTTTTTCTAGCATCATTTGTTGAAAAGGCTGAATTTTCCCTATTGGAAGGAATTTAGGGAGATAGATATGTTAAAATATTCTTTCAATCCATTATGCACTTGGTACATCTCTCTATCCATTTATGTCTTTGATTTTTCTCACAATGTTCTGAAATTTTTAGTGTAGAGATCTTACATGTCGTTTGTTATTTTTTTTCCATTTTGTTTTCTGGAAGTGCTATCGTGAGTGGAATTTTAAATTAAATGTGTTTACAGCTAGTATGTAATTATAGAAGTGACTTGAAACATTAGGATCAGAAAAAAAAGAAAAAAGTGAAAAAAAACCTGCTTTTGATATATTCACCTTGCCTCTTATCACCATGTTAAAATTACTAATACTAGTGTTAGTAGCTTTTTTAGTAGATTTCTTAGGATTTCTAGGTAAATGGTATGTCATGTGTGAAAAAGACTTTTACTTTTTTCTTTTCAGTCTCTGTGCCTGTTTTATTTGTTAATTGTTGTTGCCTTATTTCAGTAGCTAGGACTTAAAAATAGTGTTGAATGGAAGTGGTGAGAGTGGACATGATTGCCTTTTTCCTTATCTTAGGTGCAAAGCATTCAGGTTTTTACATTTAAGCATGATGTCTGCTGTGGGACTTTCATGTATGCCTTTTCAGATTAAGGAAATGACATTTTATTTCTAGTTTTCTGAGAGTTTGTATCTTGAATGAGTATTGAATTTGGTAAGTGCTTTTTTTGCATCTATAAGTGTTAAAATTTGCCAGTGAAACGGTTTGGTCCTGGAGTTTCTTTGTGGAATGGGTTTAACGACAGAGTTAATTCCTTTAATAGTTGTGTTAAATACTTTCTGTTTATTCTTGAGTTAGTTTTAGTAATTTCGGTTTTTCTGGGAATTTATTCCATAGAAATTGTCAAATTTATTGTCATAAAGTTATTTGTAATATTTCCTTTGTTCTTTTAATGTTTACGGAATCCATAGTGATACCCCTCTTTCATCCCTGATTTTGGTAATTTCTATTTTCTGTTTGTTTCCTCTGTCAGTCTGTCTTGAGGCTTATCAGTTTTATTAATCTTTCTTTATTGCCTTTTAGTTTCCTTGAATTTTCTCTGGTTGTGTGTTTTCTATTTCATTGATTTAAACTATATTTATTCTTTGCGAATACTTTGTGTTTAATTTGCTCTTCTTTTTCTAACTTTCTAAGATGAATGTATCGCCACTGATTTGAAATCTTTTCTAACGTGTATTTATTTTATAAAATTTTCTCATAGCACTGTTGTATCTCTACGTAACTTTGATGTTATATTTTCATTGCTGTCCCATTCAAAATATTTTTTACTTTACTTTTTCTTACTCATGGATATATAAGAGTTTTTAAACTTGCAGATATTTGTGGATTTTTCTAGTTTTTTTTTGGGTTATTGACTTTGATTTTAATTATTATGTTATACTCTGTATAATTTCAGTTTTTAAAAAGTTTTTGAGACATTTTATTTTCTAGCCTATGATCTATTTTGGTGAAAATTCCATATGTATTTGAAATGAGTATGTATTCTGCCATTGTTAGGTATAGTGTTTTATAAATGTCAATTAGGGAAAGTTGACTAATAGTATTAAGTTTAGTGTTAATGATTTTCTGTTCACCTGTTCAGTCAGTTACTGAGAAAATAGTATTGAAATCTCTTAATTGTTTTGTGGATTTTACCTATTTCTGCTTTCAGTTTTGTCAGTTTTTGCCTTATGTAATTTTGAAGCTTTATTAGGTACATAGACAGCTCCTTGATGAACTGACTGTTGTTACGAAGTTTTCGTTTTTATCTTTGGTAATACTCTTGTCTGAAGTCTCTTGTATCTCATATTAATAAAGCCTCTTCAGTTTTCTTTTTTTGTGTGTTTTCATCGTCTTTTTAAAATTCTTTTAGTTTTAATGTACCTTTTTTATATATTGAAAGTGTATTTCTTGTAAGCAGTGTATAATTGGGTCTTGCTTTTTTATCTCGCCTATCAATTTCTTCTTTTTTATTTTATTGATTGATTGATTTATTGATTGATTGACAGAGTCTTGCTTTGTTGCCCAGGCTAGAGTGTAGTAGATCACTGCAGCTTCAACCCCTGGGGCTCAAGTGACTCTCCCACCTCAGCCTCTTGAAAGCTGGGACTACGGGTGTGCACTTCGACGTCCAGGATATATATATATGAGTTTTTAAATTTCCAGATATTTGTGGATTTTATTAGGTTTTTTTGGTTATTGACTTTGGATTTAATTATTATTTTATTGTACTCTGTATAATTTCAGTTGTTAAAAAGTTTTTGAGACATTTTATATTCTAGCCTATGATCTATATATATTTTGTAGAGATGTGGTTTTGCCATGTTGCCCAGCCTGGTCTCAAAGTCTTGACCTTAAGCAATCCTCCCACCTGGGACTCCCAAAGTGCTGGAATTACAAATGTGAGCCACTGCATCTGGCCTCTTCCTTTTTTTTTTTTTTCTTGAGATGGAGTCTCACACTGTCACCCAGGCTGGAGTGCAGTGCCGCAATCTTGGCTCACGTCTCTTACTTTTCAATTAGATGTTTTTTGTGCTCTCTAATCTGTTAGCTGTTTATGGCTTTTAAATTTTTTGTTAAAATTCATTAAAATTATATCAGCCAAATTTATGTGGCTACTATATTCGACAGTATATAGAAAAATTCTTTGAATAGTACTGGTTTGGATTATTTATGTTTAATGTAATAATTGATATGGATGAGTTTAAGTCTACCATGTTGTTATTCCTTTTCTATTTTTTCTTTGTTCTTTTTTCCTTTGTTCCTTCCTTTTCCTGTCTTTTGGATCGAGTGTTTTTTAGCATCCCATTTCATCTGCTGTAGGCTTATTAGGTATACCTTATTTATTTTTAATGACTGCTTTAAGTCTTATGCATATTTTAACTTACCATACTCTCAAATAATATATAATTTTACTTTTATAATTAGACTTTCACCAAAATATACTTCCATTTTCTCCTACCATATTTTTTGCTATTGTTGTCATATATTTTACTTCTACATATGTTATAAACCCACATTGTTTATAATTTTTAATGTCATACATTCTTTTTATTTATACTTTAGTCAGTTATCTTTTAAATAAGTTACACATATGAAGAAAGTCTTTTATATTTACCCACAGATTTATCATCTCTGATATTCTTTATTATTTTATGTAGGTCTGAATTTCTGTCTAATACCATTTTCCTTTTGTCTGTAGAACTTTCATTAACATGTATTATAATATGGATTTGCAGACATTGTATTCTCTCAGCTTTTGTTTGAAAATTTCTTTTATTTCATCTTCATTCTTTTTTTCTTTTACCACAAACTCAGAAGTTCCTACTAGCAATCTTCATTTTTCAGATACTTGGCTAGATAAAGAATTTTAAGTTTATAGTGTTTTCTTTTTTTTTTTTTTTTTGCACTGTAAAATGTCATCCCATTGTCTTCTGGTTTGCATTGTACATATTGAGAACTCTGTAGTCATTGTAATATTTTTTCTCTGTATGTAGTGTGCCTTTTTATTCTGGATGCTTTTAGGGCTTTTTTTTTCATCATTATTTTTCAGTGAATCAATTGTGATATGTCTTGGTATTGATTTCTTTGTGTTTATTCTACTGTCTTAGTTCATTTGGGCTGCTATACCAAAACTAACTGGGTGGATTATAAATGACAGAAACTTATTTCTCACAGTTTGGGAGGCTAGAAAGTCTAAGATCGAGGCGCTGGTAGACTTTGTGTCTGATGAGGGTTCAGTTCCTCAGAGATGGCTGTCTTCTCACTCTAACCTCATATGGCAGAAGGGAGTGCTCTTGGGCTATGTTTTATAAGGGCACTAATCCCATTCCCAGTCATCTCCCAAAGGCCTCAGCCCCTATTATCATTGTCTTGGGAGTCAGGATCTCAACATAAGAATTTGGTGGGGGACACAAACATTCAGAGTGTAGCATCTGCCTTAGGTTCATTGTGCTGCTTTGATTTGTGAGTTTACAGTTTCCATCAAATATGAAACTTTCAGGCTTTTTTCGAAGTATTTTTTTTTTCTGTTCCCTCTCATTTTGGTAGTCTCCTTAAAATAATGTCTCACAGGTTGATGAGCCTGTGTTCACTTACTTTCTAGCCTTTTTCCTTTCTATGCCTTGGGTTGGGTATATTTTATTGCTATGTCGTGAGCTTCAGGTTTACTGGCCTTTTTTTTTTTTTTTTTTTTTTTTTGTGACGGAGTCTCGCTCTGTTGCCAGGCGGGAGTGCAGTGGCGTGATCTCAGCTCACTGCAACCTCCGCCTCCTGGGTTGAAGTGATTCTCGTCCCTCAGCCTCCTGAGTAGTTGGGATTACAGGTGCTCATCACCACGTCCAGCTAATTGTTTGTATTTTTAGTGGAGATGGGGTTTCACCATGTTGGCCAGGATGGTCTGGATCTCCTGACCTCGTGATCTGCCTGCCTCAGCCTCCCAAAGTGCTGGGATTACAGGTGTGAGCCACTGCGCCTGGCCGACTGGCCTTTTCTTTTGCTGTGTCTAGCTTACTGTTATCCCTATCCAGTGACATTTTCATTTCAGGTACTGTATTTTTTTTTTATCATTAGATGTTTCGTTTGGATCTTTCTAATGTTTTTCAGTTTATCTCCTCATTATCTTTACATTTTCCCTTCCTTGAACATATTTATGATAGCTGTGTTAAAGTCTTGGTTTGCTGTTTCATTTTCTCTTGTTTTTTCCTGTTCTGTTTCAATTAAATGATTTTTCTCTTGAATATGGGTCACATTTGCTTGCTTCTTTGAATGTCTAGTAACTTTTAATTGGATGCTGAACCCTATGAAACTTATATTGTGACTGCTGGATTTTGTTGACTTCTTCAGAGAGTATTGAGTTTCCTTTTGGCATACAGTTAATTACTTGTGAATTAGCTTAATCCTTTTCAAGGATTGTTTTTAAGTTTTGTTCGTATGCACCTAGAATAGCTTTACTCTAGGACTGGTTTAGCCTTTCTACTAAGGCATGACCTTTGTGGGTTCTCTGCTGATTGTCATGGATGTTCAGCGAGGTTTCTTTATTCTGGTTGGGAGGAACTAGAATGTCTTCCAGCCCTTTGTGAGCTCTGGGGATTGTTCTGCTTACAGCTCTTTGGTAATTGTTTTCTCCATGGTAATTTTTCTTTGCCTGACCTTGTGGACTCTCATCCTCAGCATGTTCAGCTTGGTCTTTCTTTAAAGACTCCAGGGGTCCTTTAAGTAGATTTCTGGCACCCTTTCTCTGTGTAACTTCCCATCTGTACTTTTGTTTCAGCCTTCACAAAGTTCAAATTCCGTTTCCTTTGCTCAGTGAGATTTTCATGTTCTGCTTGGGTTACCCCTCTATGCCACAGTCTAGAAAGTGCCTTTAGATAAAAAGCTGTAGAGATTGTAGTTTCATTTTTATTCCAATTTGTATGTATTTCTAGTTTGATGCCATTTATTTTGTCAAGGACAGAAGCAGAAGTCCTCAAGATCCCTTGAGTTTTGCTGGTAGCACTTTTCTGTCTTAGTTCCACCTTCTAGGTTTTGACCACTAGATAGAATTAGAGGTGTGGTTAATTCTGCAGGCTGCACAAGAGAAGGAGAGCCCTGAAGGCTGTGTTAGGTCAGGAGGCGTATTAAGCTTGATAGTTAATGAGTTCAAGGTAAAATGGAGATTGAAACTAAAATTAGCAAGAGAACTGAAGTCGTAGCATGGGGAGCATCAATTTTGCTGAAGTGGTAAGGTGAGTGAGTGCATAATTGTGAAAATGAGTATAGGTTGCTGCTTAAAAGTTTCTGACTAGTGCTATTGAAAGAGTAGAAAAAGACATTTCATTTAATTTCAGCTTGCATTTATCAAATGCTTATTCTTTGCCAGACACTGTTCTAGACATGGGGAATATAAAAATATATTTTTAAACCTTTGGGGAACTCATTTCCTAATTGGATAAATAGATACATAATATTAATAATATGATTTTGTAGTAGATTTTGTAGAAGAAGATGTTGGCTTTATTTTCTGTTGTTACTGAGTTTAGCATACCATCCAACATGATGCCATGGTAGTACAGGGTATTAAGAGGGATTTCATTTGCTAACTTGTTGATTAAATGATGCTTGAATTGAGACTAGATAGATTAGTAAGCATTAGGCAAATAAAGGTGTGCTTGGCATTTCATGCATAAGGAATTGCGAGAGCAGAGACATGGAAGTATGAGATAATATGAGTGTGAGTATGTGTGTATGTATGTAAATATAACTATAAGCAATTTGATAGTACTAAATTATAAAACAAGAGGAGGGGGTGAATGGAGATGAAACTGTAAGAATTAATAGGGCCTTGTAAACCAAGAGCTTTGACTTTATTCAGTAGGGAATGTATCATCTAATTGGGTTCAGCTGCATTTATTAGAAAATCTCAGAATAGCCATTGATTATACAAGATAGAAATTCATTTTTTTCTGATATGAAATAAGTCAGGTAGACAGTCTAGGGCTAGTATGGTCTTCTGGGACCTAGGCTTCTATTGTCTTGCTTTTCCATCATCCTTACAGCATTGCCTCTTAGTCCAGATAACAGGAAAGAAGATGCTCTTTTTTTTCTTAACTTGACTTCCAGAAAGTCCCATAAAATACTTTTGTTTACATCTAATTGGACACTTGATCATAAGGCTTCACTTTCTAGCATGGGAAGTACATTACTTCTCCAAATAAAATGGGATTCTGTTGGTAGGAAAGAAGAGGGATAACTAGCAGTCTTTGTAATGGGAAGCCCTAGAAGAGAAGTACGGTGGTCAGATGTTCCCTTTATATTACTCTAAATGTATTTGGGGTGAGGGGTTGGAGAAAGAAGGGGAGCAGGAAAGATGAGTCCAGGAGATTAATTAGGTCTCCTGGAATCAGTTGTTTAGGTGAGAGATAAGATCTGATCTAGGGCTACTACTTTTTTTTTTTTTTTAAGGCGGAGTTTTGCTCTTGTCCCCCAGGCTGGAGTGCAATGGCACGATCTTGGCTCACCACAACCCCCGCCTCCCGGGTTCAAGATACTCTCCTTCCTCAGCCTCTCAAGTAGGTGGGAGTACAGGCATGCGCCACCACATCTGGCTAATTTTTGTATTTTTAGTAGAGATGGGGTTTCACCATCTTGGCCAGGCTGGTCTCGAACTCCTGACCTCATGATCCACCCGCCTCGGCCTCCCAAAGTGTTGGGATTACAGGCGTGAGCCACCGCGCCCAGCCTGGGGTGCTACTTTAAGGATCAAAGAAGAGAATATTAGTTGGTATTTTGGTTGCAGGTAACAGAAACTAAATATAAATTGGATTTTGCAAAAAGGATTTATTATTAAAGTACAAAATTCTCATAAGACATATAGATGTAGGAATGCAGCTAGGCTTCAAGAATAGCTGGAATTAGAATTGTGAATGGTTTTTGCAATTTTCTTGCCATTTTTCATTTCCCCTACCCTGAGTTCTAGTTTTTAAAAAATTTTTGCTGATTTCTATTTCTCATGACAGAAATGGCCTCTCCCAATGCCTTCCCATTTCTTAGTTTTAGATAAGCCCATTTAGACCTGATTTCAGATTCCTGTGGAATGGCTCAGGTTGATGTGAATTGGGTCAGGTACCTACGTTTGAACTAATCAGTAGTGGCCAGGGATAGAGGTAGGCTCGTATGGTAATCATGTATTCACTCTATGGTATATTTAATAAATATTTTAAAAATGAAAATGGTAGGCTTGAATATGTGAGGTAACATCATCCTGAGTTTCTGACTTGGTTTAAGTGGGTGGTTGGTTGTTCCAGATAACTCAGTTCAATACTATACAAGGAGAAGTAGATTTTGTAGAAGAAGAGGATAGCTTTATCTTCTGTTCTTACTGAGTTTAGCATGCCATCCAACTGCAGTAGACAATTAGTCAGTGAAACTTTGGTTAGACAAATTTGAAAGATATCAGCACAATTTATTGTAGTTCAGGCGATCAGAATGGATTTAATGGCCCAAAGGGAATGTTTAGACATTGAAAAATGTCATGGGCAAAGAATGGAATCCCAAATAACAAGATATTTAAGGGCTAAGCAAAGGAGGAAGAGTTCATGAAGGAAATGGAGAAGAAACAGAGTGGGAGGAGAGCTGAGAGGTGTCATGGAAGCCAGGAAAGTGAGTTATCAACAGAGTTGCATTAAGCAGAGAGGTCTAGAGAGCTGAAGACTGAAACGTTTTGTTGAGTTCGGCACAGTGGAAGCCACTGGTGAGTTTGGAGAAGTTTCAGTAGATTAATGGGGACAGTAGATGTATTGTAGAGTTTTGAGAAAATGTATGAAAGTGAGAGTGTGAAGGCGGTGCATGTAGACTACTCTTTCAAGAAGTTCATCTGAGAATGGAAGCCGGAAGATTAATTCCTGCTAGAGGAGGAATATACGGGGTCAAGGAAGGTCCCCCTTCCCTCCTTAAAAAAAAAAAAAAAAGGGTGGGAAATGCTTGAAATTGTTTCTAGGCCATTAGGGATCTTTGGTTAATGCCGTGAGAGGAGAAGATAATTGATGGAGCAAGGTCCTGGAGGAACAGAAAGAGTTATCAAAATCTTTAGAGCAAGATCTGCCTTAAATAGGAGGAGTTAACTGGAAATAAGGATAGGCACAGCCATAAATGTTTTGGGCGGTGGGTAGGAGGATAAGGTGGCCCTAGTTTTCTTGATGAGGTAAAAGAAGACATCATTTGCTGAGAATATGGGAATTGGTATAAAGCTTCAGGAGGGTGTTGAAGAAGATAATGTTATCTGCAGTTTTAGATCAAGGGAAATCTCAAAATGTGAAACTTAGGGGCAAACAGCAAATTCGTTTACCTGGGTGGTGTTTCCCCTGTTCTAGTGAAGCAGAGATGTGAGTAACTACTTGACGTTGGTAGTCACTGAAGCTCTGTGCTGAAGTGAGGTCTCTACTTGGCAGTTCCCATTTTTGTTTTTTTGCCTTCTCTTGGCTTGATAATAAATGGATGAGAAAATAAAAATAATTTGGTTGTGTTTGGTGGGCTTAACTCAAACTAGTGGGTTTATATGTTTTTTCTTTAAAAAAATTTTTTTTTTTGAGACGGAGTCTCTGTGGCCCAGGTTGGAGTGCAGTGGTGTGATCTTAGCTCACTGCAACCTCTGCCTCCTGGGTACAAGCGATTCTCCTGCCTTAGCCTCCTGAGCAGCTGGGATTACAGGCATGCGCCACCACGCTTGGCTAACTTTTTTGTATTTTTAGTAGAGATGGTGTTTCACCATGTTTGCCAGGCTGGTCTTGTACTCCTGACCTCAAGTAATATGCCTGCCTCAGCCTCCCAAAGTGCTGAGATTACAGGTGTGAGCCACCACACCCAGCTCTTTAAAATTTCATTGCCATTTTGTAAAGGGGAAATACAGTGTAAGAATTTTTTTCTACGATGTTGAATTTCTACCACTTAACAGCACAGAATTTTTATATCAAAGTATGCAAATTTGACAATTTCACTTATATGCTAAATGTTCTTAGAGCTCTGAAGATGAGTGGGTTGAGGCTGTTCCATCCCAGACTCCTGACAAGGAAAAAGCCTGGAAAGTGAAAGATGAAAAGTCAGGAAAAGATGACACCCAAATTATCAAGGTAAGCAAGCCACTTGATTTTCCTTCCTTGCTTTCTTCCTTCCTTCCTTCCTTCCTCCCTCCCTCCCTCCTTCCCTCTCTATCCCTCCCTCCCTCTCTGTCCCTCTCTCCCTCCCTCCCCCTCCCTCCCTCCCTCCCTCCCTCCCTTCCTTCCTTCCTTCCTTCCTTCCTTCCTTCCTTCCTTCCTTCCTTCCTTCCTTCCTTTCTTTCTTTCTCTTTCTCTCTCTCTCTCTCTTTCTCTCTTTCATTCATTTTAGAGACAGGGTCTCACTCTGTTGCCCAGGCTGGGCCGCAGTGGCACAATCAGAGCTCTCTGCACCCTCGACCTCCCAAGCTCGAGTAATCCTCCCACCTCGACCTCCCTGGTAGCTGGGACCACAGTTGTGTGCCCACCACGCCTGGCTAATTTTTTTATTTTGTGTAGAGTTGGGGTCTCCCTATGTTGCCTAGACTGGGTCTCAAACTCCTGAGCTTGAGCAATCCTTCCACCTCAGCCTCCCAAAGTGCTAGAATTAGAGACGTGAGCCACTGCACCTGGCCTATCACTTGGTTTTAAAGAAAAAAGTATCAACTTTTGAGAATAAATGAATATGAAAATGAAAGATGATTAAAATTTCTTCAGGAGAACAATTAGACTTTGAAAACAATATACTTTAGGAATAATTTTGGCAGTACTGCTGTTTGCTGAATGTTTAGAACCCCCTTCCCCTTCTACTGTGAGAAAGTGAGTGTTCCTCTCTATTCTCGTTCCTTAGAGGCTTTCATGCTTTTGATTGTTGATAAGAAGTGGCACTTTCCCCTTATGTCCCTAAAGCCTTATACTGTATCTCTGTCTGACCCTTCTATAGTGAGTGGAGTTCCATCACAGTTTTTTTTCCCTTCACCTCATGCCTTAATTTTCTTAACAATACTTAACAGTTGAATAGTTCAAAAATTTTGGGCTATAGTTCATCTGCCTCAGGAAGAATGTAATTTGTCCACTGTTAGCCACAGGTGAAGGAAGAAAGGTGAACAGGAACTAAGTTTGATTGCTTGTTGTGTGCCAGGCTTTGGGCTGGATGCTTTAGATCTGTTATCTTGTTTACTCTTTAAAACAATCCTGAAAGGTAGGGATTTTATACCATTTTATAGAGGAGAGACTAAAGTATAGAGAGATTTAGAAGCTTGCTTCAAGTTATATAGCCATGTAGGACTTGTTTCAGGTTTGATTGCCTCCAAAGTCCCTGCTCTTATTACCAAGTGTTTATTAAATTCTAATCAGTTCAGATTGAAATGATGAGTGGATGACTGTTGATTTTATGTCTTTTTTTTTAACAGAGGGATGAGTGGATGACTGTTGATTTTATGTCTGTTAAAACTGTGTCATCATCATCACTCAAAGCTGAAAAGGAAACTATGAGGAAAATAGAGCAAGAGAAAAACCAAGCGCTTGAACAGGTAAGAGAATATTTGAAATGCTTTAACTTTCTAATTTACCTTTAATAAACTTACAAGACATTTATATAAATGCAGTTTAACTTGTAAAATACCATTTTATTTTTTATAGTATTTAATACAATTAGTGAGAACAACTATGAAATACATCAGTTTAAGAAAAATAAATTTCCTATAGGAAGTGAGTTTAAAGGTTTACTAGATTTATAAATCTAGGGCATATATAAAGTTGAGTGAATATTGAGTTTAATATCATTAAATTGAAAGTGAACTCACTCAATTTTTGTTTCAGTGTACATACTGAATTAGACACCATGAAAATACTTCCATTTCAAGACATCTAGAAATTCTGGTGGATATAATGTAAAATAAGCATGCTTATTTTATACTTTATTGTTGTCACTTTGCTAGTAAGGAAGCAATAGGAAATCTGTAGAGACCAAAAAATGAGGCAAAAGCATGAATCCAGAGAAGTAAGGAAGTGCTGAAGCTGATGACTTTCCTAGGGGCATCACACAATCCTGGTAATCTGGAATTCCAATTTATACTGTACCAGGAGCATATGTTTCTTTTCCAGTACTCAGTATCTGTAATTGTCAAACTTTATATATTTTTTTATCAGCCTAATAAATGGGTGAGAAATGGTATTTCATTGTTTTTGTTCGCATTTATCTGATTGCTACCAGAGAGGTCTTTTCATGTTTTTTGGTCATTCAGATTTCTTGTACTGGGAGCTGCTCATTTATGTTTTTTGCTTACTTTTCTACCAGGGTTGTTTGTCTTTTTCTAACTGATTTATAGAAGTTATTTATGTTTTCAATCCTTTGTCTTTTATACATTTTCAGATAGTATCTCATAATTTGTCTAGCCTCTTGTCAATTGTCCTCAGTATGCAATTCTAGCCTTTTTTGTCCTGTTGAGTATCTTATGTGTATATTTTTGAGAGTCTTAAGACCATTGGAAGAAATTCCTTGACTATAGATATTGAAAGATTTTGTGGTAAACTAACAAGGGAGGTGACAGAACCTTTTTTGATACAAACTAAGAAATCAAATCTGTATGGTTTTGTATATCCCTTTAGGTTAAACTTTAACTTAAATTTTGTCCTTTGAAGGTTCTTTTTCGTCAGCTCATGGATACATTTAAAAAAGCCCTTTTAAAAACAAATTTTACAGAGCATTTTAATTTTCAGTAGTATATTGTATTCCTGGAAACTAAAGTTCCTAACATTTAGCTCGTTCCATTTCTTGCCATCCTCTTGCCATTATTACTTCTTGTAGGAAGCATTTTCTAACCCCCCACTCCCAGGGTCAACTTCGGTATCATTAGTATGTAGTTCTTTAGCACCCTTTACTTTGATCTCACATACCTATATTTATATTGCTTGATTGTCTTTCCCCCTTCTCTAGACCATAATTTATTTAATGGCAAGGACCATGGCCGCGTCACACATTACAGTCCCAGTGCCTGGCATCGTGCTTAGAACACAGGAGACACTTGCATTGTGATTAGGCTACTATCATCTGTTGCCTGGATTACTGCCACAGCCTTCTGACTGAACTTGTGCCTCTGATCTTGTTCTCCAGACTTTCCTCCATGCTGAGCCCAGTTTGCTCTTTGTGTGATATGAAGCTGATCACATTCATGAGTCTCTTTTGGCCCCAGCATGAAACCCTCATAGCAGTTCAAAATGGCTCACGTGGCCCAGTCCCTGATTATTCTACAACATAATCTCTTGTCATTAGTCACTCACAGTTTTAGCCAATTAGAATTATTTCTAAGTTTCCTGAAACTGCTGCACTTTCTCTTTCTCTGTTGTTTTAAGAACGTGCTGTTATTCTTTCTACCTGGAACATCTTTATACTCCCTACCCTACAAAAAAAGAAAATGCGGTTAATTTATGCTCATCCTTGGACTGCACATATTACTTCCTCTAGGAAGTCTTTGATCCTTTATTGTGAGAGGGATTTGAATTCTTTTTGCATCCTCAGTACTGTATACTTCTGTCTTCAAAGTACATGTCTGTTTTTATTGTCTGTGTTCCATACTGAACTAAAAGTTAGCAAGGGCTGACCAGGATTTTTGACAGTTAAATCTTCTGCAACTAGCACAGTTTTAAGATATAGTAGGCATTAAATAAGAACATTGAATGAATGTGAATTTAGACATTTCCTGTAAGTTACAGAACAGCATATCTTAAGAATGTTTTAAATGATTTGTCCAGGGTTATGACTATTAACTGGGTCTCAGATTTATTATTTGTTAATTTTTTATAATTTGTTAATTTTTTGAAATTTCACCTCTGAAAATAATTTGTTCTAGTCCAAACTGATGGAAAGAGAATTGAATCCGTACTGGAAGGATGGTGGGACAGGTCTTCCACCTGAAGACTGTAGTGTGTCATCGATTACTAAAGGTATTTCTACATTTTGATTATAGACACACAGGGTTTTTTTTTTTTTTTTTTTTTCGAGACAGAGTCTCGCTCTGTCAGCCAGGGAGTGCAGTGGTGCGATCATGGCTCACTGCAGCCTCCACCTCCCCCTCAAGTGATCCTCCCACCTCAGCCTCCCAAGTAGTTGGGATTACAGGTGCATGTCACCACTCCCAGATAATTTTTTATAGAGATGTGGTTTCACCATGTTGCCCAGCCTAGTCTTGAACTCCTGGGCTTAAGCCTTGACCTAACTGCCTTGTCCTGCCAAAGTGCAAGGATTACAGGTGTGAGCTACTGCGCCTGGCCTCAGGCATTTCTTTTGGTATTATAAGTGTATGACCCAAGTTTACGTATGAGAAAGCATTGATAAAAATTTGCAGTCTTTGGAAGGCTAATTTAAATTATTAGTACTATGGAAGATTGTTTTAATTATGATGTATTTGGAGCAGGTTAATTAAATACATAGTTTTATACTTGAAAATATTCTCATATATGAGTTTCTACTTAAACTGGATTAATACAAAGTATGATTCTATGAGTACATAATAATGCATTTGGTTTGTTACATTCTGTAACAAAATATAAAAAGTATCTGAAATTTCATGAAAATAATGTATAAAAACTAAAGATGTGGTTTGTATATTCAGAATTTCCTGCTTTTCTAGAATTCTTAAAATTTGTATTGACCTTAGGAGAGTGCTATTATTTTCCAGCAGATGGAGACAAAATATTTAAATGTCACGTAAGCATACTTTATAACACAATTTTAAAATTACTTATATTCCCATTAAGTGTTGTGCTGACACCTCAAAAGTTTATTACAACTAACCCATTATACAGATGGTAGTATTACAAATTGTGATGTTCTCTTTTCACCTTAGTGATTTATCAGTAGGATGTTTTCCTGCTTTTTATACATAATGTATTTTTATTTTGGTTATTTGTTAAAATTCTTCTGTATTTTATGTAGAGATGACAGTAGAGCCACCTTACATGTCCCTTCTTAATTTAGCAATTTTACTAAAGTTATTGGTAATAGTTAACAGTTTCTTTTTTTTTCTTTCAACTTCAGGCAGAAGTGTCCCTGCTGAGTTATGTAATAGTAACTATAGTCATACAAGGTTCTCTTTGAAATACTGTTTCATAGATAGTTTAGGGAACAATAAGTTAGCTCACTCAACTATTACTATGTAGGGCTGTTTTTATGATCTAGGCTTTTGCCATCCCTAATGTCAGAGGATGGTCCATAAATTTCTTTGAGGAAAACCTAGAATTGACAAACCCAATCTTTGGATCTTGCCAGTTGACAGGTTCTTTACTGAGTGGAGAAGATCCAGAGTTTTACTTTAGGTGGTATCTTTTAGCAGACTGAAACAGCAGAATCAAAGATACTAGGAGAAAATTATGCTTTTAGAGTGCCCTTCTCCCTTCCCCTTCATGTCATGCTTTTACCACTTCTTTTCCATCTTATGTTTATTCAGAAAGAGAAAAAATGACAGAAAGCTTCTGTCTTTCTGAGGCTAAGATCCCAGAGTTGAAATTAAGTTTTAAAAAATGATTGGCAGGTTTTACTGCATATGTAGATAGTGTTGTCATTCTATTTAGACCGATGGTAGGGGTGGAACTGTTAGGCATCTAAAAGTATTACAATATCTGTATTAAGGAGGTAGAGGTGACATAGTGTTATTGTTAAAGGACTAGACTTTGGAGTCAGTCTACTTGGGATTAGAATGTTGGCATTTCCACTAATTAGCTTCATAATTGTGGAGACATTTTCTGGCCTCTCAGAGCCCAATTTATTCATATGTAATAGGGAATAATGATATTACCTATCTTATATAGTTAATGTGAAGATTAAATTAGAAAATGTTTTAGCAGTGTCTGGATTATGGTGACTACTCAATAATGATGGTAATGTCAGATACTTGTATGATTAAATCTTTTGGGAAGGTTTTATCAACAGGTTTTTGTAATGATTGAAGGGACATATTTTCAATAATTACTGTGTTAATCTTGATTTTTTGTCTTAGAATTCAGTGGAAAAGTAGGTTAATCATTTTCAGAGCCCATACAAAATTATTTTGTCATATTTTAGTAATGGGAATATTTGTACAATTTTAGAGTTTATATGGCACAGTTATATATCAGCTTTTTTCTTGGCAACCATGTAAAGGACAGCAGTGTAGATAGTATTTTAATATTATAGCTCAATAAACCAAGGCTTAGAGTGGCCAGGTAATTTTTCTGGTAGTCGTGTTAGTAGTACTAGAACCCAGGTCTTCTGATTCCTAGTCCAGCATTAGTTACTCTAGATTCTTTAGTGGAAGACTATTTTTATTACCATGTAGTTAGTAGGAATTCTTGCTTACAGACTCCTTTGATGTGATTTTGTTCTTCCTATTGATTTCTTCCCCCTTTTTATTTTTTGGCTTTTTCTGCTAGAATGTGAGTTGAAAAGACTTTGAAAGGTGGTTTAAATTGGCTGCCTTATCTTAGAGATGAAGGAGCAAAGGTCCAAAGAAGTTAATGACATACATAAGATTTTACATATATTTAATAGTAGCAGCAAGACTAAAATCTAGGTTTCCTGATAGTTTATCACTATTTTTATGTTAGTCTGTTTTCTGAGAGAGTTGGGTAATATAGCCCAGATTCATTTGGTTGTATTAATATTTGGTCTATAACAGTGTAACTTTGAGTTATGATGGAAGCATATGATGGAAGTTTCTTCATTTTTTACTTATAAATAACAGATTTGAAATCTAGGTGTATGTTAAGTGCCACATATCAGTGAATTTATATAATTATTTGATATATCTTTTTCTCAGCATAGAGGACCTGAACCATGCTACATTCATGTTTGTACTTCCTATTGTACATTCATGGGTTTGTTTTTTTTTTTTTTGGGTCGGGGGGCGTGTGGAGTCTCGCTCTGTCACAAGGCTGGAGTGCAGTGGTGCAATCTCGGCTCACTGCAGCCTCTGCCTCCTGGGTTCAAGCGATTCTCCTGCCTCAGCCTCCCGAGTAGCTGGGACTACAGGTGCATGCCACCACACCCAGCTAATTTTTGTATTTTTAGTAGAGACAGGGTTTCACCATGTTGGCCAGGCTGGTCTTGATCTCTTGACCTCCTGATCTGCCCACCTTGGCCTCCCAAAGTGCTGGGATTACAGGCGTGAGCCGCTGCACCTGGCCTTGTACATTCATGTTTGTACTTCCTATTGTAGGAAGGTTTTTATATTCATAATAAATATTGACTAAATTTTTTTTTATTGAATTTTGGGATGGTACTGCAAGTTGGTATTTTTTATTCGCTTTTTAAATATTAAATTTGGTGATTTTTTTCTTACCAAAAAGACTTCATTATTGCCATCTCTAATTATAAGATTAATAGGACTATTGAGATAGAACATATTATCAACTAAAGGTGAAATCATTATATAAATATTTCTAAAATTGTATGGATTTAACTAGTGAAGGAATTGGCTGAAAATTTTTACTCCCATTGGATTTCCTTCATAAATGTTAACATAGAGGAATAGTCTTACTTTTTTCTCTGATTTTTTTTTTCTGAGCTATTATGTTTTAGTGATTGTTCAGGAAATTTTTACTATGTCCATCAGCATTTTATCAGTTTCACAGATAATTTTATGGAAGAAACAATTTTGTAGCTGAGACATTCATATAGGTATTTATTACTGTGGATTTCTTTTACTTACCGCTGTGTAGATTGCGGATTTAGACTAACTTCCTCAAGTGGTTGCATAGTTAATTTTGAACTCATGAACTATATAAATAACAACAAAAAAGCAAGAGTAAAATAAGCTTTTGAATAAAATGTGAAATCATTGCATTAGAGATCTAGGTTTTGAAGTACAAAATATTTTAGGCCTATAAAGAAAAGTCGTATTAGGAGAGATTGCTTAGTAAAGATAAACTTTTGAGATCTGAATGGGAGAATGGAATTAATTTGAGCCTTGAAAAATCTGTTTTTAAGTAAACTTTTTATTGAAATGTGACATATATAAAAATATTCAAAAATATTTAGTGAATATTTACTATGAATATAAAAACCTTCCTACAATAGCTTACATATATATTATATATGTACATAAATACACAAACCACAAGTGTACAGCAGCAGACTGATCATTTTCATAAAATGAAAACGTTTGTGTACTCAGCACACAGTTTGAAAAATCTTGTTAGTATCCCAGAAGCCCCCTTTGTGACCCTTCTAGTCACTACCTTGTCACCAGAAGGGTAACCATTATTCTGTTTTCTAGCACCAGAAATCAGTTTATCCTCCTTTGTTTCCAGCTCCTTTTGCCCACATTTTGAGATTCATCCATATTGTTGTATATAGTTGTAGTTTTTTCTTTTTTTTTTTTTTTTTGCTGTGTAATATTAAATAGTATATTTTAGGAATATATCACAATGTAGGTGTCCTGTGTACTGATGGTAGACATTTCCTAGGTTGTTTCCAGGCTGGGATTATTGCAGTGTTCTGCTATGAATATTCTTGTATATGTCTTGGGGTTAATGTGTGTGCATTTTTGTTGGTTATGGAGCTGGGGCGATCTTAAAGCAGTCATGTTCTGGGGCAAGGAAAATCAGGAACAGAATTTTTATTAAGTAATTGATTTGATTTCCTCTTTACACATATCCAAAGCGTGATGTGTAAAGAAGAAAATAAAGCCAGCTTAATAAATTAGTTGAAGGCTTTCAAATGTTCATGGTTGGTAATTATGACTAAAGTAAGATAATTTGTTTTAACATCCACTTTGGCATTATCTTCCATAGCCTCCTTATTTGTTCTTTGTTCTGCAGCTGAGGTAGCTTTTTTTCTCTCCCTTTCTCTGTGTGTCCTTTTATTCCTTAATTATTTCTTGGAATGTCCTCCCTACCCTTGCCTGTTTGAAATAGAAACCCAACTCATTTTCTTGAGCCTGGTTTGTGGAGTTTTCCCTGACCTCCTACTTTCTAGAGTCCATTATATCTTTTTATAGTAGCGGTCACATTATTTTTATTGTAATTAATTATGTCCTTTTATTCTTATTCTCTTAGATTGCAATTTTCTTATAGTTTTATTTTTCTTTTCCTTCTTTCTAGTGGCAAAACTCTGTGGCTTACATATAGGCACTGAAATATATATATATATATATATATATATATATATATATATATAAAATTCCAAAGGCACTTATATATTTAAAGAAAAATATTTATTTTTATATTTTAGAAGTCATAGAAGCAATACATATTAATTGTATGATAACCACATTAAAAGTATAACTAATATTTAATACTGGAATTTAGTTTCAGTGGTAGAAGATGGTGGATTAAGCTGGCTAAGGAAATCTTATCTAAGAATGAAGGAACAAGCTGAGAAACAAAGTAGAAACTTTGAGGACATTGTAGCCGAAAGATATGGGGTGAGTATCTGTTTTAAGGAGATGCCTCTTATTTTCAGAATTAGGTGAAAAATTAAGTGCCTTTAGCTTTGTTTTGTGCCATGAAGAATTGAATTAATATTTCATGTCTTTATACTACTGAAGTAATTTTCTGCTTTTCATTATTATTAAACATGTATCATATTTTTATTGACATAATGAATGTAAAGCTTAAGTATATAAAACTTAAATGTGGGTGTGTTTAATGTAAAAAAAATTTTCTTATTGTGAGAAAATTTAAACAATGCCGGAAAGTCTGCATGGTACACTTCTGGAGGTAACCACTGTTGAAATTTTTTATATTCCAGAGTTAGGTATATTCTAGAGTTTGGGTACTTTACGGATTTTTTTAAAAGAGTGTATATATACTCTTAAAACAATGAAACTGTGCAACAGTATATATTTTAGAACCAGTTTCCCCATCGTTCTGGACAATCTTTCTATTGCAGTAATTACTGATATTCTTTTTTTTCTCTTCAATTGCCGGGGGAAAGCAGGTTTAGAAAGTAGTAAGATTTCTGGAATATATTTTTCCAGATATTTTCCCCCAGAGTTTTAAAGTAGACTCGTAGAATATGCCCTGGCTTTTTAAACTTAATAATGTACACATAGTTGGATGCCAGTAAATATATACATTTTAATGACCTGTTAATTTTTTTAATATATTTATAGGCTTTTCCTTTATTTATTGGTCAGTAGATGACCATTTATATGCTTTTCCTTTCCCTTGTTAGATAGCACTGTGCTGACTGTCTATGCCCAATGCATTTTGCATATTTTTCTTGTTGGTGAATTACTAAAAGTGAAATTGCCTGTTTAAAGGATATAGACATTTAAAGCAAGGTACATATTGCCAGATTTCTCTACAGAAAGAATGAGCAAATCATACTTAAAAATATCTCTTTTATCACATAATTTTCAACAGTAAGATTAGTTCTTATAGTTCATGCTGTTGTGATTGGCAGAGTTTTTAAGTTTTGCTTTTGTTTTTATACATTTGTTTACTGGTGAATTGGAATTTTATTTTTATTTTGAGGTGGAGTCTTGCTCTGTCACCCAGGCTGGAGTGCGGTGGCACGATCTCAGCTCACTGCAACCTCTGCCTCCTCGGTTCAAGTGATTCTCTTGCCTCAGCCTCCCAAGTAGCTGGGACTGCAGGAGCACACCACCACGCCTGGCTAATTTTTGTATTTTTAGTTTTTAGTAGAGACAGGGTTTCACCATATTGGTCAGGCTGGTCTTGAACTCCTGACCTCGTGATCTGCCCACCTTGGCCTCCCACAGTGCTGGGATTACAGGCGTGAGCCACTGCGCCCAGCCGAATTGGAATTTTTTTACATTTATTTTGACCATTTGTATTTTTTAGTGAATTGACTATTGATATTGTTTTCCATTTTTCTTTTGGGATAATAATTTAAGACTTTTTAATAAATCTGTTCAGATTTCTCCCCCTCGGCTTGATGTTTTTTACTTCGTTGATAATTTGCTATGGATAAGTTTTAAATATTTTTACCTATCAAAATCCCTCATATTATTTTTTCATGAATTAGTGCTCTTGGTATAATTTATTGACAGGCCTTCCCCACCCCACAATCGTAAAAATATGCAGCTGTACTTACTTGAGTGCTTGTTCAGTTTTATTTTTTATGTTTTATCTTTAATTTTTCTGGAATATATATTTGTGCATGGTATGAAATAGGCATCAAACTTTGCATAAGTCTTATATAGTTGTTTGCTATATATTGAATGAATTATTTTTTCTCACTAATTTGAAATGACACATTTGTTATACATTAAATTTTCTCATATACATGGGTCTGTTCCTTTACTCTCGGATCTGTTTCATTGATTTTTCTATCTTTTCCTGGAATTTGTATCATACTTTTCTAATTATTGTGGTTTTCAGTAAATTATGCAGATAGCAAATAATAAACACCTACTATGTGGTAGTCACTATGTGATAAATCTCTTGTTAGTCACCAAAAAAATTAGCTTTGCTTTCTTATGTGTTTAGTTTTCTTAGTAAATTTAGTTTAAGCTCAATAGAAATAAATATTTTTCCAAAATTTGTTATAAATTTACGACTCTTTTTGGAGTTTTTATTTAAATTTAACTAAATGTATAGATAAATTAAGGACAACTAGTATCTTTATAATATAGAGTCATCCCATCCCAAAACACTATTTATTTATGCTCTTCAGTATTTTTCTCTGTGCAGTTATTATGCATATGCCATTGAGGTTATTTTTATTTTTTTATATTATAAATTGAATTTTAAAAATGTTTTCTGACTTGGTGTTGGTGCTGGTCGGCCAATTCTTTAAACTTTTATTATCCTAATTTTAAAAATTTTGGGTTATGTGGAAAGGTAGTTATATGCAAATAATTATTTTGTTTTTTTCCTCTCTGTTAATACTTAAACTTTCTTTTCTTCTTGAAATAGTTATAATTTTAGAACTTTGATAACAGGATTGGAAGCTGGTATTGCCTTTTTGTCTAAAGACAAAATAATGACTTTTGCATTTAAGATTAAGAGTATCATGTTTAAGTATCCTTATATTCAAAGTTGAGTAAAAGGTACTTTTTTGTTTTTTTTTAATTTTATTTTTTTATTTTTTATGTTGTATATGTTTAAGGTATGTATTCCATGACGTTTTGATATGCATGGGGAAATAATTACTAGAGTTAAGCAAACTAGTGTATCATTTATCTTACGTAGTTATTCTCCTTTTTTTTTTGTGGTAAAAATACCTAAAATCTACTCTCTTAGCAAATTTTCAGTATATAATGTGATATTATTAACTGTAGTCCTCATACTGTACATCGTATCTCCAGGCTTAGTTATCTTACATAATGGAAACTTCTGACTCTTTGACCTCCATCTTCTCATCCCCTCTCCTTCCAGTAACCACCTTCCTACTTTCTGTTTCTATGTATGATGCATCTTTTCCTTGAAAATTGTTTTAAAGTTTGCAACTACAAGAACAGTTATTTAGACTTGACCATTGCATTTGACATTTGGTTTTTAGCATCTGTTCTTTTTTTCAGAGATCTTTGCCCGAATTCATTGATGGTGTGTCTTAATCATCTTGAGTAATTTTTTTCCCTCAGAATTGCTAGTGATATGCCCTCTGATTCCCTGCATTTTTGAAAATGATTTTCTTTGGCCCATACCAAGGAAGGATAATTTGACTGTGAATTGAATTCTCTATATAGAATTATAGCTTAATTTTGTTTTCAAAATTTAATCTTCATTCTATTATTTACTTATTATTATGGATGAACAGCTGTAAGTCTGTCTTTCCTTTGTGGATAATTTGTTATTTATCTACCCCTATCCATATACAGGCTCACACTTATTCACTCCTTCCCTGATCTAGTCCTTGTAAAGGTTTTTTTTTTTTTCCTTGAGTTTTGAGATTCAGGTATTAGGGTTTTTTTCTGTGTTTTTCTTCTTTCTCCCCCACCCAAGGCTATTGGATGAGTCCTTCTGAGAAATCGGCTGGGGAAATTTTCTTATATATTTTTAAAATTAATGCTCTATTCCCATCATCTTTGCTCCATCTTTCTGGAAGTACTAATAAATGCATATTAGATTTTCTAGAATCAATTGTTCATGTATCTTTTTTTCTTATAACTTACATTTATTTACTACCTTTTCCTAAAATATAGAGAATTCCCAGGTTAATTTAGTTTTCAGCACTGTCTTTTCTTCCTTTTGGTGTATCTTGGCAGCTTTTTGGGACACACAATTTTTTATTTCCAAGTCTTTCTTGTTCTTGAACTATTCTGTTTTTTTTTTTTTTTTTGGTGAGAATCTGTTTTAGCAATTTAACCTCTTGAATCTCACAACCAGTAGGAATTAAGTATTTTTTGCAAAGTTTGTCTCTACTGTTTTCTGTGTTATACTTTGTGTTAGTGCAGAGTGTTTGGTGTAACTGGCTATCCTTTTGGAATCTTTTTGTTATTTAATAATTTTTAATTGTTTACACATTTTTAGAAAGTATTCGTTTCCGTATAGGATGATTGTATGGGTCTTCTTTCACCCCGTTAGTGGGCTTTTCAGTGTGCCACTTGGCAGTGAGTCATACAGTGACATGTGGGGTGCAAGTCACTGAGCCGTTCCTAATTTTAGATATCTTGTTTAATTTTTCTCCTTTGTAGTCAATGGAAATATTTCAGTCAAAATTAGAAGATGCTGAAAAAGCTGCATCCACGAAAGAAGATTATAGACGGGAACGGTGGAGGAAACCCACATATTCAGATAAAGCACAAAATTGTCAAGAAAGTAGAGAATCAGACTTAGTAAAATATGGTAACAGTTCAAGGGATAGATATGCTACAACAGATACTGCAAAAAATAGCAATAATGAAAAATTTATTGGTGATGAAAAAGATAAGAGACCTGGGTCTTTAGAAACGTGTAGAAGAGAATCTAACCCAAGGCAAAATCAAGAGTTTTCTTTTGGCAATTTGAGAGCTAAATTCTTGAGACCCTCTGATGATGAAGAACTGTCATTTCACAGCAAGGGCAGAAAATTTGAACCACTTAGTTCATCTTCAGCATTGGTAGCTCAGGGCTCTTTGTGTAGTGGTTTTAGAAAACCCACCAAGAACAGTGAAGAAAGATTAACATCATGGAGTCGCTCTGATGGGAGAGGAGACAAGAAACATTCAAATCAAAAGCCATCGGAAACCAGTACTGATGAACACCAACATGTTCCAGAAGACCCAAGAGAAAAATCACAAGATGAAGTCTTGAGAGATGACCCTCCAAAAAAAGAACATCTACGGGATACAAAGTCTACATTTGCTGGGTATTTTATCATTTTTTAACCTAATAAGTTAAGATCCAGAGAGTTCAAAGAACAGAACTGTATTTTTAGAACATCAGTTATTAGCTGTGACTATGATCTCACATTTCTTAAAATTGATAGAAGGGGTAAGATATGCAGATTTAACAGGCAGTATTGTGGTATGGATTGCATTTTATTTCATAGGTTTTTTTTTTTTTAAGAGCTGAAAGCAGTAGCTATATTTGTTCAAAATATGTTGCTGCTTTGCAATTTAAAAAACTGAATGAGTTAATGTTTTAAATGTATGTGCTGCAGGAGATATTTTGGTAGATTTTGTTACCAATGCCATTACTTTCTAAGGAAATTATCTTATTGTTGAGTATAATCATAATCATAAATACTGCATGTCTATAGGAAGTCTAGGAGACAAAAGGAAAACACGCTGCCACGGCCCAAATATAAAGTGACAAATACATGCCAGAGATCTTGCAGAGGGGAGCATGAATTATGGTTGTTATTTTGCACAAAGAAAGAAATAATCCACTTTGGGCAATTGACAGATTTTAAAGATAATATTAGAGTTTTAAATATAAAATATATGTTGCATTTATGTAGGGCTGGGTTAGAAGATGAGGAAACCCAGGTTGAATGGGACTAAACCTAAGAAAATTTGCTTTAGAAATTTGCTGGCCCTGTTGGAGATAGCCAGAAAAAAAAGTGTCCAAAGGGTAACAACTTACACGTGAATGATCATTAAAATATGTTTAAAAATAGCACCAAATGAGTGGGACACTAAAGGAAGAGGTTTTAGGAAATAATAGAAACACATGGTTGTAGTAGATAAAAGCACTGTGGTTTGGGGTTGTGAGTCTGATAAATCACTTTTGTTAATGACTCCATCTGAAGCAGTGGATTATAAAACTCAGTGTGTAATTTTCGGTGGGAGGGAGCTGGCAAAATCTGAACTGAGTGATTAAGCCCCAGTCAAATGGACTCTGGTTCACATCAGGGCTTTCCTCCCAGGAAGTGGAAGGAGAAATCCAATTGTATTGACTAAACAAACATGGCAGGGATTATTGTCTAAGGCTGTATGCATATGTAATTGTCCAGTCTTCACTCCAGGTGCCCTGGGTGGTAGACTATTTCCAGTTCCCAGTCACTAGGGGAATGAGGCTCTTATTTCCTGATATCATTAGGATTGGGTTAGCATTTGGATGATCTGTAGGCCTTCTTCTGTGACTGTAGCTAAGCAAAATGTCTGCAAAGTAATACCACACGATTAGTATTCCAACCGGTTGTCTGATTGCTGCATATTTGTATGTCTTATTTAAGTTGTAAGCTTCTGATAGATACACTATAATACAGGCACTCACTAAAAGCTGTGTATGTATATAATTTTTCGGTTTGAAGACAGCACTCACTAAAAGCTATATATGTGTGTATATATATGTATGTATACATGTAATTTTTCCTTTGAAGACAGTATTCTTTGTTCGCTGTGTTAATTTGATGGTACAGAGGGTTTGAGGCTTTCTATGAATTCTGTGACTGGCTGGAGAGGGAAAGAAAAATCTAGGAATCATCCAAAAAAAAAGATTCCTGAGAATGTAGAGTGGTTGTAAAGTAGGAGACCAAGACAGGACCTTGAAGAATGCCTAGTTGTTACAAATAATCTTTGTCTTATAAGTGAATGGTCATGATTGGAAAAATTAGTTGAATTAGTTTTTACTTCTTTGTATGTATTGTTCATATATCTTTACCTTTCTTGTTATTTACACCAGTATTATTTTTTAGAACATGCCATTTGTAATCTTAATAAATGTATATGTATAAAATTTAAACAATATAGACAGAAGAGTATAAAACAAGAATATGAAGCATAGGTGAGTATAAAATGAAAAAGTAAATCTCCCTTTCATGTCACTTCCAACCCTAATCCTATTTGCCAGGTTAACAGTGTTGGTAGTGTCTTTCCAAATTTTTTAGTGTATTTGAAAATGTGTAATATATATATTTAACTTAATGTATAAAATTTTATAAAAACATAACTTATATATTTAATATATGTAAGTTAAATAGCTCTACAATGCATATACCATTCAAAATCTTGGTTTTTTTTCCCAATAAGTATATCTTAAAGATCTTTTTACTTTAGCCCATATGTACCTACATTTTTTTATTTTAAAGGCTCTTTAATACTCCATTGTAAAACTTAGGCATAACCTAATATTTTTCACTGGTTTCCTATTGATGGAATTTTAGGTTGTTTCCACTTTGTTGCTCTAAGAAACAATTCCGCATTTAATTTTTTGTGAGTATCTTTGCATGCTATTTAAATATAGCTGTAAAATAAATTCCAAGGAGTGGAACTGTCAGGTCAAAGAGTACATGCATTTTACTTTTTACATATTTTGCAGTATTAACCAATTTAGACTTTTATATTGCATTGGAATGACTTTTCTCCTACTTCTTGCTGATAGTATTATTGAACTTTTTAAATCTTTGCCATATGTGTAGTTGAGAAACAGACTCTTTGATTTTTATTTTTTTAAATATGAGTGAAGTTTGCCATATTTTTATGTGTTGTTTATTTGTATTTTTTTGTTAACTAGTCATATGTTTTGCCCTTTTTTTGAGCTATTGTTTGTTTGTGAGAGCTCTTTATATTTGTCATGTAATACAAATAGATTTTTCATCATTTGTAAATTTCCTTTCATTTTTCATTCTTTCTTTAATGTGTTCAAATTTATCACTCTTTTTCTTTATTCATTTTAGGCCCTGCGATTATGTTAACTAGCAGAAAAACGTCCACTGCCATGCAATTGAGAACCTTGAGCTTTTTATTATTAGAAATGAAATGTGCTTTTGCATATATTTTTCTTGTGTTAGAAAATATATTGGCTAAGTATTTCCAGGAATTTAAAACTTAGAGGAGTATGTAATGTGAACAAAAATTAATGAGAAGTCCTTAATTTTGGTTTTACAAATTTAATATCAGAAACTAACCCATTTTATATAATATTTTAACCTTTGGATGTCATTCTTGGCAGAGTTTGTTACTGTAGCCCAGAAGGGCAAGCAAAGGATGCTAGATTCTGAAGGCTTTGAGTATAGTTGTGAGATCTTTAAGCAAGGAAGCAAATATGAGAGCAGCTGGTAAATAAGGGAGATCTGTGAACACTGCCAGCACAAGAATAATAAAATTATATGTGGCTTAACAGTGGGGATATATTCTGAGAAATTGTCATTAGGCAGATTCATTATTAGGTGATGTCATTGTGTGGACAGCGTAGTGTGTACTTAAGCTTAGTGCATACCTACACTATATGGTACAGCCTGTTGCCTCTAGGCTGCAAAGTAGAACATGTTACTGTATTGAGCATTGTTGGCAATTGTAACACAATGATAAGTATTTGTGTATCTAAACATAACATAGAAAAGGTCCAGTAATAATACAGCATTATAATCTTACGGGATTACTGTCATGTGGTCTGTCGTTGAGTGAAACGTCGTTATGCTATGCATGACTAATTTCAGGTTTTAAAAATGTTACTGGGCTAGAGCTCTTTTAGTTACTTATTTCTCAAAGGTTTTCAACCTCTTTGTGTGTGTGTGTGTGTGTGTGTGTGTGTGTGTGTGTTTCAAAGAGAGTACATTTTAATGTGAAAATAGGATTTGCTTTTTAGAAATTAATTATAAAAAGGACTTCTGAAATATAGCAGTAATTCTTGAAATTGAGACATGTTTGGGCTTTTTTTCTTTTTGCAGGATAATTGCAGGTGTCATGGTGATGTTTCTTTCAAAGCATTTGCTCATCATTATAAACACTTGGGGAAAGAAAGGAAGAGCCCATTCCCTGATGTTTGCTGTAGAACAGTGTCTTTGCTGTGGTGTTCACAAAATAAAATAGAATAATATTTTCTTCAGTTACTTTGTGCTCAACAACTTTCATTTAAATGTCTTTACTTGACACCTATTACTGTTACATTGTGTTCAAGTAACTTAATGTTGAAATTACTACTATAAAAGATGTTCAGAATTCTTGTATATTTTTGTCATTTATCCTCATCTACTAATAAACAATTTAATTCTTGTTAGAAAATACTAAAAAAATTGTGTGGAGCATTCCATTTCATGACAATGGAAATCACCTCTTTTAAAGATCTATTGAGATTCTAGTTATCTTCTGGAACTCGTGGGCTTTAGATGCACTTCAGCCTACCTTCATTGCCCTTCCTTGATTGAATATCTAAACTTTTATCCTGGGAAGTGAGGGGAAGAGGAAAGTAAAATGACAAAGATGTGCGCTTTGGATGGATAATAACAAACTTCTTTGGCTACTTAATCCGGGCTTTTTTTTTTTTATTATAAAAGGGTGTATAGAAGCCAGATTTTAGTAGACTAAATTATTAAGAGTTATGGAATGGTAGAGATAGAAAGTGTATTTATACTAGAACATGTTTATATTTAATGGAAAAGAGTCAGTATCCTTTTTAGAAGAAGCAAGACAGCTAGGCAGATGATAGATGGGGCAACTGAGCAAGATCCCTGAGGTTAGTATGGGTGAGTGTGGGGTCCATTTCAGTTATAAAAGTAGAAGGATTAGCTTTGGGTGGAGATAGTTAAAAAAAAAAAAGAGGGAAATGTGGCTACAGATTGTGGGTGACAAGGGAGAAATTTGAGGAATTATTTCTTAATGACTTAATGCCAGTATTTTTTTGACATATGATTCCCAGAATATTGGTGATCCCCTTGATCTATATATGGAGAGTCAGTTATGATTGGTATTGGTATTATAAAGAAACAACTTCTAGTTCTTCATGAGAAGCTCACATTAGAAACTGAGAATTTGATTAGTACCCTGTTTTTAGGTATTTATACTTTTTTTTTTTGCTCATATATATTAGTAGGTATCTATTGTCATATTGACATTTGATGTAGTCGTTTGTGTTAATAATCCTCAAACATTTCTCCTCAAGAGAAGGAGATGGATTGATGGATGGCTTGGTCTTTAATTCTTCTGATCCTGTCAGACTTAAGGTTGCTTGCAAGATGACTTATTTCTGGATATGGAGCTCAATAGGAGATTATGTGTGGACTTGTTCTACATCTGGTTTATAGTAAGCATCTATTGGAATAACAGAAAGGATTGTAGAAATACTGCGTAAATAGCTTCGTTATCCTAAAGAACCTTTCTTTGGTTCTTTGGTTTCTTAGTTGGCCGATGTTGAGATGAGAAATGGAGGAACTAGACATAACTTTAGTTGGAAAGAAAAACCTGGTCAGGTACAAATGGCAGAAGGAAAAGAAGCCAAGAAGTTTCTCACTTAGGAAACAAGAATTTGAGAGACAGACCCTGGAGAAAGCGACTTCATAGGGGAATAATTGCACTGGTGCTCTTTAGAAAGGGCATGAACTGTGGTTATTTAATTTGTGTTATACATACATGTAAAAATGTAATATCTATAATTCCACATAATAAACATAAACATAAGTTTTTAAAGCAGGGAATTTTGGAAAATTGAATGTGAAAGAATGCAAATTGAGGAAAGTTGTTTTGGTTAGTAAGTAAAAGAGAGATATGATTAGTTTGCCAGAAATTCTGGTAAATTACATTTGCAATACAATGAAAATGACATGTACCTTAGCATTTAATTTGAAAAAGTACTGAAAAATATTTTCCATACAAAAAAGTACAACTAATAAAACAAGCAATAACTCAGCCCACGGATGCATATAAAAAGTAATAACATTCTCCTGCTTACATGAATGCAGTGTCCCTACTGTTCATTTTCATTGTTTTTTAAAATGACTGAAATAATATGAGGGGAATGAAAATATGTTACTTTCTAGTGTTGCTTTACCTCAAATATTTTAGATTTCTTAAACACCAGAGTATTGCCTTTCCTTTCAACAATGTGGGAAGAAATGGCTACTATACATTTTCTGTAGAGATTTTTTTTTATTCCAATGCTATCTGTCTGTTAAAAGATTCCCCTCCCAGAAGAATTCACTATTTAAAAATAATTTCCATATATTGTTGGTAGGTCATGTTTTGATTTGGAAAACCAAATTTGTAGAAAATATGATTAAGGTTAATTTTTATAGAGTATTATAGAATCTGGGAATTCAGGAAAACTAATAATACCAGATATATCCTTTATATTTAAGATTATGACAAATTAGTTATACTCTGGTTTTAAAATGTATTACTCCCTTTGAGGGTTAAAAAAACTTTGAGGTATAATTGACATATAATAAACTGCAAATATACAAAAGTGTACATTTTGGTATATTTTGAAATGCATATGTTCTCATTAAACCATCACCCCCCTGAAAGCCTTTGTGCCCTTTTATAATCTCTCTCTCCTGCTTTCCCACACCCCTGCTCTCCACTCCTAGGCAACCACATCTGCTTTCTTTCATTATAGACTACAGTTGTCCCTTGGAATTCGTGGGAGTTGGTTCTAGGACCACTCAAGTATTCCAAAGTCGCACATACTCAAGTTGGAACCCACATGTATGAAAATGTTACTCTGGTATATGTAGTTTTTACATCACATGAATGCTGCATTTTTGATTGACGTTTGGGTGAAAAAAATCTGTGTATAAGTGGACCTGGGCAGTTCACCCCTGTGTTGTTCAAGGGTCAACCGTAGTTTGCATCTTCTAGAGTTCGATGTAAATGGGATCATACATTATGCACTCTTTTTGGTCTGTCTTCTTTCACTCAGAGTAATTATTGTGAGCTTCATTTATGTTGTTGCATATGTCAGTAGTTCATTCCTTTTTATTGATGGGTAATATACTATTGGTGGGTACATCACAATTTGTTTTTCCATTCTCCTGTTGGTGAATTTGAGATTGTTTCCACGTTTTGGCTATTATAAATTATGTACAATTCTGAACATTCAGGTACAAATCTTTGTGTTGACATATGCTTTCCTTTCTCTTGGATAAATATACCTAGGAGAGCAGTAGCTAAATCATATGGTAACTGTATGTTTAAATACTAAGAAACTGCTAAACTGTTTTCCAAAGTGATTGTACCATTTTACATGATCACCAACAGTGTATAAGAGTTTCAGTTTCTCCACATCCTTGTAAAAACTTGGAATGGTCAGTCTTGTAAATTTTAGCTCTTCTAGCGGATGTGTAGTGGTAGCTCATTGTGGTTTTAATTTGTATTCCCCTAATGGCTAATGACTACTGATGCCGAACATCTCTCTATGTGCTTATTTGCCATCTGGATATCTTTTTGTAAAGTGCTTACAACGTGTAGTGCTGTTACCTCTCTACTAGTAATTTAGATCTCTTTTTTATCAGGCAGGCTATAGGTTTATCAATTTTATTGCCTTAAATATCAGCGTTTGGTTTCACTGAATTTATTGTTTTTCTATTTTCTATTTATTTTACTCTGATTTTTATTGTTTTTTGAATTTTTTAAACTTTGTTTTAATTTGCTCTTTTTCTGCTTTCTTAAGGTGTAAGATGAGGTGATTGATTTGAGATCTTTTCTAATATAAATATTTAGTGCTATGAATTTCCCCCTGAATTAGCAGCATTCCATCAGTTCAGACATGTGTCATATAATTTTCCTTTGGTCTTATTTTTGACCCATGGGTTATTTACAGTTGCGCTATTTAGTTTCCAAGTATTATAGTTGAGGATTTTCCAGAGACTTTTGTTAATGATTTCTAATTAATTTCATTGTGATAAAAGAACATAGTTTATACAACTTGAATTCCTTTAAATTTATGAGACTGTTTGTATAGCTTAGAACATGGTGTATCTCAGGAAATATTTTGTATGCACTTGGAAAGAATGTGTCTTCTATTCTTGTTGGGTGGTGTGTTCTATGGATGTCCATTTGGGCATGTTAGTTGATAGTATTATTCAGGTCTTCCTTATGCTTGCTGATTCTGTTTACAGTAGTCCCCCTTTATCCATGGTTTTGCTTTCTGAGGTTTCAGTTACCCATGATCAACCATGCTCTGAAAATATTACAGTATTCTGCAAGAGATACCACCGTCACATAACTTTTATTACAGTATATTGTTGTAATTGTACTATTTTGTTATTGGTTGTTGTTGTTAGTGTCTTACTATACCTTATTTATAAGTCAAACTTTAACATAGGTATGTATATATAGGAAAAAAAATACTACAGATAAGGTTTGGTACTATCCAAGATTTCAGGCTTCCACTGAGGGTCTTGGAACATAACTCCTGCAGATAAGGGGGGGGACTATTATATTTATCCTATCAAATATTGAGAGAGAGGTATTGAAATTTATAGCTATAATTGTGGATTTGTTTATTTCTCTTCTGTCAGTTTTTGCTCATGTATTCAAACGCTCTTGCTGGATTGACTCCTTTTTCATATGAAATGACGTTCTTTGTCCCTGGTAATATTGTTTTCCTCTGTAATCTTGTTTGTTTGATATTAATGTAGCCACTTCAACTTTCTTTTGACTAGCATTAACATGGTATATCTTTTTCTATCCTTTTATGTTTAACATACGTATGTCTGTGTATTTATAGAACATTTCTTGTAGTTGAATTTTGCTTTTATATCCATCTGATAATTTCTGCCTTTTAATTTAGGTATTTGGACCATTTATATATAATGTTGTTGATATAATTAGGTTCAAATATGTAACTTTGCTATTCGTTTTCTATTTTTCCCATCTGTTCTTTTTTCACTTTGTCCTCTTTTTCTTACTTGTTTTGGATTATTTTTATGATTCCATTTCATTTCCTTGGTTGCTATATATTTTTTTTTAAATAGTGGTTGCTTTGTCTTTGATGGTGTACTATACCTTTAACTTATCATAGTCTATCTTCAAGTGATATGCTATTCCTGAATGGTGTAAGAACTTTATCATTGTTTATTTATATTTCTCCCTTTCTTTCCTTTCTGTTAGTGTTCTCATACATTTTACTTATACTTGTTATAAACCTCAAATATATTTTAAAAATAGTTATCTTCCGTTACATGTATGGTGGGATACTTAAGGTTGTCCCACAGCCCTCTGATGCTCTTTTCATTTTTACAGATTCTTTTCTCTGTTTCATTTTTCATATTGCTTCAAGTTCACCAAACTCTACTTCTGCAGCTTAATTTTCCATTAATCTTACCCATATATTTTTTATCTCACACATTGTAGTTTTCATCTGTAAAAGTTTATTTTGGATCTTTTTTATATCTTTGTTGTGTCTGACTTTTTGAACCTATGGAACACAGTTATAATAATCACTTTTAGTATCCTTGTCTGCTGTTTTTTACATCTGTGTCAGTTCTGGGTTGATTTTGACTGATAGCATTTTGTTCTAATTATGGGTTGTGTTTTTCTACTTATTTGCCTGTCTGATCATCATTGATTAGATACTAAGTTTTACAGACTACCTTGTTGAGTGCTAGACATTTTTGAATTTCTATAAATATTCCTGAGCTTTGTTCTGGAATATTTATATTGTTCTGATTAATTGGAAAACATTTGATCCTTTTAACTTTTGTTTTAACATTTTTTAGGTGGGCCCAGAGCAGCATTTAGTCTAGGGCATGCTGTTTCCCACTAATGAAGCAAGACTCTTTAATACTGTGTCTAGTGCTTTTTGAATTACGTGATTTCCTAGTCTAGCTAGTGGGACTGGATAAGCAGTTCCCAGGAATGCCAGGTACTCTACCTCCAATCCTCTGGGCTAGTTCTTTCCCTGACTGCAGGTGGTTTCTTGCTGAGTACTCAAGGGGAACCCTCTGCAGTTCTCTGGGATTTTCTTATGGTGCAGCTTTCGCTTCTTTGGTACTCTGTTCTGTGAATTCTAGCTGCCTTGGAATTCTTGGACTCCTGGCTATGTCTCCTTTACTCAGAAATCCTTCAGACTCTGACTGAGGTCACTGTCCTGCACTGTAGCCTTGAATTATTTCTTAAGGCAGTAAGCTAGGGAAATCTGACCTTGGCTGGAGGTTTCTTTTTTTGTGTGAGGCTTCCATAGTATAGGTTTGGCACATGATACCAGTTTTAAACTAGTTTATATTATTTGACTATATGTTATGTTCTGGACTGACTTTACAAAAAAGCACACGATCAATGCTTTTATTCTTTGAATGCAGTTAGATATATATATCATTTTATAGTTTCTTAGATTATTAACAACTTATGTCGAATGAGAAGAGTTTCCAAAGATGTATAGAATTATGGCCTGGTTCGAACGTTTTTTGTTTGTTTCCTTTTTAAAGTTACGAGTATGGGGATATTAAATAAGAAGAGTTGATAAGTACTATTTATCTCATTGTTATTGGGATTTTGATCAGTTATTATAACTGCCATAGGTGGTTGTGGCATTGTAACAGAGAACTTTATCAATTTGTGGAAAAATATTGAGTTTAATTTACATGTATTACAATCATGATCTGCTATTGGTACTGAATGCTTTGTTGAGGTCAGTTAAAATAACATTTGAGTCTTGATGTTATTGCTTGCATCGCACCTATATTTCATATGCTGTTAATCTTTCCTATTCCAATAGCAGTCCAGAGCGTGAGTCCATTCACATCCTGAGTGTTGATGAGAAGAACAAGTTGGGAGCCAAGATTATCAAAGCAGAGATGATGGGGAATATGGTAAGACTCTTAGATGTTGCTTTAGAGAATAATGATTAAATGTTTAACTTCTTATGAGTAATTTTAGAAGTTCCTTAGCAGTGTGGATATAGCACACTGTGAAAATAACTGTTGGTTATTGATTCCTTAAAGAAATTCTCAGGCCTGGCACCATGCCTGTAATCCCAGCACTTTGGGAGGCCAAGGCAGGCGGATCACTTGAGGTCAGGAGTTCGAGACCAGCCTGGCCAAAATGGTGAAACCCTGTCTCTAGTAAAAATACAAAAATTAGCTGGGTGTGGTGGCGCATGCCTGTAATTCCAGCTATCGGGGTGGCTGAGGCAGGAGAATCGCTTGAACCTGGGAGGCGGAGATTGCAGTGAGCCAAGATCACGCCATTGCAGCACTCCAGCCTGGGTGACGAAGCGAGACTGTGTCTCAAAAAAAAAAAAAAAATTCTCGAACCTTTCTGTGAAGAATACTATCTACTTCTAAATAAATGATCTACTTTCTCTGTCAGATCTCTGAAATTGAAGATACTAAGGAACTTCATGCTTTTAAATTTCTTTTTTACTTGGCTATTTACTTTATTCCTGCATTTGTAACTCATTGAGCATATTTAAGGGAGATAAAGATGTCACTTTTTCTACCTCATTTTTGTCATATATTTGTAAGAATGTTTTTTACTTTTCCAAATTACTTAGGAACCTAAAAAGGAGGATTAAGTCATTTATTCAAGTTTTAAGTAAATGTGCTGTGCCTGATACTGTGTTAGATGCTTTGTGTAGGCTTACTCATTTAATTCCTGTAGTAATGTTTGATTTAAGACTAATTTACCTCAGAATTGTAAGAAATAGGGATGATTTGGTAAGAGCTGCATTTATCCATTCATCCATTCACTTATTGTCACATGCATATTAAAATAATATACAGTGAGATGTATATATTTAAGTGCACATGGCAGAATAGCACAGCCAGATATTCCACATCTTGATAGAATAGATTCAGTCATGGTCATATGTATGCACTCATCTCAAACCCAAATATAAGGGATCTTTAAGTAGTCTTATGTTTTGGTAAACTATTAGTACAATACTGTAGTAGAACAAATGGTAACCAAACAAGATATTTCTGTGTTATGTCTAATAAAGGGCATATCTTGCATATGCTGCTCTATCTCTTTGAATCTGATCCTTGGAAACACTGAACTTCCACTCGTCCTAGAAATTGGTAAGGGAAGTAAACCAACAACAGTAACGATAGCAAGAAAGTAAAGTTTGAGCTTTGAAAGTACAGAGGAATTAGTTAAAATAGTGAAAGAGAGGTCATCTAGGTAAAAGGGTGAAATATGTGTTCTTGTGTTCAAGAAGAACACTGTGGTGGTGCTTGCTATTCTTTGCATGTCACATAAATCTACTTATTTAATGTATTACTTCATGGTTTATTGCTTTATATGGCAGTTGTTTTATATAAATTTCTATAAGTTTCCTAGAGTAAAAATGAAATATCTTCGGAATTTTCATCTAAATTATCAACAATAAAGAAGGTAACAGTTTAAATCTTGTGATAGCTTTTTTGTTACCAATAACCGAAGTTGAAAGTATTGAACTTTTGTAATATTTAGTAATTATTAAAATGTCATTAAGGTTATGTATTTCCTTCATCTATCTCTTCCAAAATATATGTCCTTATAATTATTTATCTTTGAAGCATGTCACAGGTATTCAAGAAGTTTGTAACTGAGATAAGTTCATTAAAAAGTAGTATACTAGGCTATGGGTTGGTAATTGAAATTAGATGAAGGCTACATGAGTGTTGGTTATGCTGTTTTTCCTTCTGTTGTGTAAATTTGAACATTTTGTCGTAAAGAATTAAACTACATATCGCACATATTTTACTTGTTTTTCTTTTTGAAGGAATTAGCTGAACAACTTAAAGTTCAACTTGAAAAGGCAAATAAATTCAAAGAAACTATAACACAGATACCAAAAAAATCTGGGGTAGAGGTAAGTAATAAAAGTTTGGAGAATGTAATTACCTTGTGTAAACTACCACCGGGCAGTGGTAATATTTTATTTTATTTTATTTTATTTTTTATTTTATTTTATCTATTTTTTTGAGATAGTGTCTTGCTCTGTCGCCCAGGCTGCAGGGCAGTGGCATGATCTTGGCTCACTGCAACCTCTGCCTCCCACGTTCAAGCAATTCTTGTGCCTCAGCCTCCTGAGTAGCTGGTACTACAGGTGTGCGCCACCATGCCTGGCTAATTTTTGTATTTTTAGTAGAAATGGGTTTCACCATGTTGGCCAGGCTGGTCTCAAACTCCTGACCTCAAATGATCCACCCGCCTCAACCTCCAAAAGTGCTGAGATTACAGATGCGAGTTACTGTGCCCAGCTGGCAGTGGTAATATTTTAATGTGAGATGTGTCTGTATATGTGTCTGTGTGTTTATGTGTATGCATGCTTGTTTTAAAAAATTTAGTTTTCTATATATTCTCTTACATTCTATCAGTGTGCTCTGGTGGAAAAAAGCCTCGGGCTGAGACCAAGGAGTCTTGCTTTTATTCTGGACTGTGCTGCTTACTGATTGCTTCTGTATGAGTCAAACTGCTTCTTAACTGTCTCCTTCAGAATGAGAGACTTGAATTAGTTATTCATTTCATATAAAACAAATTACTTTGGTCTATGATTAATTCATCTATCTGTTAGTGAACAAAACAAATAAAAACACCTACCTGCATGGAACTTTCATTTGGGTAGGGAGGGAAACAATAAATTATAAAAATGATAAGCAAATTAAAAAATAATACAGTGTATCAGAAAGTTACCCTATGGCAGGGTAGTGGCAATTTTGAGTGACAGGTGGGTTGGTGGCTTGGAATGCACAGGCCAATTCTGTTGAAAAAGTGTAAGGACTTTATGTAAGGACTTGTAGTTAATGGAAGAGTGAATTTCTGTGTATTTGAGTGAAGAGCGCAGTAGTCATAGGGAACAGAGATTTAAAGGCCCAAAGATGGAAATATGTCTGATGTGTAGGAAGAATAGCAACGAGACTGGTGTTGCTGGAGTGGAATAAATGAGAGAGGGAAGTAGGAGATACAGGTTAGAGAGACTATAGGTGGCCAGATCATGTTAAGCTTTGAAAGTCATGGTAAGGAGGTGGACTTTTTTTTCTGACTGAGGTGGTGAGAAACTATTACATGGTTTTAAGCAGAAAACATATTTTGACAGGACCATTCTGGATTCTCTATTAAGAACGGTTTGCAGAAGCTGAAGTAGAGGTGGGCTTTTGTAATAATGCAGATAAGAAATGATAGTGGCTTTGACCAAGACAGATAGTAGCTATGGAGATGGTTAGAAGTGATTGCATTTTGTATTTGTATAAATACTTTATGTATATATTTTGAAAGAAAAACTGACAGGATTTTTATGGTGGTTTAGGTGGGGGGTGGGTAATGGGCTAAAGAGAGGAGGCAAAGAGGACTCCAAGGTTTTTAGCTTGAGCAGCTGAAAGAATAGCCATTAATTGAGTTGTGGAAGAAAAAGGAAGAATAGGTTTTGGGGCAAATCAGAGGTTCTGTTTTGGATATATTGAGAGTTTGGATGCCTGTTAGATGTGGAATAAGTGGAGATGTCAAGTAGGCAGTTGGATGGTTGGGAGTAGGGAGAAGATAGAATTGGGTAGTTGGGAAAAAGTCCTCTGTGCTGGAGATAGAAATTTGGGAGTTATTAACATGTAAGTGATATTTAAATCTATGATACTGCATAAAATAATCACAGGCATAAATGTAGTTAGAAGTTGAACAGCTGAGTTCAACTTCTGCATTACAGATTTAGATGTATATGAATAACTCTAGCTGGGTGTGGTGGTGTGCTCCTGTAGTCCCAGCTACTTGGGAGGCTGAGGTGGAGGATTGTTTGAGGCCAGGAGGTCCAGGCTGCAGTGAGCCATGATTGCACCACTGTACTCCAGCCTAGATGACAGAGTGAGACCCTGTCTCTAAAAAAAGAATAAATAAATAAATAAAAACACTAAAAACAAAATCCTCCCCTTTCCCCCAAAATAACTCATGCAATTTTCACAGTATCCTTTGAGGTAGTCCATGTCATTATTACAGTTTTATAGATCAAGAAACTGAGGCACAGAGGGCTAAGTAACTTGTCCAGGTATACAACTGGTAAGTGCAGGGCAAGGATGTAAACCCACAAAAGTACTTGTTTTTACATGATACCTCTTTTTGATGCTGAAGGACAAAGTCAGCTGCTCTTTTGGAGAATCAGGTTTGGGATATAATGAAGTTTAAAACTGGTTTTAAAGGTCTGTTCTCAAAGATTAATTTACATAATTTACTGTCAGTGTGGGAGGAGATGAGAATGTCAACTTCCCTAGAATTTTCTTCAGGCTAACATCATTCATGACTTAGATAACATTATAAAGAGTGTGTTTATGAAAATGGCTGTTTACACTAAGTTGTGGTACCTAATATTTTTAAAAAGTTTCTTGCACAGATTAAAGAATGGAGAGTGAGAAATTACTAGTAGGATTAAAAAGCAGGGACTGGGACGATAGCTAGAACTAGGTGTACTGTGAAGTCTATCTTACACACTTTTGCCAAATTATTGTTTTCAGGTGTCCTTGTGGTTAGCTGATTTTGTACTCTGAAACTTGAAGTGGTTTATTAGTGCTAACTGTTAGTACCAGATCTTCCTGCAGCATAGCCTTCCACAGTATGGCCCTGTTTTCCAGTCCTACCTCCAAGACTTACACATAACCAGTGTCTCTTTCACATTTACCTATGCTATTTATTATTTGTGCCAGACATCACCCTTCTTCATTATGGCCTTTTTCTAATCCTGTCATACAGTTGCAACATTTTCCATTTTTGAAACCTCAAAGACTTTTCTTTTTAAGATTTTATTTTTTAGAGCAGTGCTACATTCACAGCAAAATTGAGAGGAAGGTACACACATTTCCCATACACTTCCTGCCCCTCCATAAGCACAGCCTCCCCCGTTATCAATAGCCCCTACCAGAGGAGTACATTTGTTACAATTGATGAACCTGCGTTGACACACTGTATCACCCAAAGTCTATAGTTTACATTAAGGTCCTCTCTTGGTATTGTACATTCTGTGGGTTTGAATAAATGTGTAATGACATGTATCCACCATTGTAGTATCATACAGAGTATTTTCACTGTACTAAATCCTCTGTGTTCCACCTGTTTATCCCTCCCTACCCCTTAACTCCTGGCAACCTCGGATCTTTTTAGTCTCCATAGTTTTGCCTTTTCCAGAATGTCATGTAATTGAAATCATACAGTATGTAGCATTTTCAGGTTGGCTTCTAATATGTATTTAAGATTCCTGTCTGTCTTTCCATGGTTTGATAGCTCATTTCTTTTTAGTGCTGAATAATATTTCATGGTCTGTAGGTGCCACATTTTACTTATTCATTCACCTATTGGAGGACATCTTGGTGCATCCAAGTTTTTGCAGTTATGAATAAAACTGCTATACACATCTGTGTGCAGTTTTTTGTGTGGACAGAAGTTTTCAACTCCTTTTGGTAGGCTGGGCGCACTGGCTCATGCCTGTAATCCCAGCACTTTGGGAGGCTGAGATGGGCAGATCGCTTGAGGTCAGGAGTTCGAGACTAGCCTGGCCAACATGGCAAAACCCTGTCTCTACTAAAAATACAAAAATTAGCTGGGCATGGTGGTGGGCACCTGTAATCCCAACTACTGGGGAGGCTGAGGCAGGAGAATTGCTTGAACCTGGGAGGCGGAGATTGCAGTGAGCTGAGATTGTGCCACTACACTCCAGCCTGGGCGGCAGTGTGGGACTCCATCTCAAAAAACAAAAAAACCCAAAAAACTCCTATGGGTAAATATCAAGGAATGCGGTTGCTGGATCGTGTGGTAAGAGTATGTTTGTCAGAAACCTCAAAGATTCTTAAAGTATTCTCTATGGCATGTATCTTTTCAAATTATATATATGTGTACACTTGTTACCACCTTCTCATTTATACCTGTTTCTTTCCTGGCACTTGTCACTTTTATTAAAGGTTCTAAAGCTGTGGCTGGACTTCAGGGGATTCCTGAATCAGGCACATTTTTTTCCCTTTGATTTGGTTGGTTGAAAAATTGTCTTTGTAAGAAAAATTTCTTTATATCAAATGCTGTTCATTTCAGACAACTGTAGTTACATGACTGTTCCACAGCCTGGTAGCACAAGCTTCATGGGAGCAGTGCTGAGGCCTCTAGAATGACTTCCATTCGATAGGACTAAGAGACCATTGTGCCATTTTGATCTTTTGACAATCCGTCTCTGCCTTTGTCCCTCTCTTTAAATATTAGGCCTAATGAAGAAAATAAAATAAGAATCATAAGTACTCTTCTATTTTACTTTGATTATCATATATTCTAGAATAGAAAAACCAGTGTTTTTGATAATCAGGTTTTTAAAATATCCGAAGGGGCATTAAATGTATGAGAGCATAGGAAGGAATACTTAATTTTAATTAGTATATTTATTAAATTTATTAGCTTAAATAACCTGCCCTTCCTTAAGCATTAAATGCTCTTGGTAAATTTAGCAAATCACTCAATTATTTTAAGAAATAATCAGACTAAAATTCTTTACCATTTTCATGGTTAGCTTAATTAAATTATAAAATTTTAAGCTGTTATTAGTTTTGTATAGCTTATTCACTTAAGGGTTTCAAATACGTTCAAAAGACAAACACACATTCTTAAAAAGTTATAATGAACAAGTCATTATAAATGAACGTGAGTGCCATTAAAAATGTGTTTCCTGTGTTAAAGTGAAATAAATTTTATATCAAAAAAGGTTGCAGAGCTATTACTATACTTTTACTTAAACACAATATAAAAGGTTAAGTTTGATTTATTTCTTAATCTCAGAGTTGCAAAGTTACTTAACCATCTAAGGGAAATTAACTGTTTTAGGCAGGTTAAGGTCCTTCCATAGCAGGAGAGATCTTTATAGAATTAACAGAATAATGGGTCAGAAATTTGAGACTACTGTATGGGACCCTAACCAATAAGAATATACCTTGCTGTTTTATGATAGTGTGTGTGTGTGTGTGTGTGTGTGTGTGCACGCACGCGCGCACACACACACCACACTCTTATAAAAGCATAGACCTAAGCCTGAGATTTTTGTGTTACTTCTTGTAGTCAAGCTTTGCTGACCCTACCAAATAAATTGACCATTTTCTTCTCATTTTTTGACTAAGGTTTGCTATGTCCCACCAGATTTTATTTCATACACCTCCTAAAGTGAAGTGCTTTTTCCATTATTCTGTGCAGTTGTTTAATGTAAAGTCAGTTTTCAAAGTATCTTAGGCAAGCAAAAGGAGCCACATAGAGAAACCTTGCTTGAAATGTTAGAGCTGGTTTGCGGCTTGGAACAGAAGGAAAACATTTGAAGCAGGTATTCTGTTAAATAACATTTCTCCTACGGTTTTGAGGATATGACTGAATAATTGACAGGCTATATCTCATCCCTTGTGCACATGACTCTGATATTACTGATTGTTTTTTAAATTTCTAGCTCCTCCTATCTTTGAGCAGTGGACTTCAGTACTCAGTAGATTAGTATTCGAAGTATCATACGAAGTGTTATTTCTGCTTGTTAGTCCCTTTTGGGAACTGTATAGCCCTTTGAAACTTCAAATAGAAAGCTTTTTTTTCCCCTAAGGATTCTTTGACCAGAAAGGCATATTTTCATCTTCTCTGCAGAGAAGGTTCAAGCACACTTGCACATCTGGTTCAAGCTTTACTAAGTATATATATGTATAAAACAAATCTTTGCCAAAAATTCTGAAAGAATTCTCTACTGCAACTAAAGTAATTTATTCCATCAGATCCAGGGCCTTGATTACCTTTCAAAGTGGTTTTTTTTTAGAAATCAGAGTGGAATACAAAGTTGTTTACTACTATGGAGATTTGATGACGTTCTAGAGGAAAATCATGGAATACTTCTGATGGAAATTTTGCTCTTTGAGAGAAAAGAAAACCCCATGCATAGAACGCTTGAACAGCGAAGAATTCTTTCATTGCTTAGCTCGTTTGTTGGAAGTATTAAGTTACAGGAATAAGGTAAATCTCTTCATTCACATATCTATGAATACCATTTTGGCTTTAGTGAAAAACCATCAGCACTATTAATTATTAGTTTCCTTATCCCTCTTCTTTAGAGGGTGAACTATTTAGTATTTAGGACAAGGGTTATTCTTTCAGTTCATATCTAGTACATAGAGTAATACTTGACATCTTGTAGATGACCAAGACATACTGAAATACTTGTTTTATGAATGTCTTTAATTTATTTTATTCTCTGTAGTATTTTATTGTAAATCTTAAAAATGATCCATGATCTTTCACATCATCTAGTCTGGCCATCACACAAGTACAGCTTCTTTATTTTAACATTAAGCCCACCACATAGCTTCTCCATCTAACTTGTGCTTGAACACTGAGTGATGAGGTCTCACTGAGTTTTGGATATTGCTAGTTTTATATCAGGAAAAATCCAATCCTAATTCTTTAATATGTTAGTCCTAATCTGCCCTTCCATAACTTGTGCCTGTTAATAATCCTTCAATGGAGTCACATTATGTATACATTTAATCTAAAGGAATTTAGCTTTGTACTTTATAAGAAAAGATAACGCAGGAAATTAAGCTCAACATTTGTAACAAAGAATGAAATAATGTTTGCCTAATGGTGTAGTAGCTTTAAAGTTTTGTCTACACTGCTGATAAAGAGGAGAAATGCATTTTGGTCCCTTTGCATGTACGTAGAGGGGGTTTATGGACATTCTCTTTAAAGAAATTGAGGAATTAACTAAGGGCCATAGAGAAACATTAATAAATAAACAGATACATTCATCATTTTGTATATAAATCAGGTACTTGACTAGTTATTTGAAGTATTTCCAGTAGTAGTTTGACCATATTCAATTACTGCTTTAACACTGTCTTTTGGATCTGATTCTTGGGTGCATCGTTCACTGTGTTCACAAGTTCACTTGTCATTGGTGTGATTCCCAGAATATGTGAACTGTTAGACTGTGTCTTTTTTTTTTTTTAATGTTTTAGCATCCCAATCCCTGCAGTTGATCCCCTAAGCACAGTACAACAGAAAAAAAGTTACAAGACTATAAAAAACTTGCTTGTGGTTTACTTTTAATATTTAAACAGTGAGGTTTGACCTTTACTCAATGAATACTTTGCAGTTCCTTCTTTGTAGAAGGCCTTTGCACTCTCAATTTTCTAGGTCAAATATTTTAAATCTAAAGTAAACATTATTGTAGCTTTGCATTTATTCTGTTTACCTTGCCATGTTACTGTAGGCACACTTTTCCTGAGGTATGGTCTTGCTTGACACAGAGTAGGTATGCAAAAATATTATTTCCTTTTAGTCATTTAGCTAGTTTTTTCCCCAGCCAAGTAAAAAAGGTCAATGGATGTACCTATTTTCTATACAGTTCAGCTTGTATTTTTTAACCCTCCTTAAAGTATCTGTCATTTCTGTCCTGTGCAGTTAGAAATACCATCTTAGGCATTACTAGAGGGCTTATTTCTTGAAATAGAGTATTACTATAGGAGCAAATATTTTAAGAAAAAATAAATTAAAGAAAATGGTGTATAAATACAAACTAGTATTAGCATGCAGAATCTGTCTGTTCTCTAGTCTCATACCTCACATAAAATTCATCGTGAAATGGTGACAATTTTACCTGCTAAATATTTCTTAACCCTCCTCTTTGTTTTTTATATCTACCACACTAAGATGACCATCATCTCTTGTCTTGACCTCCTAAGTAGCTATTTTCCCTCCTGCCTCAGTGCCTTTACAGTCTTTCTTTGCCTAGAGTATTTTTCATGTAGTTACCTTCTGTATATCCTTGAGATCTTAATTCAGACATCATATACTCCTTATAAAAGCTTTCTTTCAGGAAAGAGAACATACAAATAAGATTAATTATATAAATATATAATTACAGTCCTTTGACGGTCCTTCAAAGGAAAAGTATAGAAATATGGAGGTATTGAACAGGGCCTAGTGCAATCTGGGCATCCAGAGAATGTTCTGAGGCTATAGCCATTATTTTGGGATCCTGTTACCATTTTGTAACTTTGCCAAAGGAAAAGCTATTCTATTTATGACTACTATCTGTAAGCCTTATTTGTTTACCAGAAAAATAATCTTTAGCATGGTATTATCCTAGCTGGGAGTGTTGACCTGTAGGCTTCAGTCATGGAATAGGAAACACCCACTCATATGACTATAGGATGTATTTAATTCTCAATGCTTTCTGGGGTAGTTAAAAAATTTTTTTTATTGTGTTATGAACAGTATTTTCTCAGGTCTAATTTGGAGAAATTGTAGAGTAGTTGTTTTGGATAGTTATGATTATATATTTATTAATGATCTAATTTTGGGATGAAGAATTATGTCATAGACTATCTCAAACTTTGAACAGGGCTCTGTAACAGATACTGAAGCCACAACTAATTGATTTCCTTAGAGAGGGACCCAGCAGCAGCCTCTCTCCTTCCTCAGTTTGCTTCTATTCCCTCAAATGCTCATTATTTTTTTCTCACTAACTCTACTATTAGCATTTAATTCCCTTTTCTGTTGTTAAATTTAAGGGAAAAATGAAATATTACTGCATATGAAAAATACTGAGTCCTTATACTGTTCAGTAGCATTTGAGACTTAGGTTTTGTCTTGGACGGATGAATTCATATATGTTCTGTTTCCAGAATTTTTTTTTTTTGGTAGGGGGAAGGGTTAGATGGAGGGACGATGTCACATAATTATATATTTGCAGTTTAAAGGGAAAACATTTTAAGTGGAAAAAAAACAAACCCAAGGTAAGTTTTATCCTTGTACATGTTTTAAAATTAACCATATTGTAGACTGCATAACAGATTGTTGAAGATAGAAATCAAATTTAATGTGCTTTATAAAAACTGAAAATACAGTTTTCAATTTCATAGTGCATAAATATGCAGGTACCAAGAGGTTCTGACTAGAATAATTATAGTAGACAGTTGTTAATGAAGATTGATGAGGAAGAGAAAAAATTAGTTGAGTGAAACTCCAGAATACTGAAAAAAAGGAAAGAAAAGAAAAACACTTGCTATATCACAGTGAATCATAGAAAAATCTTATAATATTTATTATGGTCTTGTCTACTCAAAAATAGTAAATAATCTGTGTGTCATTCTTTAACAGAAAGTTAAGTTATAATTAATATAGCTATTTATTAATAATTAGTAATAATGTCTGTGGCATTAGCCAATAGTAACACAGAAGAGATAAGAGAGAACATAACAAAGAGTAGATACGATATACAAAGGATAGATTAAAAACTGAAATTACTAAAATAGAAAATAAAAAATAAATAGAAATGATTTTTTAAAAACCCAAGAGTTTATTCTTTGAAAAAAGTTAATAGCCTCTAAGAAGGCCAATCTAAAAAAAAAAAAAGGAAAACACAATAGTATATTATAAAAGTGGGACAGTATGGACAGAATTGAGAATTTAAAAACATTTTTAAAAGGGCTGCATTGCGCCTATATGATGCCTTCATGGAGTTAGAAAAAGATGTCTCCTTTGGGCAGATGCAGTCCTGTGAATGCTTTTGTACAAATTAAATAGTAGCCTTGGGCTAGGACATACATCTCAGTTATCAGAGTGTAGCTTGGTGTTCAGTCCACCCACTGCCTTGGCCAGGTACTTGTGTGTAGGGAACAACTTGTGGACATAATTAGAGATAAAGTAGAAATTATTCAAAAGCCATGAAAATACTAAGAATAGTAAAAAGTGATTATGGAAATTTTAAAAGATAAAAGTTGAAACATGCTTTATGGCATTCAGTGATAACAAACTTGCAGGCTACCATCATGAACTCTGGAAGTTTGTAGACCACTGATAGGAAAATCTGATTTAGTAGGAGAGTTTTGCTTTATTTCCCAATGCTAGAAAAGGCTTTCAAACATTTACACTTTTTAATAGTAGCTTTGAATCAAAGCAGTGTGTGCTTTTTCCTTTTCTTTTTAATCAGCGTATTACATACAAGTAGTGCTAGGCCTGCTATACCAAATAATAACAATGTCGTGAGCTTTTTCCAGACTTTCTTCCAATCCTGGTGGAAGCCACTTTGGTTCTTAGTTGTTTCCTTTGCTTTACTTCTATATTTTTTAATTAAGTTATCTCTTGATCCAGTAAATAGATACTGTTAGGCCAAATAGTATAATTGCCTTTCTTTTATGTAAATAAATAAAATTTCTTAATTTGCATTATCTTCTTCTTCTTCTTCTTTTTTTTTTTTTGGCTTGCTTCATATTCTTTGCTAGTTTTTCTCTTACTTCCAACATCTTGTTAAAATATATCCCAATTTAGTCAGCAAGGAAGGTCTGATTAAATTCCTTTGTACTGCAGTCTATGAACTGCCTCTTAGTAGAAAGCTGTGGCCATCCTAGGGCTCATCTCATTTCTTTCCCTTCTTTTAGGGATTATACTCTTCTCGAGGTCAATGTCTAAAAGTGGTTGTTTCATGTATTTGTCCTGTTGTCTAGTTTTTTTAAACAGCAGCAGGTTATACTGTTTTTTTTGTTAGTTCATCATGGCCTGAAATGGAAGTCAAGCATAGATATTTTAACAAAATAAGAGTACCAGGTCCTGTTCTCTTACCCTAATTGTTACCAACATGGATCTTGTGTAATACTATTAAGCAACTGCAAGTTTTAATCTTGCTTGTTATCAGGTAGTAGGAAAAATCAATAAAGTGATTTTGAATTAGTTTTATTAGCTAAATAATAGTATAGAACCAAGATTGGCAGACTTTTCTGTAGAGACCAAATAGTAAATATTTTAGATTTTGTGTGCTGTACAATCTGTGCCACAACTATTCAACTGTTGTTGTATCATGAAGGCAGCCATAGATAACACATAAATGAATGAGCATGGTTGTGTTCCAATAAAACCTTATTTATGGTCACGAAAATTAGAATTGCGTAGAATTTTAATCTGTCATGAAATACTATTGTTTTGATTTCCCCCAGCCATTTAACAATATAAAGACCATCCTCAGCTTATGGGATGACTAAAAACAAGCACAAGACTGGAGTTGGCCTGTGGCCCATAGGTTGTTGACACTGATACAGATTCTTAAGCCTCATATTCTGTATTAATGTGATGGCAAATTGGGAACTTGCTCATTGTTTCTGAGCTCCTCAATATTTCTGTCTTGGTTACTCAAAGTGGCAAAACAGTGTGATTTGTATTGGCAGGCCTAAGGAACAGAAAGTAGAGAAGTGAGTAGAAGAGGAAAGTAGAGGGGAAAGTGGGTTAGCTTTGGGTGTATAATGAACCTGTCTGAGGCACCAGCTTGTTCATTTCATTTATCAAGCATTTATTGAGTACCCACTATTTGACACTGTGCTAGGTCCTATCAATACAAAACAGTATACAGCTTGGTCTTTGGTCTGGAAAGGTGGGGAAGACAGTTAAGTTTTAAGTATCTGTTGGGGTAAGCGTGGGACAAAGGGAAGCGAAGCCAGAGCTGCAGGTGCTTTTTCTGCCTGTGGAAAGACCATCTTATGCCCCACCTCCCACCCCAGCTCCTGCAACACAAATGCCCAGCACTCCAAGGTTTGTGGGATACAGTCCATACAGTCATCTCGCCTACAACAACTAAGGGCTGGGAGGGAACCCGGGTGCCAACAGCCAGTTCATGGCATCCTCTGGTACTATAATTCCAAAACCCCCAAAGCCACCAGATAAGCTGCTGATGCCCTACATGAGGTACAGCTGAAAGGTCTGGGACCAAGTAAAGGCTTCCAACCCTGACCTAAAGTTGTGGGAGACTGGCAAGATTATTGGTGGCATGTGGCGAGATCTCACTGATGAAGAAAAACAAGAATATTTAAATGGATACGAAGCAGAAAGAGTACAATGAATTTATGAAGGTCTATCATAATTCCCCCACATACCTTGCTTACGTAAATGCAAAAAATCGTGCAGAAGCTGCTTTAGAGGAAGAAAGTCGACAGAGACAGTCTCACATGGAGAAAGGAGAACCATATATGAGCATTCAGCTCTGCTGAAGATCCAGATGATTATGATGATGGGTTTTTAGTGAAACCATCACCTCTTCAGTGAAATCCTTAGTGAGAGTGTGGTGCCAGACGTTCGGTCAGTTGTCGCAACAGCTAGAATGCAGGTCCTTAAACGACAGGTCCAGTCCTTAATGGTTCCTCAGTGAAAACTAGAAGCTGAACTTCTTCAAATACAGGAGGAGAAGAGGAAATTCCTAGAAAGCACAGATTCACTTAACAATGAACTTAAAAGGTTGTGCGGTCTGACAGTAGAAGTGGATATGGAGAAAGTTGCAGCTGAGATTGCACAGGCAGAGGAACAGACCGGCAAAAAGCAGGAGGAAAGGGAGAAGGAGGCGGCAGAGCAAGCCGAGTGCAGTCAGGGCAGCATCATTCCTGAGGAAGAACAAGCACCAAACAAAGGTGAGGAGAAGAAAGACGAGGAGAACATTCCAATGGAGACAGAGAAGACACACCTTGAAGAAACGACAGAGAGTCAACAGAATGGTGAAGAAGGCACGTCTACTACTGAGGACAAGGAGAATGGGCAGGAGGGGGTTGACAGTATGGCAGAGGAAGGAACCAGTGATAGTAACACTGGCTCAGAGAGCAACAGCACAACAGTGGAAGAGCCACCGACAGATCCCCTACCAGAAGATGAGAAAAAAGAATAAGTGTTGCCATGTTTTATGTGTTCTAAATAGTTTTTTAAATGAAAAAAAGTTTTTTGGTTTTTTAAAAAAATACCTGTTAGGGTAAATGAAAATTTAGAATGACTGGACTCTGAAGTGTCTTTTGCAGATAAATACAGTTTTTTTTAATTTTAATTTTTTTTTATACCAGTGGTATTTGGTTACATGAGTAAGTTCTTTAGTGATGATTTGTGAGATTTTGTGCACCCATCACTCAAGCAGTATACACTGGACCATATTTGTAGTCTTTTATCCCTCACCCCCTTCACACTCTTTCCCTAAAGTCCCCAAAGTGCATTGTATCATTCTTATCCCTTTGCATCCTCTCACAGCTTAGCTCCTACATATCAGTGAAAATATATGATGTTTGGTTTTCCATTCCTGAGTTACATCACTTAGAATAATAGTCTCCAGTCTCATCCAGGTCATCACAAATGCTATAAATTCATTCCTTTTTATGGCTGCATAGTATTCCATTATATATATATATATATATATATATATATACACACCACAGTTTGTTTATCCACTCGTTGATTGATGGGCATTTGGGTTGGTTCTCTGATTTTGCAGTTGTGAATTGTGCTGCAATAAACATGCGTGTACAAGTATCTTTTTCAAATAATGACTTCTTTTCCTTTGGATAGATACCCAGTAGTGGGATTGCTGGATCAAATGGCAGTTCTACTTTTAGTTCTTTAAGGAATCTCCACACTGTTTTCCATAGTGGCTGTACTAGTTTACATTCCCACTAGCAGTGTAGAAGTGTTCCTTGTTCACCGCATCCACGCTGACATCTACTGTTTTTCGATTTTTTGATTATGCTCATTCTTTCAGGAGTAAAGTGGTATTGCATTGTGGATTTGATTTGTGTTCCCCTGATCATTAGTGATGTTGAGCATTTTTTCATATGTTTGTTGGCCATTTGTATATCTCCTTTTGAGAATTGTCTATTCATATCCTTAGCCCACTTTTTGATGAGTTTTTTTTTTTTTCTTACTGATTTGTTTGAGTTCGTTGTAGATTCTGGATATTAGTCCTCTGTCAGGTGTATAGGTTGTGAAGATTTTCTCCCACTCTGTGGATTGTCTGTTTACTTTGCTGACTGTTCCTTTTGCTGTGCAAAAGCTCTTTAGTTTAATAGGTCCCAGCTATTTTTCTTTGTTTTTATTGCATTTACTTTTGGGTTCTTGGTCATGAAATGCTTTCCTAAGCCAATGTCTAGAAGGGTTTTTCCAGTGTTATCTTCTAGAATTTTTATAGTTTCAGGTCTTAGGTTTAAGTCCTTAATCTATCTTGAGTTGATTTTTGTATAAAGTGAGAGATGAGCATCCAGTTTCATTCTCCTACATGTGGCTAGCCAGCTATCCCAGCACCATTTGTTGAAAAGGGCGTCCTTTCCCCACTTTATGTTTTTGTTTGATTTGTCGAAGGTCAGTTGGCTTTAAGTATTTGGGTTTATTTCTGGGTTCTCTATTCTGTTACATTGGTCCATATGCCTATTTTTATACCAGTACCATGCTGTTTTGGTGACTATGGCCTTATAGTATAGTTTGAAATCAGGTAGTGTGATGCTTCCAGATTTGTTCTTTTTCTTAGCCTTGCTTTGGCTATGTGGGCCATTTTTTAGTTTCTATGAATTTTAGAATTGTTTTTTTCTAATTCTGTGAAGAGTGATGGTGGTATTCTGATGGGGATTGTGTTGAATTTGTAGATTGCTTTTGGCAGTATGGTCATTTTCACAATATTGATTCTACTCACCCATGAGCAAGGGATGTGATTCTATTTGTTTGTGTCGTCTGTGATTTCTTTCAGCAGTGTTTTGTAGTTTTCCTTGTAGAGGCCTTTTGACTCTTTTGTTAGGTATATTCCTAAGTATTTTATTTTTATTTTTATTTTTATTTTTGCAGCTATTGTAACAGGGGTTGAGTTCTTGATTTGATTCTCTGCTTGTTCGCTGTTGGTGTGTAGAAGAGCTACTGATTTGTGGTACATTAATCTTGTATCCAGAAACTTTGCTGCATTCTTTTATCAGTTCTAGAAGCTTTCTGGAGGAGTCCTTAGGGTTTTCAAGGTAAACAATCATATCGTCAGCAAACAGTGACAGTTTGACTTCCTCTTTACCAATTTGGATGCCCTTTGTTTCTTTCTCTTGTCTGATTGCTCTGGCTAGGGCTTCCAGTACTGTGTTGAAGAGGAGTGGTGAGAGTGAGCATCCTTGTCTTGCTCCAGTTCTCAGAGAGAATGCTTTCAACTTTTCACCATTCAGTATTATGTTGGCTGTGGGTTTGTCATAGATGGCCTTTATTACATTAAGGTATGTCCCTTGTATGTTGATTTTGCTGAGAGTTTTAATAATATAGGGATGCTGGATTTTGTCAAATGCTTTTTCTGCATCTATTGAGATGATCATGTGATTTTTGTTTTTAATTCTCTTTATGTGGTGTATCACATTTATTGACTTGTGTATGTTAAACCATCCCTACATCCCTGGTATAAAACCCACTTGATCATGGTGGATTATCTTTTTGATATGTCATTGGATTCGGTTAGCTAGTATTTTGTTAAGGATTTTAACATCTGTGTTCATCAAGGATATCAGTCTGTAGTTTTCTTTTTTGGCTATGTCCTTTCCTGGTTTTGGTATTAGGGTGATGCTGGCTTCACAGAATGAATTAGGGAGGGTTCCTTCTTTCTCTATCTTGTGAAATAGTGTCAAAAGGATTGGTACCAATTCTTCTTTGAATGTCTGGTAGAATTCATCTGTGAATCCTTCTGGTCCTGGACTTTTTTTTGTTGTTAATTTTTAAATTACCATTTCAGTCTCACTGCTTGTTATTGGTCTGTTCAGGGTGTCTAATTCTTCCTGATTTAAGCTAGGAGGGTTGTATTCTTCCAGGAATTTATCCATCTCTTCTAGGTTTTCTAGTTTATGTACATAAAAGTGTTCATAGTAGCTTTGAATGATCTTTTGTATTTCAGTGGTGTTAATTGTAATATCTCTTTTTTTGTTTCTTAGTAAGGTTATTTGGATTTTCTCTCTTCTTGGTTAATATTGCTAATAGTGTATCAATTTTATTTATCTTTTTGAAGAACCAGCTTTTTATTTCATTTATCTTTTGTGGTTGGTTTGTTTTTTTCAATTTCATTTAGTTCTGCTCTGATCTTGGTTATTTCATTTTTTCTGCTGGGTTTGGGTTTGGTTTGTTCTTTTTTCTCTGGTTCCTTGAGGTGTGACCTTAGAATGTCAGTTTGTGCACTTTCAGACTTTTGATATAGGCGTTTAGGGCTATGAACTTTTCTCTTAGCACTGCCTTTGCTGTATCCCAGAGGTTTTGATAGGTTGTGTCATTACCGTCTTTCAGTTCAAAGAATTTTTTAAATTTCTATCTTGATTTTGTTTTTGACCCAGTGCTCATTCAGGAGCAGGTTATTTAATTTCCCTATATTTGGATCGTTTTGAAGGTTCCTTTTGGAGTTAATTTCCAGTTTTATTCCACTGTGGTCTGAAAGAGTGCTTGATATAGTTTCAATTTTCTTAAATTTATCTAGGCTCATTTTATGGCCTATCAAATGGTCTATCTTGGAGAAAGTTCCATGTGCTGTTGAATAGAATGTGTATGCTGCAGTTGCTGGATGAAATGTCCTGTATATATCTGTTAAATCCATTTGTTCCAAGGTATAGTTTAAATTCGTTGTTTCTTTGTTGACTTTCTGTCTTGATGACCTATCTAGGGCTATCAGTGGAGTATTGAAGTCCCCCACTTTTACTTTTTTGCTGTCTATCTAATTTCTTAGGTCTATTGTTTTATAAATTTGGGAGCACCAGTGTTAGGCACATATATGTTTAGGATTGTGATATTTTCCTGTTGGACAAGGCCTTTTACCATTATATACTGTCCCTCTTTGTCTCTTTTAACTGCCGTTGCTTTAAAGTTTGTTTTGTCTGATATAAGAATAGCTACTCCTCCTCACTTTTGGTGTCCATTTGTGTGAAATGCCTTTTTCCATCCCTTTATTTTAAGTTTATGTAAGTCCTTATGTGTTAGGTGAGTTTCCTGAAGGTGGCACATAGTTGGTTGGTGAGTTCTTATCCATTCTGTGATTCCGTATCTTTTAAGTGGAGCATTTAGGCCATTTACATTCATTCGATGTTAGCATTGAAAGGTGAGGTACCGTTACTTTTCTTATGCTCTTTGTTGCCTGTGTACTTTTGTTTTTGTTTTTGCCTTTTAACTTGTATTTTTTGTTTTATAGGTCCTGTGTAATTTATGCTTTAAAGAGGTTCTGTTTTGGTGTAAAAGATTTGTTTCAAGATTTAGAGCTCCTTTTAGCAAAAGGAACCTTCAAAACCATGCAAAAGGTGGTGGTTTGGTAATGGCGAATTCTCTCAGTCAGTGTTTGTGTGTCTGAAAACAACTGTGTCTTTCCTTCATATATCATGCTTAGTTTTGCTGGATACAAAATTCTTGGCTGATAAATGTTTTGTTTGAGGAGGCTGAAGATAGGTCCCCAATCCCTTCTAGCTTATAGGGTTTCCGCTGAGAAATCTGCTGTTGATCTGATGGGTTTTCCTTTATAGGTTACCTGGTGCTTCTGTCTCACAGCTCTTAAGATTCTTTCCTTCATCTTAACTTGGGATAACCTGATGACAGTGTGCCTAGGCAAAGATGTTTTTGTGATGAATTTCCCAGGTATTCTTTGTGCTTCTTGTATTTGGCTGTCTACGTCTCTCACAAGGCTGGGAAAGTTTTCCTTGATTATTCCACCAAATATGTTTTCCGGGCTTTTAGAATTCTCTTCTTCCTCAGGTATACCGATTATTCTTAGGTTTGGTTGATTAACATAATCCCAGACTTCTTGGAGCCTTTGTTCATATTTTCTTAGTTTTTTGTCTTTGTCTTAGTTGGATTGGGTTAATTTGAAGACCTTGTCTTCAAGCTCTGGATTTCTTTTTTCTACTTGTTCAATTTTGTTGTTGAGACTTTCCACAGCATTTTGCATTTCTAAAAGTGTGTCCAAAGTTTCCTGAATTTTTAATTGTGTTTTCTTTAAGCTATCTATTTCCTTGAATATTTTTTCCTTCACGTCTTGTATCATGTTTCAGATTTTCTTGCATTGGGCTTTGCCTTTCTCTGGTCCCTCCCTGATTAGCTTAATAACTAATTTCCTGAATTCTTTTTCAGGTTAGAAATCAGGGATTTCTTCTTGGTTTGGATCCATTGCTGGCGAACTAGTGTGATTTTTGGGAGGCGTTGAAGAGCCTTGTTTTGTCATATTACCAGGGTTGGTTTTCTGGTTCCTTCTCATTTGGGTAGGCTGTGTCAAAGGGAAGGTCTAGGGCTGAAGGCTATTTGAAGGCTATTGTTTAGATTCTTTTGTCCCATGGGGTATTCCCTTGATGTAATAATCTCCGCCTTTTCCTATGGATGTGGCTTCCTGTGAACCCGACTGCAGTGTTTGTTGTCTGTCTTCTGGGTCTAGCCACCCAGCAAGTTTACCTGGCTATGGGCTGGTACGGGGGGTTTTCACAGAGTCCTGTGATGTGAACTGTCTATGGGTCTCTCAGCTATGGATACCAGCTGCTTGTTCTGGTGGATGTGACAGAGGGTGCAGTGAACTCCGTGAGGGTTCTTAGCTTTGGTGGTTTAATTCTCCATTTTTGTGCTGGTTGGCCTCCTGCCAGGAGGTGGCACTTTCCAGAGAGCATCAGCTGTAGTAGGGTGGAGAGAGACTGGTGGTGGGTGAGGCCCTAGAACTCCCAAGGTTGTATGCCCTTTGTCTTCCACTACCAGAGTGGATTGGGAAGGATCATCAGGTGGGGGCGGGGCTAGGCCTGCCTGAGCTCAGACTCTCCGTGGGCGCGTCTTGCTGGGGCTGCTGTGGGGGATGGGATGAGATTCCCAGGTCACTAGAGTTGTGTTACCTATTATTAGGATTATGGCTGCCTCTGCTGAGTCATGCAGGTTGTCAGGGAAGTGGGGGAAAGCTGGCAGTCACAGGCCTCACCCAGCTCCCATGCAAACTGAAGGGCCAGTCTCACTCTCACTGTGCCCCCACCAACAGCGTGGAGTCTGTTTCCAGGCTGAGGGCAAGGTGGGCTTGAAAACATACCTGAGGATATCTGCCTTCCAGCTGCGAGAGAAAAGGGCTTTAGTTCTTACCCTGCCTGTGAAGTCTGTACGCAGGATTTGTGCCCTCCCTTGAGTTCTGGCCAGGAGGTTTCTCACCCTGTTCAAATTGTTACAAAGTTCCGCTAGATAATTCCTTTTCCCTGTGGAGTTTTACTCCCTGCTCCTCTGGCCACCCTCCTGTTGGATCCCTGTGGTGCCAGGCAGGAACGGGCTGTTTGGGGACCCAGCGAGATCCCAGGGCCTTTCTGCTCCTTCCTCTACCCCTGTATTTCACTTGGCCCCCTAACTTGACTCAACTCCAAGTAAAGTCGAAAACTTCTCCTGCAAACAGACCTTCAACTTCTCCAGTTGGGGGGTATGTTCGGGAGGAAGTGTGTTCCCACTTCCACAGTTGGGGGACTCACAGTATTTGGGGTGTCTCCTGGGTCCTGCAGGAGTAGCAGTCTGCTTCCTTCAGAGAGGGTCTGTGGGTCCTCTCGGGATTGCTGGTTTGTTCTTACAGTCAATCTGGAGCTAAAATCCACAATGCAAGCCCCTGCATGCTGCTCTGTCCAGAGCTACAATCTAGTCTTGCCTTGTGTCTGCCACGGTCTCTTGAATCCTCAATTTTTATTACTATAAAAATGATATGCACTTGTGGGAGAAATTTATTATCTCACAAATACTATAGATACCAACAGGGAAGGTTTATTCTGGTTATGTTAGCAAACTGATTTTGTAGCTTTATATAAAGTGTTTTGTTTTCTCCTTTCTTCCTTTAAAATAAGAATCCATGATTTTTGTCAGCCAGAAGGTTCTTTTATGGATTAATGAGTAAATGATCCCAGAGCATTTTGGGATTTGTTAATTAAAGTGTCCTTATAAAATGCTTTAACAAATTATCAGTTTTGATGTTTTTAAAATAAAAAGTCCTCCAGAGCAAACTGTAATTGTTGGGGATAATTTAAAAACCTGGAGCATTTGGCATTCTTATGAAAATGGAAAGAGTTTATAAATGCTTTTTAGTTATATCAAGAAGTGTTTCTGGTTTCTTTTGAGATAAATTACAAAATTACATGGATAATGAAAATGTTTTTGCATATTTTCTGTGTAGAGTGAACTTTTCATTTCTGTCTCGTATTTTAATGCCATGTAGGTGGTTAGATGCACTCTGTCTTGCGTACCCAAAATGGAGCAACTTGGGGTCTTACGTATTGGCAGTCCTAAGGAACAGAAAGTTGGCAAAGGGAGGAAAGAGCTCACTGAAGGGGAAAGTGGGTTAGTTTTGGGATACAATTAATCTGTCTGAGGTGCCAGCTTGTAATAACATTTATCAAGCATTTATTGAATTCCCATTATTGTTTGACACTGTGACAGGTCCTATAGGTACCAGTAGTGTATAGCTTAGTCTTTGTCCTGCAAAAAGAGATAAATATAGACAAATAGTTACTGAAAATATTACAGTCTAGTAACATACATGTGCCAAAAATTATTGGGAACAGAGCATTGGCTGTGACTAAATTCTCAATTTCCTAGTTGAGCAAGAAGGGATAATTGTTCCACGCAGAAGAAATAAAATTTACAGTACGTTTACAAAAATTACAAGGAACTAGAAAAATCTAGGGCCAGAATTTGAAGGCTTTGTATACTGTGTGAAAATGCTTTACCTTTATTTCACTATTTAGACTATGGTGTAGGATCAGGGTTGTTTATATATATTTTAAAATTTTACAGACCATGATGGATTAATAGTTTTATAAAATACAATAAAAAATAATCATAGAAAAATGAAATAAAGATAAATGAAATAAAGTCCCAAGTTTTTATTTAGGTTGAACCAACATAAAGTGATTCTTGTATTTGTCTGTTTTCATGCTGCTGATAAAGACATACCCGAAACTGGGCAATTTACAAAAGAAAGAGGTTTAATTGGACTTACAGTTCCACATGGCTGGGGAGGCCTCACAGTCATGGCTGAAGGCAAGGAGGAGCAAGTCACATCTTACGTGGATGGCAGCAGGGAAAGAGAGAGCTTGTGTGGAGAAATTCCCGTTTTTAAAACTGTCAGATCTCATGAGATCCATTCACTATCACGAGAACAGCACAGGAAAGACCTGCCCCCATGATTCAGTCATCTCCCACCGGGTCCCTCCTACAACACGTGGAAATTATGGGAGCTACAAGATGAGATTTGGGTGGGGACATGGAGGCAAACCATATCAGTTCTATACAATTGCTATAAAACACTCAGTTTCTATACTTACCTCATCATGGATTAGTAACAAATATTTAATGTCTAGTAATTATTGGACTTGGGATGGTCTGTGGGCCATACTTGCAGTGGTATTGATGTTCTGGTGATAAATGTTCCCTGCAGATTTTTAAGCAAAGAATAGCATGATTATATTTGTTTTTAACACGGTGAATTTTTTTTGCAATATGGGTGATGATTAGGTTTCAGGCTGAAGGGCTGGAAACCAAGGAACCCTGGAATCATCAGCATTTGAGGGGTAGCTGGAAATGAAGGAGAAAGTGAAGGTGACTTTGTTTATATTAATAATTCATGTGGGGAGTAGTTTCCCCACTAGGCCATAAGCTTATACAAGGCAGGTGTTAGATTTCTTTTAACTCCTAAGATTAAATAGATATTTCAGAAATATTTGATGAATGAATGAATAATGAATGAATGTGTCAGAGAGGTAAAGGCAGAACCAGGAGAGAGTAGAGTGTTTAAAACTGAAATAAGAAGAATTTCAGGCTAGAGAATGTAATAAACAGAACCAAATGCTTTCAAATCAGGGAAGATGACAATTTAATAATTATGTATTGGACTTAGTATTTTGAAAGTCCTTAGGGAGACCAGCTTTATCAGTGTGGTAAAGTTAGATGCCAGCTTATAATGTGTTGCCTATCTCTACTATCTGGTAAGGGAGTGAGTAGAAAGATCTTTTAAAAGATGGCACTTCATTAATGTTCGTTTATTTATTGAGGAAGAAAAGTAATGATAATCTTTTATATCAATTTAGTATTGTGTGTGAATGTAAGATCAATAATAGGTATATATTATTTTTCTTCCATTTCAGCAGGGGAACTAACATCTATTAAATGGAATTGGGATTGATTTTTTCTATAGTTGATTCCAATTGAGAAGAAAACTATAATGTGAATATTTTGCTTGGTCTTGTTTCAAATGGATTTTTAATGATTATTCCTTAATATTATTTTTGTTTTTAATTTTTAAAAAATAGATTCAGGGGTTGCATATGCAGGTTTTTTACAGGGATATATTGCATAATGGTGAGGTTTGGGCTTCTACCCATCACCTGAATAATAAAAATTGTTCCCAATAGGTAATTTTTTCAGCCATTACTCCCTTTCCATCCTCCCTGCTTTTGGAGACTACAGTGTCTATTATTTCCCTCTTTATGTCCATGTGTACCCATTGTTTAGTTCCCACTGTTAAGTGAGAACATGCAGTATTTGATTTCCTGAGTTATTTCACTTAGGATAATTGCCTCTAGCTCCATCCATGCTGCTGTGAAAGACATTTCTGTTTTTTGTGTGATTGTGTAGTATTCCATGGCATGTATACACCACATTTTCTCTTTTCAATCATCCATTAGTGGACACTTCAGTTGATTCCATGACTTGGCAATTGTGTGAATAGTGCTGGGATAAACATACAAGTGCAGGTGTCTTTTTGATATAACAATTTCTTTTCCTTTGTCATTCTCTAATATTCTTTAATGATTATTAGAATCCTTCCAATAACATTCCATTTCCATTAGAGAATAAAGTTTACTCTTATTCTGTACTGTGCCAGGTTTATATTTGGCCAAAAGTTTGTAAGAAAAATATGGCTTGAAAGTGTGTGGGATATAATTCCTTCTGAAGAGTCAGAAAACTGAAAAGCATTTGAAGGCTATTAATAGAAAGAATAGAAGTTACGGGTAGTATCATTATATTTGCTAATTTAGCAAGTTTGTCTTTAGTTGTTTTATTTCTTATAATCAGATTTTAATAGGATCTTTAAATTTAAAAAACATTACATCTACTGCATAAGTGATGGGCACATGGACTATTGATACTTCGTCATCTTTTAATATTGTCTAGATGAAAATTTTATTTGAAATTTTCTTCTCTTGATTGCTTTTTTAAAAATACTAAAATAAACATTGGGTATTTTTTACCCTTTCCCCAAAAGATTATGTTCATTTTATAGTATAGAGAGTAATGAAAATCCAGGAGATTTAAGGCAATCCACAACGTTATGTGGAAACGTTAATCATTTTAATGCTTTTTTTGTTATTAAATAAAAACATTCAACATTCTTCACAATAATTTCAATAGTTATCTCTAAATCTTTTTATAGAATGAAGACCAGCAAGAAGTAATCCTTGTCAGAACAGATCAGTCTGGAAGAGTATGGCCTGTGAACACACCCGGAAAATCTCTGGAATCACAAGGAGGAAGAAGAAAGAGACAGATGGTATGTTTAACATATGTCTTTGTTTATTAATTCAGAATTCCTTCTTCCCCTTGGGGCTTTCTTTGTATCAGATTATAAAATATTTTCTGAAATGTGGCTTTTGAATGCCAATATTGGAAGGTAGGAAATGATGTTGTTACTACTTTTATTCTTAGTTATATCTCTTTGCCTTTTACAGAATGGAAACTAATCCAACTATTTTTTCAAATAGTTGTTAACATTGAATGTTTAAGGCAATTTTAATTTTAGTGTACATTTCTTTGATGTTGTTTTCAGCTGCTTTTGGCATACTTGCTATAGCTCTTAGGGAAAACTTTGGTCTCTCAGAGCTGTTACTAGTGTTAGACAGCTAACTTGAGACCTGGTGATGGGGTATCCATACACAGTAATGGCTTAATTATGTAGGTGCCATGATCCTTTATAAAACTAATTTTCTTTTCCATTTTCCAACTCTAGTAATTAGTTTTTAGCACTACCTTGAGGCTCTTGAGCTGGCAAAAACAACATATTCAGCTTTCTCAAGTTAGTTTTTTTTATTTTAAATTTGGAAGATCAGACAAGTGATAATTGCATATACAAAAGAACTGTTCATTCAGAATATTTCTGTCAAATGTTTATTTTTTGCCTGTTGAGTGCCTATGTTGCTAGAGATTCTAATTAATTCATCCAACAAATAGAAGTGGGATGGATATGTCTTCTAATGTAATGGGAGGAATTTGGTGGTTGGAGAGGAGGTGCAGGAGGAGAATAGTAAAGGTCTGATTTATATGAAATGGTGGAACTGACTAGGGATCCATAAATGCATTGTCAGAAGGCATTGAGGGCCCTTTTTGAGTTGCATATTACTGAGCAATCTAGGTATAGGAGTAAAGAAGGTAGACGCTTTCATTCATGAGTAGAGTTTGCTCTTTGAGTATAATGAAAAGACAAGAGGGCCAGAAATTAAGTGTCTGGAGCCAGGGGGTGATTGGAGTCATGGGATATGAGGTTTAAGCTAGTAAAGAAAAGAATAATAATGTTGGAAAATGTAGTTGCACCCCTGTTCCAAAGATCTCAAAGAAGTTAAAGACAAGGTTTTATTTGGATAAGGGAATGTGAGAGCAGCATTGGAAAGATTTGATTTGAGAGGAAATAAACAGTATTTTTCTGTTGCACACCTGGGTATGGAACCAACTGATAGGAAAATCTGGGACTGAATTAGATGGAGACCAGAATATCAGCTTTGCTTTTGATAAAGCTGTTTACAGAACAAGGGTTTAATAATTAGAAGTTGGTCTCTTAGTTCAGGCTACTGTAACATAGACTGGATGGCTTAAACAATAGAAATTTATTTCTCACAGTTCTGGAGACTGAGAAGTCCAAGATTAGGACTTGGAATGGCAGCTTCATTGTCTGATGAGGGCACGCTTACGGGTTTGTAGATGATAGTCTTCTTGTATCCTCAAATGGCAGAGAAAAAAGAGAGAGAGAACAAATGCTCATGTCTTTTAATAGAGGTACTGTATTAGGGTTCCCTAGAGGGACAGAATTAAGAGGATAGATGTATATATGAAGGGGAGTTTATTAAGGAGTGTTGGCTCACACAATGACAAGGTAAAGTCCTACATAGGCCGTCTGCAAGCTGAGGAGCAAGGAAGCCAGTCCAAGTCCCAAAACCTCAAAAGTAGGGAAGCTGACAGTGCAGCCTTCGGTCTGTGGCTGAAGGCCCGAGAATCCCTGGCAAACCACTGGTGTAAGTCCAAGAATCCGAAAACTGAAGAACTTGGAGTCTGATGTTTGAGGGCAGGAAGCATCCAGCATGGGAGAAAGATGAAGGCCAGAAGACTCAGCAAGTCAAGTCATTTCAACATCTCTGACTCGCTGGCAGCTGATTAGATGGTTCCCACCCACACTGAGGGTGGGTCTGCCTTTCCCAGTCCACTAACTCAAATGTTAATCTCCTTTAGCAACACCCTCACAGACACACCCAGGAAGAATACTTTGCATCCTTCAGTCCAATCAAGTTGACACTCAGTATTAACCATCACAGGTTCTGATCCCATTTCTGAGTACTTCATGCTCATAGCCCAGTTACCTCCCAAAGACCTTGCATCTTAATACCTTCATACTGAGATTTCAACATGTGAATTTTGGGGCAACATAATCATTAAATTCATAGTAGTGGATTTGCTAATACTTCATCTCTGTTTTTGATATACTTACTCCATTTCTGGATGACTTCAGTCTTCCCACCACAGTGGTAAGGAATTTTAACTATAAGGAGAAGAAGAGCAGAAAAGAGAGAAGAAGGGGTAGAGCAGTTTTGCTCTTTCATCAAAGCTCAGAAAGCAGATCATATCATGCTTCCATCCCTGGGGAAGAGGAGAGTAAAGAGGTAGAAGTAGGGAGTGTAATTCTAATGGAAGTTTTTTCACATGGAAACTGGCAGACTAGGGATAAACTGGAAGGAAAGGTTGTGATTACATAGTGGGATTTTTACATTTAACATCAGATATTTATGTAATCCATCAAGAAATACTTCAGAGACTCATGTTTTCATTAAATTAATAATGTTCATTTTGTCATAGGTTTCAACCCATGAGGAAAGAGAAAGGGTCAGATACTTTCATGATGATGATAATCTAAGCCTAAATGATTTAGTCAAAAATGAAAAGATGGGAACAGCAGAAAATCAAAACAAGCTCTTTATGAGAATGGCATCTAAGGTAAGATATATTCCTAGGATACCTCTGAATTTTGAGAAGCTGATTATTCAGTGTAACAGTGATCTGCTTTTTGGAGAGATCTGGTTCTCTCTAATCTTGATTCATTTTATTAAATTAAATCCTTTGTAAGACTTATTAGAAACATGCATTTTGGAATTGATCTGGTTGAGAAACATACAGTTGAAATGTTGTTTGTTTTTAAATATAGACTGTGGTTTATTTCTTTAATGCATTCTGTGGAGATTTTAATTATACATTTCCTCTACCATTTAAGAGAAAATGTTAAGCCAGAGTTAATGATTGACAGTGCGCTGATAGTTAGGTTACCACTCCGTCTTGTCTTAACGTTCCTCCAGTTCTTCATAATTGTGCCATGAAGAGGTAGAAGAAAATATTTGCACTAATATATTATGGATTATGGAGAGGCATCTGGGAATAATCTTACATCTATTTATATGAAAATATATATTATTTTAACACGTCATTATGGGTAGGATGAATTTTTGTTTCAAATAGCATTCTTTGTTGCAGTTTCTTCCATTGAAGTCTCTTCCAAACACTACCATTAACATTTTTTATAAAAGAGACACTGGTATTTAAACTGTTCTGTAACAGGTTTTGGCAAACTGTGACCCCTATGGGAAAAATTCAGCCTACTGTCTATATTTGCAAATAAAGTTGTATTGAAGAACTGCTATACACATGCATTTACATATTATCTAAGGCTGCCTTCACTCTATAATGGCTGAATTGAGTAGTTGTGACAGAGAGTGGATAGTCCATAAAGCTGCAAATATTTTCTGTGTGGCTTTTTACAGAAAAAAATGGCCAACTTCCACCCTATAATAACAATGGTTACTTTTTGGTAGTGGGAGTTTGAACTGAGTCACTGAGATATAGGCAAGGGATGGGGAGACCTTTCACTGTATATCTTTTCAGACTTACAATCTTTTATTTTTTAACTTTTAATATTCACATAAGTACGTAAGTATGTTACCTGGTAAAAAAATTAAACTTAATGAAAACTAAGATAAAGTAACCAAGGTATCTGTATGTGTATGTTGTGTTGGGGAAGAGGGCAATAAAGTAAAATAGAGTTTAAATGGAAATGGCTTTTGTACCTATCAGCAAGAGTTTCATGAGATCTTATATTTAGCCCATTAAGATAATTTTACCTCTGTTTATTTTGGAAAAAATGCCAGAAATTTCCTAGGGTCTGGAATTTTAATGCAGAAAGAAGGAAGACATGTTTTTATTAGAGTTTCCTTTTCAGAAGTGGTACCTCTGTATATGAAGTCTGAATTAAATAGTTTTAGTAATCTTATAAACCGTTCAAGTTTATGAACCATAAACCATTCAAGTTAAAGAAAAATCCTTCTTAAAAATTGTAATAGTGCCGGGCGTGGTGGCTCAACCCTGTAATCCCAGCAATTTGGGGGGCCTAGGCAGGCAGATCATGAGGTCAGGAGTTCGAGACCAGCCTGGCCAACATAGTGAATCCCCGTCTCTACTAAAAATACAAAATTAGCCAGGCATGGTGGCACGCACTTGTAGTCCCATCTACTCGGGAGGTTGAGGCAGGAGAATCCCTGGAACCCGGGAGGTGGAGCTTGTGGTGACCTGAGATCGTGCCACTGCATTCCAGCCTGGACGACAGAGCAAGACTCCGTCTCAAAAAAAAAAAATTGTATAGCCATTTGTCAGTTCAACAGTTATTATTGAAGACTTAATTAGTGTCAGATACCATTTTAGTTGGGGGATACAGAGAAGCAATTAAGTCAAAGTTTGTGCCCTCAGGCGCTTATATTTCTAGTGGATGAGAAAGTGAACAAATATATAAACTATGTAACAATATATTATAAAATTGAAAATAGTTTTGTAGAAAATGAAGCAAAGTAGAAGGAGCTGCGATGATATTTTCAACAGAGTGTTGCTGAGGGAAAGTCTTTCCATATAGGTGATGTTTCATCAGACTGAAAAAAGTGAGTGAGAGGTCCTTGTGAATATCTGAGGGAAGATTATTTCAAGTAGAAGAAACAGCAAAGGATCTGAAGCAGAGACAAGCTTGAAGAACATCAAGAGACTGCAAAAAGACAAGTGTGACTGGTAGTAGAGGGAGGAAGAGAAAGAGAAGTTGAGATGAGATAGGAGACATAAGTCAGATTACGTAAGGCAGGGGGCCCATATCCCTGGGCCATGGATGGGTACTGGTCTGTGGCCTATTTGGAACTGGGCCGCACAGCAAGAGGTGAGCGGAGCGGGCCAGTCGGCATTATTGTCTGATCTCCACCTTCTGTCAGATCAGCGACAAGATTCTCATAGGAGCATGAACCCTATTGTGAATTAGACATGTGAGGGATCTAGGTTACACACCCCCTTACAAGAATCTAATTCCTGTTGATCTGAGGTGTAATAGTTTCATCCTGAAAGCACCCCCACCCCCACCACTGCCCTGCCACCCTGTCTGTGGAAAAATTGTCTTCCACAAAACTGGTCCTTGGTGCCAAAAAGGTTGGGGACTGCTGAGGTAGTGTCTTACAGGCCATGGATAACTTTCATATTTGTTTTAATGATGGGGAGCCATTTGAAGGTTTTTTTTGTTTTTTGTTTTGTTTTGTTTTGTTTTGTTTTTAGCAAGGCTGTGTCATGATTTGGTTTATATTTTGACAGAATTTTTCTGGCTGCTCTTTTGAGAAGGCAGTGTAGAGAGGCATTAGTGGAAGCAGGAGATCACTTAGAAGGAGAGTATTATATTAGTTCAGATAGAGCCATGGATGGATTACAGTGGTAAAACTGGTGAAAAGTGTCAGGATACAGGGCATTGCTGGTGCTGTATATTGAAATGGGAAAAATTGCAGGAGGGACAAATTTTGGGGGAGTGGGAAATCAAGAATACTGTTATGGATGTGTGAAGTATGAAATGCCCGGTCACATGGTAGTGTAGGGTGACTGCCCCTGGAGTTCTGGGTAGATGCTGGTTCTCCCATATAGATTTGGATGCATTAGCCTTTTTTTTTTTTTGAGACGGGGTCTCGCTCTGTCACCAGGCTGGAGTGCAGTGGCTCAATCCCAACTCATTGCAACCTCCGCCTTCTGGGTTCAAGCGATTCTCCTGCCTAAGCCTCCTGAGTAGCTGGGACTATAGGCACGCACCACCATGCCCAGCTAATTTTTGTGTTTTTAGTAGAGACGGGGTTTCACCATGTTGGCCAGGATGGTCTCTGTCTCTTGACCTCGTGATCCGCCCATCTCAGACTCCCAAAGTGCTGGGATTACAGGCATGAGCCACTGCGCCTAGCCCTGTGTTAGCATTTAAATAGTATTTAAAGCAATGAGATCAAAGAAATTATTAATGAGGAGAGTCTGAAGACTGTCCTGGAGAGGACAGAAAGGATTCAGCAAATAAAACTAAGAAGTGCAGCCAGTGAGGCAGAAGGAAAACCAAGGGTGTGGTGTTTCAGGAGACAGGGAGGAGGCTGTGAATGACTGTGTCAGCTGCTTCTAAGAGGTGAGGAAAATCTTTGAAGATGGGAAATGGTCACTGGATTTGGCAGTGTAGAGGTTTCTGGTGACTTTAATAACTATGGGTTTTTCTTGGTCCAATAAGGAAAAAAGCATGATTATGTTGTGTTCAAGAGTGAATTTGGGAAGAATTGACCTTAGAAAGGAGCTGATTACCATCCATCAATTATATAAGGAGGAAAGGCAGAGTATTAGTATACAGATGTAGGTAGGTTCTTAAATTTGGTAGTAGAAAAATGAACAGGAGTGGCGGCTCACACCTGTAATCCCAGCACTTTGGGAGGCCAAGGTGGGAGGATTACTTGAGGCCAGGAGTTCAAGACCTGTCTGGGCAACAAAGTGAGACCCCTATCTCTACAAAAAATAAAAAATCAGCTGGGTATGGTGGTACTTATCTGTAGTTTCAGCTATGCAGGAAGCTGAGGTGGGATGATCACTTGAGTTTAGGTGGATGTCTGAAACTGTGGATGGTACCAAACCCCTATATATGCTATGTTTTTTCCTATTCATACATACCTATGATAAATTTTAACTTATAAAGTATAATTGATAGACATAGTAAGAGATTAACCACAATAATCATAAAATACAAGTATAGCAATATGCCAGCATTGCTACTCTCGCAGTTTCAGGCTATTATTAAGTAAAATAAGGGTTACTTGAACACAAACTCTCTTATGCTGCAACAGTCAGTCATAACTGAAATAGCTACTGAATAACTAAATAGACAGACAGGTAGCATACACAGCATGGTTGTGCTGGACAAAGGGCTGATTCATGTCCCCTGGGGGGGATGGAGTAGAACAGCATATTTCATCACACTACTCAGAATGCCATACAATCTAAAACTTATGAATTGTTTATTTCTGAAATTTTCCATGTAATATTTTCAAACCACAGTTGACTGCAGGTAACTGCAGCCACAGGAAGTAAAACCACAGGTAAAGGGGGGTTACTGTATTGTATAGGATTGCTTATTTAATATTAGCTGATTTGGCAATAATTGCATCTTCATTACTTTCCCTAAACATTTTACATCTTTGATTTTTTTAATTGACGTTTAGATAAATTGACGTTTAGATAAATTATTGAATGTGCAGCTGATACACATTCAGTCCAGACTTTTAAAAAAAATTTTGATCAATTTATATATTATTGAATTTGTAGTAGTGTTGTATTAATATCTTGACAAATGTGTTATTTTTATTCAAGCAAATTGTTTTTTTTTTGTATTATTTAATGGAGGTGTTTTTTCTAAATATGCAAAGCAATGCCAGTTCCTACCTATGTGCAGTGGGGCCAATGGAAGTACAGGTTGCTATGGAAATGCTGATTTCACATTGGGATTTTTAGTTCATCCTGCCTGATAATTACAGCAGAGTAGCAATTTGTTTTGTATGTTTAATGATTAAAATCAGCTCTGCTAAAAATTTGAGGCGTTACTAAAAGCCTATAAAAAAAAGAAAGTATTTGAAGTGTTGGCCATTTCTAAGAATACTGTGCCTAATCCTTTCACTCTTAAAAGTTTATGAACTAAAGTAGCTAAGTTATTGAATTTTTGATAGTAATATTGCTGGTATATAGTTTAGTTATGTCAAATAGTTTCATGAATGACTCCAAAAGCTCATTATCCTATGTTTCTTTTTATTATTAGTTAAAAATGATTAGTCTAGTTTAAAGTCATTAGAGGTTGGCAAACTTTTTATGTTTCTTTTTATTATTAGTTTAAAGTCATTAGTTTAAAGTCATTAAACAGAGGTTGGCAAACTTTTCTTGTAAAGGGCCAGACAGTAAATATTTTTAGCTTTCTGTTGCAATTACCAGCACTGCTGTTGTAGCACAAAAGCAGCCATACACAGTATGTAAATGAATGGGTTTGACTATATTCCAACAAAACTTTATTTACAAAAACATATGGATGGCCTGATGTGGCTTGGAAGTTGTAGTTTTTCAATCCCTGGACTAGGATATAAAATCTTCAATGCAAATGTATTTGAATTTAGATACAGGTTGAACATACCTCATCCAAAAATTAGAAATCTGAAATGCATTAAAATTCAAAATTTGTTGGGCACCAAAATAATGACACATTTGCTTTTTGATGGTTCAGAATACACAAACTTTGTTGCATGTACTATTTAAAACGTTGTATAAAATTACCTTCAGGCTATATGTATTAGGTATGTATGAATCATAAATGAATTTCAAATTTAGACTTAGGTCCCATCCCCAAGATGGAATGTATATGTAAACATTTTAAAATCCAAAACAATTCAAAATCTGAAACACTTCTGGTTCCAAGCATTTTGGATAAGTGATATTCAACCTGTATGTCTCTTACTTAGTAGTTTCCCTGAAAATGGATCTTGGGCCTTGGGAAAAGTAGCTAGTCAGGAATAGTTGATATAAATTTATAAAACAAGAGTCTGCTTATTTATTTAGTCGACAAATGTTAATTGAACTCATTCAGTGTATGAGGTGTTCTACTGGGGACACACTGGCACATGAAGAAGAAATGATCCTTGACTTTATGGAGCTTATTAGGCTAGTGGGGAAAAGGAAGCACTAAATAAATAGCTATGAAAAATAGTTCAGTAATCTTGGATGTACAAAGAACTGTGACAGACAAGTGAAAAGTCTTTTGGAAGTAACACCTGGGTGACCCAATTTAAACTGGGGGCACAGGAAAGATTTCATGTTGAACAGAAATCTGATACTACCTGGGCTCAGTATTCAGATCTGCCCTATTGCCTTTTGCTGTTGATGTGTATTTTACTTTTTATTAGTACCTTATATTTGTTTATTTAATTTTTATTGCCCATTCTTTTCTTGCATTTCCAAAATTCAGGTTATATTTATGTTCTTTCCAGTTGTATTTTACCATTAAATCTTTAATAGAATATCTTTCTTATAACAAAACCAAGAAAGGTATCTCATGACAAATATGAACTTAATTGTGTTTGTATAGGGGAATTATGATTCTTGGTTTTTTTATCCTTTCTATATTTTTCAGTTTTTTTGAATATGTACTACATAATTAATGAAAAGAGGGGAATACAAAATACCCTGAAAAAGATGTGTAGAGAAAAACTCTCTTTTAAAGTGTGTTTTTCCTCTACTCTTAAATCACAGTCATCAGCACAGAAGACTTCTGTGACCAAATGTGTGGGTTTTTTTCTCCACGCACCGAGCAGTGGACACTGGCAAGATGTCCTCTAATTCAGTTCCAACACTGTCTACCTGGAGATAGTGTCTGATTCCACAGGTTGGGGTCTCAGTCCCCAAGTCTGTCCTCCAGATGCCCAGACTGGTACCAGTCACAAGTCTGGGCTTCCAGAACTTCTGACCACCCAGCTTCAAGTTGGGGTTCACATGACCCCCCCACTTCGGGTACGATTAATTTGCTGGAACAGCTCACAGAATTCAGGGAAACACTTAAATTACATTTACTGGTTTATTATAAAGGTTATCATAAAGGATATAGGTGAAGAGACGCGTAGGGCGAGGTATGGGGGTGCAGAGCACGCTTCCTTGCCATCCCTGGGAGTGCCACCCTCCAGGAACCTCTACGTGTTCAGGTATCCAGAAACTCTCTGAACCCAGTCCTCTTGGGTTTTTATGAAGGCTTTTTGACTTCAGTATTCCTTCCCCCATTGCATAGGGTGTGACCCTCTCTGGGGATGGTCTTAAGACCCACAATAAAAAAGGTAGGAGAAGATTAGAGTCCTGCCTTGGGGCAGGTGAAAGGAGGGCAGGAGAGAGACTCTGTTTCCTGAGGCCTGCCTCTGAGGCTTGAGATACCCAACATTGTAATACAAGACTGTAACAATAGCTATGGGAGTTATGAATCAGGAACTGTGAATGAAAACCAACGCATATCATAACACCACAGAAGTGTATGTTGGTCTAATTTTCTTACCATAGATGTGCCAGTATGTTTACTATGTTATGTTACTTTATTATGTTCTAGAACATAATAGGTATATAGTAACTTATTTTGGATAAAGAAATTTCTTCCTTCGAAATCATAGAGCCAAAGAATTTTAGATTTGGAAAGGGACCTTACTAATCTTGTTTCACCTTTCACATCTTACAGCTGAGGGAACTGAGACTTTGAGAGAATTAAATGACTTAACGCAAGGCTAAGTAACTTTCCTAGTCCCCACAGCTAATGAGTTGCAAAAGCCAGCACCAGAAGCTTCAGCTTTACTTTTCAGTCCACATTAAACAGTACTGTCATTCAAATGACTCATGTTAATGGATAGTTGTTGACTGTTGCCTAAATTTAATTGTCTTTGTCCAATTTCCATGTATCGTTTATTGCTATTTGGGAATAATAAGCTGTGTATGCTTTGCTCTTTCTTAAAATACATTCTATTGACTCCAGCATTCTTTAAATATAAACTCTTCCATTTAAAATTTAAGACGTCAGTGTTACCTTGGCAACGTAAACTCAGGCACATCTTCAAGAGATCTATATACATCTTTCCTCATTAATTTTGTTGAGACTGTGGGCAGTAATTTTATCCTTTTTGTACTAATAGACCATTAAACATGGGCCGGAGGGGAGGAAAAATGAAAGGTGTAAGAGGGGAATGATAAGGGAGAGAAAAAAAGACTCCAGTAATTAGGATTTTACCTTAAGTTATTAAAAAAAGATGATTTTATTGTCTAATAAAGTGTTTGTATTTTTACTGATTTATTTTCTCTTGTTTGTAACACTTAAGGCTTAATATATTTTCCCCGGAAGTAGTCTTTAGGATATATATTACATGTTTCTCTAATAATATACACTTGAAATCCTCTACTTTTTTATTCTCAGTAAACTACTAATATCAGATTTTGAGAGATTAAGTGATATACCATTCTTAAATGTATGATTAGAATAAGGTAAGGAATATTGAAATTGCCAGCTTATTGCAGCAGCCCCTTGGTCATTTTCATTCTCATAGACTTTAATAGATACACAGTGAAATTATCTTTGCAAGAGGCCAAATCCAAGAGTATGAAATCATTTATATGTTCCTGTGATATCCCCTAAAGGAAATTTGAAATTTGTATGTCATAAAATAATAACGTGATATTTTGCCTTTTTGTAGAACCGAATAAGATAAATATTGACTTAGTTTATTCATTTTCCAAAAGATGTAAGCTTGAATCCAGTTCAGGCTGCTGAACAAAATAATTTTTGTTTTTCTGAACCTCACCTATAGGTGATGGGAGTGGGAGGAAGGTGGGATCATAAGAAGAATTTATTTAATGTTTTTTCGTTCAGGTCCTAGTTGGGTTTTTTATGGCAAAATATACATAACATAAAATTTACCATTTTAACCATTTACAGTATACAATTCAGTGGCATTAAGTATTAATAAATTGAAATATTTTGCAACCATCACCACTATCCATTTCCAGAACATTTTTTCATTATCTCAGACAGAAGCTCTATACCCATTAAACAGTAGTTCTCCTTCCCACTGTCCTGCTCACTTCCATTTACCCCAGCCCCCTGGTCACCTCTTTCTGTCTCTGTGAATTTGCCTGTTCTAGGTAATTAATGATAAGTAGAATCATATAATACTTGTCCTTTTGTATCTGATTTATTTCGCTTAACATAATGTTTTCAAGTTTTGCAAGTATTTAGCATGTTTCAGAATTTCATTGCTTTTTAAGGCTGAATAACTCTATTATATGTATATAACACATTTAAAAACTCCATTCATTTGTTCATGGACACTTGGGTTGCTTCCATCTTTTGGCTGTGTGAATAATGCTCTTAGGAACATTGGTGTGCAAGTCTCTGCTTTCAATTTGTTTGGGTATATATTAATATCTAGACATGGAATTGCTAGACCATATGGTAACCCTATGTTTGACTTTTTGAGGAACCACCAAACTATTTCCCACAGTTTGAACAATTTTACACTCCCACTAGGAATGCACATAGGTTCCAACAGTGTCTCCACATTCTTGCCAACACTTATTTTTTTTTATTTTGTTTTGTTTTTTGTAAAAGCTATCCTTGGTGTGAAGTGGTATCAGTTGTGATCAGGTCCCAGTTCTTGACCCTGGTGAGATTTTATGAGGTCTTTTGGACAGTTCTCTCAGATTTTAATCAAAGTTTAAATTGTTGACAGTTGAGCATAGTGGTTTAATAGCTTCACTATCCATAGAGTCCAAAATGATATGAAGTTTATATTTAATCAATGAATTCATCTATTTCCAATGGATTTAAGGGCTTGGAGCTTGAAGGATAGTTTCACAGTTTTGATTAAAATTTTGATTTAATAAACATTGTCATAAAATTTGAAATGGTTTTGTAAGAATTAGACTGCAGTCTATTTTTCATTGTTGGTAATCCTTGTGTAATAATGCAGCACTTATTAAATAGATTCATTGCAAACCATTTTTTTTCTATATAATGACACTAAAATAAGCCTCTAGTTTTCATAGAGTTTTTATTCAAGGATCTTAGTATCTGATTTTTTTTTTTTTTTTTTTTTTTTTTGAGACGGTGTCTCGCTCTGTCGCCCAGGTTGGAGGGCAGTGGTACGATCTCAGCTCACTGCAAGCTCAGGCCATTCTCCTGCCTCAGCCTCCCGAATAGCTGGGACTATAGGGGCCTGCAACCATGCCCGGCTAATTTTTTTTGTATTTTTAGTAGAGATGGGGTTTCACTGTGTTAGCCAGGATGGTCTCAATCTCCTGAGCTCGTGATCCACCTGCCTCGGCCTCCCAAAGTGCTGGGATTACAGGCGTGAGCCACCGCGCCCGGCTGAGTATCTGATTCTTAATAAAATGACAGTTAATTTGTAGTATTTCAGGTTTTTCTTTATGCAGACATCAAAATGGGAAAACAAATTAGCTTTCATGGTTAGAAGACATTAATATTTTTGTATGTTTAAAATGTAGGTTATGAATTCACTTCTGGTAACAACTTCTGTAACCAGGCTTGAATTTGGAAACTGATTGAACAGGTTATCAGTAGTAAATCAGTTTAACTCCCTAACTCATGTGGATGGTTGTTATTAGTGGATACAAAAGAACTTTTCATGTGCAGTTATCAGAATCAGAATCCCTCTTGAACATGGCTTCACAGCCTTAGCGCTATTGATATTTTGGGCTGGTTAAGTCTTTGTTGTAGAAGGACTGTCTGTGAACCATAGAAGATTTAGTAGCATCCCTGGCCTCTGGCCAGCAAATACCAATAGCAACCCCTCTCACCCTAAGTTGTGACAGCCAGAAATGTCTCCAGATATTGCCAGATGTCCCAAATAAGGGGCAGGAAGCAAAATTGCCTCATTTGAGAACACAATCTTGGGAGAATCTGGGAGAAAATAGTAATAACTACAAATTTTTGAGGACTTGCTAGGTGCCAGATCCTTTTCATACCATAATACTTATAATTGTCTCTCAACAGGGTATAATTAACCCCATTTAATAAAAACTGTTGCTCAGAGATATTCAGTAGCTTGCCCAGGATCACGTATCTCTTTAACGAATCTGGCTTGTTTTCAGTATTTCCTATACCATTGTGTAGTACTACTATCTAACCTAGATTAGAAAGCTAGTAGTCATCAGATGAGGGAGAATGATCTCTCCTTTGTTCTCCACATCCAGTCTGTCACCAATCTTGTCTTCCTATGCCCAATCTACTTCTCTTTGTTCCTGTTGCCATCACACTATCGATGCTATCTTTCTTTTTTTTTGTTACAATATATATTTATTGACTTTATAATTTAAACATTTTGTAACTTTATTTTATTTTTATTTATTTATTTATTATTATTATACTTTAAGCTTTAGGGTACATGTGCACAATGTGCAGGTTAGTTACATATGTATACATGTGCCATGCTGGTGCGCTGCACCCACTAACTCGTCATCTAGCATTAGGTATATCTCCCAGTGCTATCCCTCCCTCCTCCCTCCACCCCACAACAGTCCCCAGAATGTGATGTTCCCCTTCCTGTATCCATGTGTTCTCATTGTTCAATTCCCACCTATGCGTGAGAATACGCGGTGTTTGGTTTTTTGTTCTTGCAATAGTTTACTGAGAATGATGATTTCCAATTTCATCCATGTCCCTACAAAGGACATGAACTCATCATTTTTTACGGCTGCATAGTATTCCATGGTGTATATGTGCCACATTTTCTTAATCCAGTCTATCATTGTTGGACATTTGGGTTGGTTCCAAGTCTTTGCTATTGTGAATAGTGCCGCAATAAACATACGTGTGCATGTGTCTTTATAGCAGCATGATTTATAGTCCTTTGGGTATATACCCAGTAATGGGATGGCTGGGTCAAATGGTATTTCTAGTTGTAGATCCCCGAGGAATCGCCACACTGACTTCCACAATGGTTGAACTAGTTGACAGTCCCACCAACAGTGTAAAAGTGTTCCTATTTCTCCACATCCTCTCCAGCACCTGTTGTTTCCTGACTTTTTAATGATTGCCATTCTAACTGCTGTGAGATGGTATCTCATTGTGGTTTTGATTTGCATTTCTCTGATGGCCAGTGATGGTGAGCATTTTTTCATGTGTTTTTTGGCTGCATAAATGTCTTCTTTTGAGAAGTGTCTGTTCATATCCTCCGCCCACTTGTTGATGGGGTTGTTTGTTTTTTTCTTGTAAATTTGTTTGAGTTCTTTGTAGATTCTGGATATTAGCCCTTTGTCAGATGAGTAGGTTGCGAAAATTTTCTCCCATTTTGTAGGTTGCCTGTTCACTCTGATGGTAGTTTCTTTTGCTGTGCAGAAGCTCTTTTGTTTAATTAGATCCCATTTGTCAATTTTGGCTTTTGTTGCCATTGCTTTTGGTGTTTTAGACATGAAGTCCTTGCCCATGCCTATGTCCTGAATGGTGACGCCTAGGTTTTCTTCTAGGGTTTTTATGGTTTTAGGTCTAACGTTTAAGTCTTTAATCCATCTTGTATTGATTTTTGTATAAGGTGTAAGGAAGGGATCCAGTTTCAGCTTTCTACATATGGCTAGCCAGCTTTCCCAGCACCATTTATTAAATAGGGAATCCTTTCCCCATTGCTTGTTTTTCTCAGGTTTGTCAAAGATCAGATAGTTGTAGATATGCGGCGTTATTTCTGACGGCTCTGTTCTCTTCCATTGATCTATATCTCTGTTTTGGTACCAGTACCATGCTGTTTTGGTTACTGTAGCCTTGTAGTATAGTTTGAAGTCAGGTAGTGTGATGCCTCCAGCTTTGTTCTTTTGGCTCAGGATTGACTTGGCGATGCGGGCTCTTTTTTGGTTCCATATGAACTTTAAAGTAGTTTTTTCCAATTCTGTGAAGAAAGTCATTGGTAGCTTGATGGGGATGGCATTGAATCTGTAAATTACCTTGGGCAGTATGGCCATTTTCACAATATTGATTCTTCCTACCCATGAGCATGGAATGTTCTTCCATTTGTTTGTATCCTCTTTTATTTCCTTGAGCAGTGGTTTGTAGTTCTCCTTGAAGAGGTCCTTCACATCCCTTGTAAGTTGGATTCCTAGGTATTTTATTCTCTTTGAAGCAATTGTGAATGGGAGTTCACTCATGATTTGGCTCTCTGTTTGTCTGTTATTGGTGTATAAGAATGCTTGTGATTTTTGTACATTGATTTTGTATCCTGAGACTTTGCTGAAGTTGCTTATGAGCTTAAGGAGATTTTGGGCTGAGACAGTGGGGTTTTCTAGATATACAATCATGTCATCTGCAAACAGGGACAGTTTGACTTCCTCTTTTCCTAATTGAATACCCTTTATTTCCTTCTCCTGCCTAATTGCCCTGGCCAGAACTTCCAACACTATGTTGAATAGGAGTGGTGAGAGAGGGCATCCCTGTCTTGTGCCAGTTTTCAAAGGGAATGCTTCCAGTTTTTGCCCATTCAGTATGATATTGGCTGTGGGTTTGTCATAGATAGCTCTTATTATTTTGAGATACGTCCCATCAATACCTAATTTATTGAGAGTTTTTAGCATGAAGGGTTGTTGAATTTTGTCAAAGGCCTTTTCTGCATCTATTGAGATAATCATGTGGTTTTTGTCTTTGGCTCTGTTTATATGCTGGATTACATTTATTGATTTGCGTATATTGAACCAGCCTTGCATCCCAGGGATGAAGCCCATTTGATCATGGTGGATAAGGTTTTTTATGTGCTGCTGGATTCGTTTTGCCAGTATTTTATTGAGGATTTTTGCATCAATGTTCATCAAGGATATTGGTCTAAAATTCTCTTTTTTGGTTGTGTCTCTGCCCGGCTTTGGTATCAGAATGATGCTGGCCTCATAAAATGAGTTAGGGAGGATTCCCTCTTTTTCTATTGATTGGAATAGTTTCAGAAGGAATGGTACCAGTTCCTCCTTGTACCTCTGGTAGAATTTGGCTGTGAATCCATCTGGTCCTGGACTCTTTTTCATTGGTAAGCTATTGATTATTGCCACAATTTCAGCTCCTGTTATTGGTCTATTCAGAGATTCAACTTCTTCCTGGTTTAGTCTTGGGAGAGTGTATGTGTCGAGGAATTTATCCATTTCTTCTAGATTTTCTAGTTTATTTGCGTAGATGTGTTTGTAGTATTCTCTGATGGTAGTTTGTATTTCTGTGGGATCGGTGGTGATATCCCCTTTATCATTTTTTATTGCGTCTATTTGATTCTTCTCTCTTTATTAGTCTTGCTAGCGGTCTATCAATTTTGTTGATCCTTTCAAAAAACCAGCTCCTGGATTCATTAATTTTTTGAAGGGTTTTTTGTGTCTCTATTTCCTTCAGTTCTGCTCTGATTTTAGTTATTTCTTGCCTTCTGCTAGCTTTTGAATGTGTTTGCTCTTGCTTTTCTAGTTGTTTTAATTGTGATGTTAGGGTGTCAATTTTGGATCTTTCCTGCTTTCTCTTGTGGGCATTTAGTGCTATAAATTTCCCTCTACACACTGCTTTGAATGCGTCCCAGAGATTCTGGTATGTTGTGTCTTTGTTCTTGTTGGTTTCGAAGAACATCTTTATTTCTGCCTTCATTTCGTTATGTACCCAGTAGTCATTCAGGAGCAGGTTGTTCAGTTTCCATGTAGTTGAGCGGTTTTGAGTGAGATTCTTAATCCTGAGTTCTAGTTTGATTGCACTGTGGTCTGAGAGAGAATTTGTTATAATTTCTGTTCTTTTACATTTGCTGAGGAGAGCTTTACTTCCAAGTATGTGGTCAATTTTGGAATAGGTGTGGTGTGGTGCTGAAAAAAATGTATATTCTGTTGATTTGGGGTGGAGAGTTCTGTAGATGTATATTAGGTCCGCTTGGTGCAGAGCTGAGTTCAATTCCTGGGTATCCTTGTTGACCTTCTGTCTCGTTGATCTGTCTAATGTTGACAGTGGGGTGTTAAAGTCTCCCATTATTAATGTGTGGGAGTCTAAGTCTCTTTGTAAGTCACTGAGGACTTGCTTTATGAATCTGGGTGCTCCTGTATTGGGTGCATATATATTTAGGATAGTTAGCTCTTCTTGTTGAATTGATCCCTTTACCATTAAGTAATGGCCTTCTTTGTCTCTTTTGATTTTTGTTGGTTTAAAGTCTGTTTTATCAGAGACTAGGATTGCAACCCCTGCCTTTTTTTGTTTTCCATTTGCTTGGTAGATCTTCCTCCATCCTTTTATTTTGAGCCTATGTGTGTCTCTGCCCGTGAGATGGGTTTCCTGAATACAGCACACTGATGGTTCTTGACTCTTTATCCAATTTGCCAGTCTGTGTCTTTTAATTGGAGCATTTAGTCCATTTACATTTAAAGTTAATATTGTTATGTGTGAATTTGATCCTGTCATTATGATGTTAGCTGGTGATTTTGCTCGTTAGTTGATGCAGTTTCTTCCTAGTCTCGATGGTCTTTACATTTTGGCATGATTTTGCAGCGGCTGGTACCGGTTGTTCCTTTCCATGTTTAGCACTTCCTTCAGGAGCTCTTTTAGGGCAGGCCTGGTGGTGACAGAATCTCTCAGCATTTGCTTGTCTGTAAAGTATTTTATTTCTCCTTCACTTAGGAAGCTTAGTTTGGCTGGATATGAAATTCTGGGTTGAAAATTCTTTTCTTTAAGAATGTTGAATATTGGCCCCCACTCTCTTCTGGCTTGTAGAGTTTCTGCCGAGAGATCTGCTGTTAGTCTGATGGGCTTCCCTTTGAGGGTAACCCAACCTTTCTCTCTGGCTGCCCTTAACATTTTTTCCTTCATTTCAACTTTGGTGAATCTGACAATTATGTGTCTTGGTGTTGCTCTTCTCGAGGAGTATGTTTGTGGCGTTCTCTGTATTTCCTGAATCTGAACGTTGGCCTGCCTTGCTAGTTTGGGGAAGTTCTCCTGGATAATATCCTGCAGAGTGTTTTCCAACTTGGTTCCATTCTCCCCGTCACTTTCAGGTACACCAATCCGACGTAGATTTGGTCTTTTCACATAGTCCCATATTTCTTGGAGGCTTTGCTCATTTCTTTTTATTCTTTTTTCTCTAAACTTCCCTTCTCGTTTCATTTCATTCAGTTCATCTTCCATTGCTGATACCCTTTCTTCCAGTTGATCGCATCAGCTCCTGAGGCTTCTGCATTCTTCACGTAGTTCTCGAGCCTTGGTTTTCAGCTCCATCAGCTCCTTTAAGCACTTCTCTGTATTGGTTGTTCTAGTTATACATTCTGCTAAATTTTTTTCAAAGTTTTCAACTTCTTTGCCTTTGGTTCGAGTGTCCTCCCGTAGGTCGGAGTAATTTGATCGTCTGAAGCCTTCTTCTCTCAGCTCGTCAAAGTCATTCTCCATCCAGCTTTGTTCCGTTGCTGGTGAGGAACTGCGTTCCTTTGGAGGAGGAGAGGCGCTCTGCTTTTTAGAGTTTCCAGTTTTTCTGTTCTGTTTTTTCCCCATCTTTGTGGTTTTATCTACTTTTGGTCTTTGATGATGGTGATGTACAGATGGGTTTTTGGTGTGGATGTCCTTTCTGTTGTTAGTTTTCCTTCTAACAGACAGGACCCTCAGCTGCAGGTCTGTTGAAGTACCCAGCCATGTGAGGTGTCAGTCTGCCCCTCCTGGGGGGTGCCTCCCAGTTAGGCTGCTCGGGGGTCAGGGGTCAGGGACCCACTTGAGGAGGCAGTCTGCCCGTTCTCAGATCTTCAGCTGCGTGCTGGGAGAACCACTGCTGTCTTCAAAGCTGTCAGACAGGGGCATTTAAGTCTGCGAAGGTTACTGCTGTCTTTTTGTTTGTCTGTGCCCTGCCCCCAGAGGTGGAGCCTACAGAGGCAGGCAGTCCTCCTTGAGCTGTGGTGGGCTCCACCCAGTTCGAGCTTCCTGGCTGCTTTGTTTACCTGAGCAAGCCTGGGCAATGGCAGGCGCCCCTCCCCTAGCCTCGCTGCCGCCTTGCAGTTTGATCTCAGCTGCTGTGGTAGCAATCAGCGAGACTCCGTGGGCGTAGGACCCTCCGAGCCAGGTGCGGGATATAATCTCGTAGTGTGCCGTTTTTTAAGCCGGTCTGAAAAGCGCAATATTTGGGTGGGAGTGACTCGATTTTCCAGGTGCGTCCGTCACCCCTTTCTTTGACTCAGAAAGGGAACTCCCTGACCCCTTGCACTTCCCAAGTGAGGCAATGCCTTGCCCTGCTTCGGCTCACGCATGGTGCGCGCACCCACTGGCCTGCGCCCACTGTCTGGCACTCCCTAGTGAGATGAACCCGGTACCTCAGATGGAAATGCACAAATCACCCGTCTTCTGCGTCGCTCACGCTGGGAGCTGTAGACCGGAGCAGTTCCTATTTGGCCATCTTGGCTCCTCAACCCGCTATCTTTGTTTCTTATCTGGTCTACCAAATAGCCTTCTAACTAGTTTTCTAGCATTCCTTCTTATCCTCTTTCACTTCTTTCTTAACTCTTATCTCACTGAAACCAGAATAATTTTTTTGTTCAAAATGTGCATCTCATCCTTTAGTCCCTAGGTTTAAACATTTTGAATGGTATTTTGTTGCTGTTAGGCTAAAGACCACATTTTTAAATGTGGCCTAACAAGACCTGGAATGGCCTGGTCACTACCTCTTTAGACTCATCTTGAATCACACTCTTTTGTTTTGCTTCCTCTGCTCCATCCGTGTTGATTTTCATTCAGTTTCTCAAATTAATGTGCTTTCTGCTGCCACAGACTGCATTTGCTGTTTCCACTTTTTTTTTTTGCCACCTTTTATCCCCCTTTATCTAGTTGATTAAACAGAATATTCATACAAATCTCATCTTTATCATAACTCTTTCAGGGAAGCCTTTACCTCTGACTCGTTTACTCCCTCTGTTAGCATCTCAAATTGCCATCACAGCTATAACTTGACAGTTCTTTGAGTAATGCTTTAGTTAGTGTCTTTCCCACTATTCTGTAAGTCTCATATGATTGGCTCACCAATATATTCTATCTAGTATAGTCACTAACACATAATAGCATTCAATAAATATTTGTTTTCTGGAGTCTCATATTTGGGACTTGAAGTCAAGTGCATGGAATTCCAGAAACCCCCTTTTCACTATTATACAAAATTGCCTACAAAATTTAGATATATTCTGTTGTTCCCATTGATGTCTGTGATTTTGATTTTGCAACAATAATATTTAAAAAACAAGCACAAAAAAGGATGATGAATAAAATGATGTCTTGGACGTGGAGGTGGGGGGACCATCTTTCATCTCTTATTTTTGTTGTCCTTTTTTGTTGGCTTTCTCCACTTTTTTTGGTAGAGATCACTTTTTAAGAATGTCAGAATGGTGACAGCAATGACCGAGCTGCGGAGAAATTGTCATCTTCAGGTTTTATCATCTAGAACTGTGGTTACAGGGGCAGTCAGATCCTGGGGCAGGTTTCCTGGAACATGTGATTAATTTGTAGTGCACAGAATCAAGAATTGAATATAAATATTTTTAAATTTCAAAAATGATGATATTCTTTCAGTATATTTTAGTGTATAACTAGAACCTCATGTTTAACAAATGGCATGAGCATGTTATTAGCTTGCTTTAATAAAACTAGCAATGTTTTAATAGCACCTTTAAAAAATCAGTCTGTAATTCATGCCGTACTTTAAATATTGAATACATAAAATTACACATAAGTCAATGTCATATGGGAGAATAGTCTTGAGTCCTGCTTCTAATTCCTATCCTTATCTCTTTTCTATCAAGGAATTCAGGTAGGAATTAGGATTTTTTACATCTTGGCATAATATGCATGACCCATTAACACTAAAGATAGAAACTAGAGGCCGGGCGTGGTGGCTCACGCCTGTAATCCCAGCACTTTGGGAGGCCGAGGCGGGCAGATCACGAGGTCAGGAGGTCGATACCATCCTGGCTAACATGGTGAAATCCTGTCTCTACTAAAAATACAAAAAATTAGCCGGCATGGTGGCAGGTGCCTGTAGTCCCAGCTACTCAGGAGGATGAGGCAGGAGAACCCGGGAGGCAGAGCTTGCAGTGAGCCGAGATCGCACCACTGCACTCCAGCCTGGGCGACAGAGTGAGACTCCGTCTCAAAAAAAAAAAAAAAAAAAGAGAAACTAGAAATCTTAACATCGTGAAATAGCAGTTTTCTCGAAAAAGAATAATTTTTGTTAAATAGTTTTCTTAAAGGTATTGTACAGACAAATGATAAAAGGTACTTATGTCTCTCAGTAGTTTAATGTTAAATTATCTATATTACAAAACACAGATGACAGGAATTAGTTATAATGCTCCCGATTCTTTTGGACATACAAATATTCTAATGAAAAACATTGCCACCTGTTTGTCAAAGCCAACATTAAAGTTTATTTTTATTTACTTAGATGGTAAGAAAGTGTAGAATTAAAAACTGTCCTAAATTTTGGTTGCTGACAGGTCAGATCTCATGCTATTTATGGCATCTGAAATATCCACTTCCATTTTCAGTGTTTAAGATGAGGTTTTCTCAATTCTGTGACTCGACCTCAGTGATTTCTTCTCTTTTCCCAGGCCATGCAGTTGTTTTTTTTTTTTCCCTTGAAGAAACAATCACTTATGAAAGAATGACTCATTCTTGTGCCATAAACTTCTCTCTCTAATATGTTAGTTTTAATTCTCAAATCTTTTGTGAGGAACAAAGAAGACAAGAAATCAACTTAAGGGACTCAAATAATCTGGAAATGAAAGAATTTGGTTCTGTTGTCATGATAACTCACAAGATTTTAATATGATTTTATGGAATTCCATTGGTGGGTCTTGTCTTACTCCCCTCCCCTCTTTTTTAAACAGGCTTGGTTAGTTAGCATGATTTATTGAGCATATCTGTTTAGCTGCTGACTTTTTAGTATTGCAGTGGTACATGATTTAATAGAAGAACAACTTTTAGAAATACTGTCACCTAAGAGTTTAGAAATACAGTCACCTTAGAGTTCCTGTAGTAGGATGTATTTTACTTGAGATTTTTCCCTGAAGTTAAACTTAATGGTTATTTAATCATTAGTAGGCTGAGTGTCAAAGGACTGTTGACTTTGTTGGATGCTTATTTGGTAGTTATGTCAATAATGGAAATGTGGATATATTTCTAACCATGTCAAAAAGCTAATATTACAATCCCAACACTGCACTCCAGCCTGGGCTACAGAGTGAGATCCCGTCTCTAAAAAAGAGCTAACACTTGAAAGTTAGTTTTAATTATTTGTAAAAGAACTAGGTAATATTATATTTCATGTAGTGTAAATACATAAGGTGAAGACTAACACCACAGTTATAATTATGCTGTCTTAATACATCATTATTTGCTCTTCTGTGTCTTTATCAAGTTGGCAGTTGGCTCTAGTTCCACTTTGAAAAATAATTTCTTGTTGGAATCATTTTCTTTGGTTGGGTTTTAAATCTTAAAGTAATTTTGAAAATGTATGGAATCAGTGTCCTTACTTTCTTCTAGTAATAAATTATTGTGAATATTTTGACATCAAAATAATGCAATATACAAATGAGAATTAGTAGTAAAAGAGGCAGGATTCAAAAAGTTGCTTCTAGCTAGAATGTCATTGTGGGCCAGGGAATAAGTCAAGCCTATGTGTCTTTTTTTCGTGGTTTGTCATTATGGTTTTAAAAATGTGGCATTTTGTGTTTTTTCTCTTGATACTAGTCAAATGTTTATGGATTGTAGCCTAGCTTTTGTATTTTTGTTCCAAATGCAACAACTATTTATTGATTACCTAGAGAGGGTGCCTCTGAAGCTCTACTTTTATATTATACATAATTCTAATGTATTTGGTTATCCAGTTTTAGAAAAGAAATATAATAAAAGCATCAAATTATAAGTGAAGAAACAGACTACCACAAGGAGCTTATGGCAGTAAGAACTGACAACAGACTTTATAGAGAGCACAAATAATGAAGAAAAAAATGGATAACTAAAAAACCGTGTAACTCTTGCTGATATAGTTAGCATAGAAGCAACTGGCGTTACATTCTGGCCAAGCTAAATTCTGATTTGGAGGAGTTGCTGGAAAGGGAAGAAAGGCCAATGGTTCAATCTTGGGAGGTTGTGTTTCCAGGAATTTATCCATTTTCTCTAGGTTTTCCAGTTTGTGAGCATATAGTTGATCATCATAGTCTCTGATGCTCTTTTGTATTTCTGTGATATCAGTTGTAATGTCTCCTTTTACATTTCTGATTTTGAATGCACCTGGCATTTTGAAGCACCATTCTTGAATTAAAATACATTATTATCACAGTAATTATTGTGTATTATCAGGAAAAGAATAAAGTTTCATTTATTATATTTTAAAAGGCAGGAAAGCTTATAACACTGTTCGGGAATATTTCCTTTCAAAATGACTATAAAAGAAATGTTTTTATACTTAAATGGTAAACCCTTAGCTATTTGGAAAGTTTTGCTAATTAGAAAAACACATTCTGCCAGTTTACATTAACCAAGGTTGTATTCTGAATATCAGTCATAATTTGGCACCTCACACATCATCAGCTGTCAGTCACTGTTTAATAAAATCATTATATCTTTATATCTTTCTTCTCTTCTGTATATGATTATTCATGAAGTTTAGTAGTTACTGTGACGGCAAGTGGATGTGTATGCCAGACAAATTTTCAAAATAGAAGAATCTTTAGCATGCTTAAATACTTAAATTCTGATTTGGAAGAGTTAGATAGGGAAGAAAGGCCAGTGGTTCGTTCAATCTTGGAAGGTTTTATGTTTCCAGGAATTTATCCATTTCGTCTAGGTTTTCTAGTTTGTGAGAATATAGTTGATCATCATAGTCTCTGATGCTCTTTTGTATTTCTGTGATATCAGTTGTAATGTCTGCTTTTACATTTCTGATTTTGTTTATTTGGATCTTATCTCTTGGGTAATTTAGCTAGCAGTTTGTCAATTTTGTTTATCTTTTCAGAGTCAACTTTTTATCTTACTGATCTTTTGTATTTTTGTGTGGGGGGGGGTCTCAATTTATTCTGCCCGGATCTCTCTTTTCTTCTGCTAATTTCAGGTTGGTTCCTTCTTGCTTCTCTAGTTTCTTGAGGTGTCACATTAGATTATTTTTCATTTGTTATTTTTCTACTTTGTTGATGTAGGCATTTAATGCTATAAAATTCTCTCAACATTGCTTTTGCTATATCTCACTGGTTTGGGTATGCTGTATTTGCAGTTTCATTTGTTTAAAAAAATTCAGTAAAGTTTCAGGATACAAAATCAGTGTACAAAAATCAGTAGCATTTCTTTTTTTTTTGTTTTATACTTTAAGTTTTAGGGTACATGTGCACATTGTGCACGTTAGTTACATATGTATACATGTGCCATGCTGGTACGCTGCACCCAGTAACTCGTCATCTAGCATTAGGTATATCTCCCAATGCTATCCCTCCCCCCTCCCCCCACCCCACAACAGTCCCCAGAGTGTGATATTCCCCTTCCTGTGTCCATGTGATCTCATTGTTCAATTCCCACCTATGAGTGAGAATATGCGGTGTTTGGTTTTTTGTTCTTGCAATAGTTTACTGAGAATGATGATTTCCGATTTCATCCATGTCCCTACAAAGGACATGAACTCATCATTTTTTATGGCTGCATAGTATTCCATGGTGTATATGTGCCACATTTTCTTAATCCAGTCTATCATTGTTGGACATTTGGGTTGGTTCCAAGTCTTTGCTATTGTGAATAATGCCTCAATAAACATACGTGTGCATGTGTCTTTATAGCAGCATGATTTATAGTCCTTTGGGTATATACCCAGTAATGGGATGGCTGGGTCAAATGGTATTTCTAGTTCTAGATCCCCGAGGAATCGCCACACTGACTTCCACAATGGTTGAACTAGTTGACAGTCCCACCAACAGTGTAAAAGTGTTCCTATTTCTCCACATCCTCTCCAGCACCTGTTGTTTCCTGACTTTTTAATGATTGCCATTCTAACTGGTGTGAGATGGTATCTCGTTGTGGTTTTGATTTGCATTTCTCTGATGGCCAGTGATGATGAGCATTTTTTCATGTGTTTTTTGGCTGCATAAATGTCTTCTTTTGAGAAGTGTCTGTTCATATCCTGCGCCCACTTGTTGATGGGGTTGTTTGTTTTTTTCTTGTAAATTTGTTTGAGTTCTTTGTAGATTCTGGATATTAGCCCTTTGTCAGATGAGTAGGTTGCGAAAATTTTCTCCCATTTTGTAGGTTGCCTGTTCACTCTGATGGTAGTTTCTTTTGCTGTGCAGAAGCTCTTTTGTTTAATTAGATCCCATTTGTCAATTTTGGCTTTTGTTGCCATTGCTTTTGGTGTTTTAGACATGAAGTCCTTGCCCATGCCTATGTCCTGAATGGTGACGCCTAGGTTTTCTTCTAGGGTTTTTATGGTTTTAGGTCTAACGTTTAAGTCTTTAATCCATCTTGTATTGATTTTTGTATAAGGTGTAAGGAAGGGATCCAGTTTCAGCTTTCTACATATGGCTAGCCAGCTTTCCCAGCACCATTTATTAAATAGGGAATCCTTTCCCCATTGCTTGTTTTTCTCAGGTTTGTCAAAGATCAGATAGTTGTAGATATGCGGCGTTATTTCTGACGGCTCTGTTCTCTTCCATTGATCTATATCTCTGTTTTGGTACCAGTACCATGCTGTTTTGGTTACTGTAGCCTTGTAGTATAGTTTGAAGTCAGGTAGTGTGATGCCTCCAGCTTTGTTCTTTTGGCTCAGGATTGACTTGGCGATGCGGGCTCTTTTTTGGTTCCATATGAACTTTAAAGTAGTTTTTTCCAATTCTGTGAAGAAAGTCATTGGTAGCTTGATGGGGATGGCATTGAATCTGTAAATTACCTTGGGCAGTATGGCCATTTTCACAATATTGATTCTTCCTACCCATGAGCATGGAATGTTCTTCCATTTGTTTGTATCCTCTTTTATTTCCTTGAGCAGTGGTTTGTAGTTCTCCTTGAAGAGGTCCTTCACATCCCTTGTAAGTTGGATTCCTAGGTATTTTATTCTCTTTGAAGCAATTGTGAATGGGAGTTCACTCATGATTTGGCTCTCTGTTTGTCTGTTATTGGTGTATAAGAATGCTTGTGATTTTTGTACATTGATTTTGTATCCTGAGACTTTGCTGAAGTTGCTTATGAGCTTAAGGAGATTTTGGGCTGAGACAGTGGGGTTTTCTAGATATACAATCATGTCGTCTGCAAACAGGGACAGTTTGACTTCCTCTTTTCCTAATTGAATACCCTTTATTTCCTTCTCCTGCCTAATTGCCCTGGCCAGAACTTCCAACACTATGTTGAATAGGAGTGGTGAGAGAGGGCATCCCTGTCTTGTGCCAGTTTTCAAAGGGAATGCTTCCAGTTTTTGCCCATTCAGTATGATATTGGCTGTGGGTTTGTCATAGATAGCTCTTATTATTTTGAGATACGTCCCATCAATACCTAATTTATTGAGAGTTTTTAGCATGAAGCGTTGTTGAATTTTGTCAAAGGCTTTTTCTGCATCTATTGAGAGAATCATGTGGTTTTTGTCTTTGGCTCTGTTTATATGCTGGATTACATTTATTGATTTGCGTATATTGAACCAGCCTTGCATCCCAGGGATGAAGCCCACTTGATCATGGTGGATAAGCTTTTTGATGTGCTGCTGGATTCGTTTTGCCAGTATTTTATTGAGGATTTTTGCATCAATGTTCATCAAGGATATTGGTCTAAAATTCTCTTTTTTGGTTGTGTCTCTGCCCGGCTTTGGTATCAGAATGATGCTGGCCTCATAAAATGAGTTAGGGAGGATTCCCTCTTTTTCTATTGATTGGAATAGTTTCAGAAGGAATGGTACCAGTTCCTCCTTGTACCTCTGATAGAATTCGGCTGTGAATCCATCTGGTCCTGGACTCTTTTTCATTGGTAAGCTATTGATTGTTGCCACAATTTCAGCTCTTCTTATTGGTCTATTCAGAGATTCAACTTCTTCCTGGTTTAGTCTTGGGAGAGTGTATGTGTCGAGGAATTTATCCATTTCTTCTAGATTTTCTAGTTTATTTGCATAGAGGTGTTTGTAGTATTCTCTGATGGTAGTTTGTATTTCTGTGGGATCGGTGGTGATATCCCCTTTATCATTTTTTATTGCGTCTATTTGATTCTTCTCTCTTTTTTTCTTTATTAGTCTTGCTAGCGGTCTATCAATTTTGTTGATCCTTTCAAAAAACCAGCTCCTGGATTCATTAATTTTTTGAAGGGTTTTTTGTGTCTCTATTTCCTTCAGTTCTGCTCTGATTTTAGTTATTTCTTGCCTTCTGCTAGCTTTTGAATGTGTTTGCTCTTGCTTTTCTAGTTGTTTTAATTGTGATGTTAGGGTGTCAATTTTGGATCTTTCCTGCTTTCTCTTGTGGGCATTTAGTGCTATAAATTTCCCTCTACACACTGCTTTGAATGCGTCCCAGAGATTCTGGTATGTTGTGTCTTTGTTCTTGTTGGTTTCAAAGAACATCTTTATTTCTGCTTTCATTTCGTTATGTACCCAGTAGTCATTCAGGAGCAGGTTGTTCAGTTTCCATGTAGTTGAGCGGTTTTGAGTGAGATTCTTAATCCTGAGTTCTAGTTTGATTGCACTGTGGTCTGAGAGAGAGTTTGTTATAATTTCTGTTCTTTTACATTTGCTGAGGAGAGCTTTACTTCCAAGTATGTGGTCAATTTTGGAATAGATGTGGTGTGGTGCTGAAAAAAATGTATATTCTGTTGATTTGGGGTGGAGAGTTCTGTAGATGTATATTAGGTCCGCTTGAGGCAGAGCTGAGTTCAATTCCTGGGTATCCTTGTTGACTTTCTGTCTCGTTGATCTGTCTAATGTTGACAGTGGGGTGTTAAAGTCTCCCATTATTAATGTGTGGGAGTCTAAGTCTCTTTGTAAGTCACTGAGGACTTGCTTTATGAATCTGGGTGCTCCTGTATTGGGTGCATATATATTTAGGATAGTTAGCTCTTCTTGTTGAATTGATCCCTTTACCATTAAGTAATGGCCTTCTTTGTCTCTTTTGATTTTTGTTGGTTTAAAGTCTGTTTTATCAGAGACTAGGATTGCAACCCCTGCCTTTTTTTGTTTTCCATTTGCTTGGTAGATCTTCCTCCATCCTTTTATTTTGAGCCTATGTGTGTCTCTGCCCGTGAGATGGGTTTCCTGAATACAGCACACTGATGGTTCTTGATTCTTTATCCAATTTGCCAGTCTGTGTCTTTTAATTGGAGCATTTAGTCCATTTACATTTAAAGTTAATATTGTTATGTGTGAATTTGATCCTGTCATTATGATGTTAGCTGGTGATTTTGCTCGTTAGTTGATGCAGTTTCTTCCTAGTCTCGATGGTCTTTACATTTTGGCATGATTTTGCAGCGGCTGGTACCGGTTGTTCCTTTCCATGTTTAGCACTTCCTTCAGGAGCTCTTTTAGGGCAGGCCTGGTGGTGACAGAATCTCTCAGCATTTGCTTGTCTGTAAAGTATTTTATTTCTCCTTCACTTAGGAAGCTTAGTTTGGCTGGATATGAAATTCTGGGTTGAAAATTCTTTTCTTTAAGAATGTTGAATATTGGCCCCCACTCTCTTCTGGCTTGTAGAGTTTCTGCCTAGAGATCCGCTGGTAGTCTGATGGGCTTCCCTTTGAGGGTAACCCGACCTTTCTCTCTGGCTGCCCTTAACATTTTTCCTTCATTTCAACTTTGGTGAATCTGACAATTATGTGTCCTGGTGTTGCTCTTCTCGAGGAGTATCTTTGTGGCATTCTCTGTACTTCCTGAATCTGAACGTTGGCCTGCCTTGCTAGATTGGGGAAGTTCTCCTGGATAATATCCCGCAGAGTGTTTTCCAACTTGGTTCCATTCTCCCTGTCACTTTCAGGTACACCAATCCGACGTAGATTTGGTCTTTTCACATAGTCCCATATTTCTTGGAGGCTTTGCTCATTTCTTTTTATTCTTTTTTCTCTAAACTTCCCTTCTCGCTTCATTTCATTCATTTCATCTTCCATCGCTGATACCCTTTCTTCCAGTTGATCTCATCAGCTCCTGAGGCTTCTGCATTCTTCACGTAGTTCTCGAGCCTTGGTTTTCAGCTCCATCAGCTCCTTTAAGCACTTCTCTGTATTGGTTGTTCTAGTTATACATTCTGCTAAATTTTTTTCAAAGTTTTCAACTTCTTTGCCTTTGGTTCGAGTGTCCTCCCGTAGGTCGGAGTAATTTGATCGTCTGAAGCCTTCTTCTCTCAGCTCGTCAAAGTCATTCTCCATCCAGCTTTGTTCCGTTGCTGGTGAGGAACTGCGTTCCTTTGGAGGAGGAGAGGCGCTCTGCGTTTTAGAGTTTCCAGTTTTTCTGTTCTGTTTTTTCCCCATCTTTGTGGTTTTATCTACTTTTGGTCTTTGATGATGGTGATGTACAGATGGGTTTTTGGTGTGGATGTCCTTTCTGTTTGTTAGTTTTCCTTCTAACAGACAGGACCCTCAGCTGCAGGTCTGTTGGAGTACCCAGCCATGTGAGGTGTCAGTCTGCCCCTCCTGGGGGTGCCTCCCAGTTAGGCTGCTCGGGGGTCAGGGGTCAGGGACCCACTTGAGGAGGCAGTCTGCCCGTATTCAGATCTCCAGCTGCGTGCTGGGAGAACCACTGCTGTCTTCAAAGCTGTCAGACAGGGACATTTAAGTCTGCAGAGGTTACTGCTGTCTTTTTGTTTGTTTGTGCCCTGCCCCCAGAGGTGAAGCCTACAGAGGCAGGCAGTCCTCCTTGAGCTGTGGTGGGCTCCACCCAGTTCGAGCTTCCTGGCTGCTTTGTTTACCTAAGCAAGCCTGGGCAATGGCGGGCGCCCCTTCCCCCTGCCTCGCTGCCGCCTTGCAGTTTGATCTCAGCTGCTGTGGTAGCAATCAGCGAGACTCCGTGGGCGTAGGACCCTCCGAGCCAGGTGCGGGATATAATCTCGTAGTGTGCCGTTTTTTAAGCCGGTCTGAAAAGCGCAATATTTGGGTGGGAGTGACTCGATTTTCCAGGTGCGTCCGTCACCCCTTTCTTTGACTCAGAAAGGGAACTCCCTGACCCCTTGCGCTTCCCAAGTGCGGCAATGCCTCGCCCTGCTTCGGCTCACGCACGGTGCGTGCACCCACTAACCTGCGCCCACTGTCTGGCACTCCCTAGTGAGATGAACCCGGTACCTCAGATGGAAATGCACAAATCACCCGTCTTCTGCGTCTCTCACGCTTGGAGCTGTAGACCAGAGCTCTTCCTGTTCGGCCATCTTGGCTCCTCCCCCAACATCTTCCAGTAGCATTTCTATACACCATAACAGTGTAGCTGAGAATGAAGTCATCAAGGTAATCCCATTTACAATAGCTATAAAAAATAATACCTAGGAATATATTTAACCAAGGAGGTGAAAGATCTCTACAGGGAAAAGTATAAAGCACCTGTGAAAGAAATCGTAGATGACACAAATAAATGGAAAAACATCCCATTCTCATGGACCAGAAGACTTAATATCATTAAAATTGCCATACTGGCCAGAGTAATCTACAGGTTGATTATAATCTCTATCAACATACCAACAGCATTTTTCACAGAATTAGAACAAACAATATTAAAATTCATATGGAACCAAAAAAGAGCCTTAATAGCCAAAGAAATCCTAAGCAAAAACAATAAAAAAAACCCAAAGCTGCAAAGCTGCAGGCATCTGATTACCTGACTTCAAATTATACTGAAAACGCTATAGTAACCAAAACAGCTTGGTACTGACGTAAACAATAGACAGCCAGATCAATGGAACAGAATAGGAAATATTGAAATAAAGCCACATATTTACAATCAACTGATCTTTGACAAAGTTGACACGAACATACACCGGGGAAAAGATACTCTTTTCAGTAAATGGTGCTGGGAAAATTGGTTTGCCCTATGCAGAAGAAGTATGAAACTGGACCCATATCTCTGAACATACACAAAAATCAACTTAAGATGGATTAAAGACTTACATGGAGAACTTGAAACCATAAAAACTCTAGAAGAAAACCTAGGGGAAACTCTTCTGGACATTGATCTAGGCGAAGAATTCATTACTAAGACCTCAAAAGCCTGAGCAATAAAAACAAAGACAAATGACAGTTAATTAAACTAAAAAGCTTTATGAACAGATAGCCTGCACAGTGCGAGAAAATATTTGCAAAATATGCATTTGTCAAGGGTCTAATATCCAAGAATATACAAGGAACTCAATTCAGCAACAACAACAAATAGTCCCACTAAAAAGTGGGCAAGGATATGAATAGATATCTTTCAAAAGAGGATATGCAAATGGTCAACAGGTAAATGAAAAAATGTTCAACATCGCTAATCATCTGAAAAATGGGCATTAAAACCACAGTGAGATATTATCGTACCCCAGCCAGAATGGCTACTATTAAAAATTTAAAAAACTAACAGATGCTTGTGAGGATGTGGAGATAAGGGAGCTCTTATGCACTGTTGTGGGGAATGTAAATTGGTACGGCCTCTATGGAAAACGGTATGGAGATTTCTCAAAGAACTAAAAGTAGAACTATCATTTGATTCAGCAATCCCATTACTAGGTATCTATCTACTCAAAGGGAAATAAATCATTATAAAAAATACCCCCACTTGTATGTCTATTGTGGCAGTGTTCACAAGATTAAAGATAATGTAATCAACCTGTGTCTATCAGTGGATGATTGGATAAACAAAGTGTGGTATATATACACAATGGAATACTATTCACCCATAAGAAAGAATGAAATTGTGTTTTTTGTTTTTGTTTTTGTTTTTGTTTTTTGCTGCAACATAAATGAATCTGGAAGTCATTATCTTAAGTGAAACAAGTCGGGCACAGAAAGACAAATATCACATGTTCTCACTTTTAAGTGGGAGCTAAATAATGTATACACATGGATGTAGAGAATGGAATAATAGAAAATAGAGACTCAGAAGAATAAGGGGGTGGGAGGAGGACAGATGATGAGAAATTACTTAATGGATGCAATGTACATTATTTGAGTGATGAATACTTTAAATGCCCTGACTTCATCACTATGCAATCTATGCATGCAACAGGAGAATACTAAGAGGCACCCTCAAGGATCTCCTACATTCCAGCCATACTTCCTCTTACCTCCGTTGTGTAGTCCAATCCAATTTGCCCTTGATAGGATCAGTGGCTTCAGCCAATACAATGCCTTTTCATTCAGTGGAGTGAGGAGTCATAGCAGCGAGGTAGCAGTCTCAACTTCAAGTTCGGTGAGTCGTTGTTGTGTCCCTTGGTGGAAGTATTCCTTCTTTTTTTTTTTCCTTTGTAAAATGTAGATGGGGTTCTGCCATGTTGCCCAGGCTGGTCTTGAACTCCTGGGTTCAAGGAGTCTTCCTGCCTCCTTCCTTGGCCTCCCAAAGTGCTGGGATTACAGGTGTGAACCACTGTGCCTGGCCCTGTATTTCTCCTTTTCGAACTAAAACCTCTAGACCGGTAGAGTCTAAAGTCACAGGAATGGGAAGCAAAAATTTTGCTAGTTTATCACAAAGGGTAATAGTCACTCCTGTTTTTTCCCTAAGATTCCCAGACCTGTGGATCCTAGTTGTGGATCATCATTGTTTGGATGCTGACTTAGAGCATATACTATATCCTGGAAGACATAGCCCAGCCCTACAAGGGATAGTCACCTGGCTGGTACTTGTAATTACATCTTCAAAAGGACAGTTCACTGTTCTGTCCAGACATCTACTTCAGAATGATGGGGATTTTGGCAGAAGCATGGCATGCCAGGAAGGCAAATCCATATCCAAAGTATCTATTCCAGTAAGAAGAAAGCACTGCCCCTTCCAGGATGGAAGCGGCCTGTTGTATTCACCTTGCTGCTAGAGGGAGAGTTATCCTATCGGGCTCAGTGTTGGTCTCTGTTGTTGGCAGACTGGGTATTCAGCAGTGTATGTAGCCCAGTTGGCTTTGGTGAGTCCAAACTCATGATGGTAAGCTCATGTGTAACTTTTATCTGTGCATGGCTGTTTTGTTCACAAGCTTTGAGACGATGATAGGAGTAGCTAATGACATAAGTACTGTCATGTGGGAGATAAGTATCCTTGTACTCTGTATCTGTTTGCATAACTCTTTCCCAGACCTCCTTGTCATCAATTCTCTAATTGTGTTCTAAGTCCCTGACCATCCAGCCAAATATGATGTTGGGGAGTCCTCAAGACCAGCTTTACTCCTGACACCAGCTGCAGGTTCAGAGGTCCCTAAGGCCACTCTTGGGTTCAATATTTTACTGGAAAGACTCACAGAATTGACTAAAAGCTGTTACTCTCATGGTTAAAGTTGATTACAGTGAAAAAATACAGATTAAAATTAGCTAATCCTCTCAACTCTTCCTCCTTAAGCCCTAAGCAGCTACTAATCTATTTTGTCTATAGATTTCCCTGTTCTCGACATTTCATATGAATGGAATCATAGAATAGTGTTTTTTTAAATGACTGACTTTTTTCACTTAGCATAATGTTTTTATAGATCATCCATGTTGTAACAAGTATCAGTACTTCATTCTTTTTATGGCTAAATAATACTACATTGTGGAGTTTCTTGGTCATGTGGTAACTCAACCTTGTCCAACCCATGGCTTGTGGGCCACATGTGGCCCAGGACAACTTTGAATGCACCCCAACACAAATTTGTAAACTTTCTTCAAATATTACGAGCTTTTTGTGATTTTTTTTTTTTTTTTTAGCTCATCAGTTATCAGTAGTGTTAGTGTATTTTATGTGGGGCCCAAGATGGTTCTTCTTCCAATGTGGCCCAGGGAAGCCAAAAGATTGGGCACCCCTGTGGTAAGCCATATGTTTAATATTTTATTAATTAATCTATATTGAAATGTTTGAGGAACTACCAGACTGTTTTCCAAAGCAGCTGCACTATCTTACATTCCCATCAGCAGTGTGTGAGGGTTCTTATTTTACCACATCCTTGACAACACTTGTTATTATCTGTCTATTTGATTGTAGCCATCCTAGTGAGTGTGAAATGGCTAACTCACTGTCATTTAGTTTGTGTTTATGGTGCGCCAAATTGATTTTGTATAATATAATCAGCTTTTTAAAGGGTTCTGTCTAAATGATGAAGAGGCATATTTTCATGCTCCTCTTTTCTTTATCTCCTTTCATCCAGCAGTTTTGTTCACTTTTTCCATCTTACACTTAGTACATTCTCCACTATCTTTTACCAGTCTATCTGTTAAAAAATGTTGATTGTTACTCTCAAATAATGAGAATACGGTAGGCTGGAGGTCATAGAAGAGGTATATATGATTGATAAATTAAAAATATTTGTATCAAAGCCTAAAGAAAAGATAATGAGTAAAAATGCAAATAATTTGAGGCTGCAGGAGGAGGGAATTAATTGTTCCTGGATCAGTAGGGACCATATTTCAGTTATATTGAAGAATCAGTCAGACTTAATTGGCAAGACTGTATCATTTTCAATTCAAACACTACAAATAAATCAGAGAGGTTTGGCAACATCCATGAAAACTAGATTTAAGAGTAGAAATACCATCTTCCATGTATAAAACATTTGATTTGAATTGAATATTTTCTGTGATCATTTATGAACTTTCCAAAAACACAATGGGCTATATCATATGAAGGCACAATTATGTATGTATAAATGTGTATTGTGCTCCTGTTAATATATTTTGGATAAGATAAATACCTACCTAGATATCTGCGTTCCCACTGTTAAGTACCTTAACTTGATTTGGTATGTTTATTCTAGATGAAATAAGTTTTCTTCTAGCTCTTTATTCTGCTTCATAGACTATATTCACAGTATGCCCTTTCTGTGTTTCAAACATTGATTTCTTAAGGGAAAAAGCCTCACTTATATGCCAGACACTGCAGTTTTGTATTCAGACCAACCAGTTTTGATTCCTGGTTCTGTCCTTTAATAGCTGTGTGATTTTGGTTAAGTTACTTAGTTTCTGTTAGTCTCGGTTTTTTGTTTTTGTTTTTGTTTTTGTTTTTGTTTTGTTGTTTGAGACGCAGTTTCACTCTTGTTGCCCAGGCTGGAGTGCAATGGCGTGATTTCGGCCCACAGCAACCTCCGCCTCCTGGGTTCAAGCAATTCTCCTGCCTCAGCCTCCTGAGTAGCTGGGATTACAGGCATGTGCCACCACGCCTGGCTAATTTTTGTATTTTTAGTAGAGACAGGGTTTCTCCATGTTGGTCAGGTTGGTCTCAAACTCCCAACCTCAGGTGATCCGCCCACCTCCACCTCCCAAAATGCTGGGATTACAGGCATGAGCCACTGTGCCTGGCCTAGCCTCAGTTTTTAATCTGTCAAGTGAAAATAAAAATTTCTGTGTTGCAGAAATATTTGGATTAGAATTACTATCTGGCATGTAGTTGGACACTATTTCATGAAAATGATTAGTGACCAGTTCTGATATTTTTTAGAATGTAATGAATTATGGTTTAGATGAAGATATAAAGTTAAAATAAATTTAAAATAATAATTTGTAAGGCAATGCAGTTTACATAAATAGACAAACCTGGAAAAGTCAAGAAGTATACAAGGACTAATATGTAGAATATTGTGGAAGAAAAAAATAAATTGCTAGTAGAAACAAGGAAGTCAGTGTGCTCTAAGAAATGCCTTGGTAATAATCTTTTTACCTGATTCTTTCAGTAATGGTGTTAAATAAATTTTCTTCTATTTACATTGGGTTTTATTTTTTCTTTTTCTAGTTTCTTAAGGTGGCAGTTGGCATCATTGATTTGAGACCTTTCTTGTCTTTTAATACAGATGTTTAATGCTATAATTTTCCCTCTAAATTATGCTTTAGCAGCATACCACAAATTCTGATATGTTGTATTTTTGTTTTATTGCTGTTTAAAGTCATTTCTCATTGTCTTTTTTTGTTGTTGTTGTTGATTCATGGGTCATTTAGAAGTGCACAATACCAGGTATGTGGCAGTTTTCCAAAAATATTTTTCCAAAAATATTTCTGTTACTGATTTTTAATTCCATTGTGTTCAGAGAACATACTTTAAGTTACTAGAATCCTTTTAAATTTATTGAGACTTGTGCTATGACCCAGAATGTCATCTAGCTTGGTTGATATTCCATGTACAATTGAGAAGAACGTATATTTTGCGCTGTTGGGTGGAATTTCTATTAATGTCAATTAAGTCAAGTTGGTTGATAGTGTGTTCAAGTCTTCGACGTAGCTATTGCTTTTCTGTTTGTGCTACCAATTATAGAGAGTGAGGTATTTAAAATCTGTGATTACAGTTGGGATTTGTCTGTTTCTTTGGCAGTTCTATCAAGTTTTTTGTTATGCATTTTGAAATTCTGTTATTAGGTATATAAACTTTAGGATTGTTATGTCCTCTTAAAATTTTTCTTTTCAACTTACATAATCTACAGAATGTTGTGTCCTCTTGATGTTATGATTCCTTTATCAGGTGACCTTTTATCATTCATAATACTATATGCTATGAAATCTGCTTTGTCTGACATGAATAGAACTGCTCCATCTTCAAATCATTTAAAATGCTAACATCCAAGCATCTTTTTATTGCTTTGTGTTTGATGATAACATGTAGTTTTGTTTTTTGTTGTTGTTGTTGTTGCTTTTGTTTGTTTTTTTTTTTTTTGAGACGGAGTTTCGCTCTTGTCGCCCAGTCTAGAGTGCAGTGGCGCTATCTTGGCTCACTGCAACCTCCATCTCCCTGGTTCAAGCGATTCTCCTGTCTCAGCCTCCTGAGTAGCTGGGATTATAGGCATGGACCACCACGCCCGGCTACTTTTGTATTTTTAGTAAAGACGGGGTTTCACCATGTTGGTCAGGCTGGTCTCAAACTCCTGGACCTCGTGATCCGCCTGCCTTGGCTGCCCAAAGTGCAGGGATTACAGGTGTGAGCCACCGCGCCTGGCCTGTTTTGTTTTTAATACTTAGTACTTTAATACTTCCATTACACTAAGTAATTTACATTACACTTAGTACTTTAGTACTTATATTACACTTAGTAGAATGCAGTGTAATGGAAAAAAAAGACAAGTTAATGAGTGTGATACAGTGTAGTCATCCTGAGACTGACAGCAGTACAAGTACACATTGGAGGGGCTTGCAAGATGGAGGAAGTTTCTTTGATGGAAATGACAGCTAATTCTTACCATAGTATTGAAAAATGAGTAGAATTAAACCTCATGGGTTGACCCAGGAAGACACTTACTACAACTGATGAGACAGCCTGTCAGGAAATAAGGATGCCAAGGACAGAATAACTGCAGTCATGTGCCAATGCAGCAGGTATAAATAAGTGTAAATGTGCTGTAATTCTTTATGGGTGGCTGAGATAATGACATCTTTGCCTTCTGATAGTTCAATATACATAAACTTTGTTTCATGCACAAAATTATTAAAAATATTATATACAGTTACCTTAGGGCTATGCATTTAAGGTACATAGGAAACATAAATGAACTTCATTTTAGACTTGCATCCCATCCCCATGATACTATATATATGCAAATATTCCAAAATTGGAAAAAATTGGAAATCTAAAACTCTTCTGGTCCCAAGCATTTGGATAAGGGATACGCAGGCAGTATTGTTACAACCATTGTAAAATGAGGAAATAAGGCATAGAGAGAGCACAGAGAAATTAAATAATATGTTCAAGGTTATACACACAGGAGATAGAACTTTACCATGGTCATTTTGACTGTGGAATCTAAGCTTTAAACCATTATGACTTTATGTATGTATGATTTAGTTGGCTTTCAAGTTCAAGAGTTTGAACTTCATTCTGTACACAGTATAGAACTCTCATAACTACCTAAGGAGGTACATAAAATAAGAAAATAAAATTTGTGTTTTTGTATTTTGAAAGCATCAATCTGTCCATAGTTCATGTTGGGAGAGATATGGAGAAGGTACCTGGAGATGTGGTTAAAAAAAAAAAAAAAGTTCCACATTCTATATAGTGTATATGTGAATTTTTAAAGTTACAATTTAAACCTCTCTGTGATTCAGTTTCCTCATCTATTAGTTGAAAATGAAAATGCTAATGGTCCCCACCACATAGGAGTATAAAACATGAACAAGTCATATAGAATTGTATATAGTAAATATTCAGTAAACTTTAGCTGTGGTGATGATGATGATAGATTGACTCTAGAAGATCAAACAAATATTAATCATGTTTTTTCTTTTCTTTTAAATGTATTAGTTTTATCATAGAACTTACAGATACAGATTTAGGATACCACAGTGCAGTAAAATCTTAATCACTACCTTCTACTCTCTATTACTGTTATTTTGGTTTTTCAGTTTATGGGAAAAACAGATGGAGACTATTACACCCTGGATGACATGTTTGTCTCCAAAGCAGCTGAGAGAGAACGTCTTGGTGAAGAGGAAGAGAACCAAAGGAAAAAAGCTATTGCTGAGCATCGGAGTCTTGCTGCACAAATGGAAAAATGTCTGTATTGTTTTGACAGCTCTCAATTTCCCAAGCATCTTATTGTTGCAATAGGTGTTAAGGTAAGAAGTATTTATTATCCTTTGCTTACATTCTCATAGAACTTTTTTTGTTTCTTCATAGAATAACTTGAATAAGTTTATTATTTTGTCTGTTTTACTTGTTTATTGGGTCTTTCCCCTAATAATTTTTAAGCTCCGTGAAGACAGAGATAACTTTTGTTCTCCATTGTATACAAAGCATCTAGCCCTGGTTGTAGTACATAATAGTAATTCATTTCAATAAATACTTATTGATTTAATTCTTACATTGAATAAATAATTTTTGTATACCTAATATCTGCCATACCCTAATTAGTCACTGGGGAAAAGTTGAGACTCAGACTTTTAGACCTTATGACTAGTGAAATAAGGCAGTAAATAAAGTAATAATTGCCCTGATTTGAAAGAATTAATTGTCATAAAGCAAGTAAAGTGAGGAAATGGGAGAAAGTGATGGGGGTATTTTTTTCACAAGGTAGTCTGGAAGGCTTCTCTGAGGAACTTTAGTAAAGATGCATAAAATGGGAAGGACAAGTAACCTGAAGATAGGAATGAATAATGTTTCAGGAAGGACTGTCAGTGAAAAGCCCTGAGGAGGAAATGAGCTTAGCATTGGTGGAGCAGAAAGAAGGCAGGAGTGGAGTCAGTGAGAAAAGTAGAAGAAGTTGAATGAATGAATGAATGCTAGTTTCAGGAACGAATAGTTTGGGAAACATACATGTACATATTTATGTTGTTTATTGTATACATACACATACCCCTAGTCTTTAATATCTTTAGGTTGTTGAGGTGGTTACATCAGTGTCCATTCTGGCTTCTTTTGATTTATTTTCTTATCTTCTTTTTCTTCTCTTTTCCTTTATACTTAACAAAAAGATAAATGTCAAAATCCCATTCAAAATTAAATAATTTTTAAAAATCCATCTTAACTAATTATATTTATTTTTCTAAGTTCCTTTCCCAACTTTCATGTAAACAACATGGTTATAACTTAAATAAGAGTTATGTTCATTCTTTAATATTTTTGCCTGATTCTAGTCATCTATTTTTAATTTGATTTAGAAAAAGAAACAAAAAACTGCTTGGTAATTCATTCATTTACCAGGTATTTACTGAGTATCTAGTGTTTGTCAGCCTCTAGTACTAGGTACTAGAAATATAAATATGCCTAAAACCTCCTCAAGTTGCTTACAGCTTTATGGGGAGCAGGCAAACATAACCAGATCAGTTTTAATGCAGTGATATAAATGCTCTTGCATTTCGTGGGAACACGAAAGAGGAATATTTAGGTTACCGTGGAGTTATCAAGGAAGGCTTTCTGGAAGAAGTATGTCTTGTGCTACATTTTAATGGTGGAATAGGATACATTTCAGTATTTAGGAAATACAGGACAATACAAGCAAAGACACTGAGGTTTACAACCACATGGTTCATTCTGGGAACTATAAGCTGTCTTAAGTGGGTACTACCCTTACTGGATCTCAGACCTCAGGAGTGTAAAGACTTTATACATCAGACCTGAGAATTATCTAGTCTTCCATTTATACCTTTAGGTGGGGGAAGAGGAGATATACTAGCATTCATACATAAATGAACTACACCAAAATTTAGTGGCTTAAGACAGCATTTAAATCATTCTGTTTTGTATGGTCTGTTATCTTCCAGTAGGCTAGCATAGGCTTCTTCACATGGGAGCTAGGCTTGTTCCAACAGAATTAGCAGAAGTACACAAGGCCTCTTGAGGCATAGTCTTGGAACTGACCATCATCATTTCTACCATATTCTGTGGCCCTTATGAGTCATAAGGCCAGTTTGCACCCATCTCTTGATGGGAGGAGCTACAGAGTAACATTGTGAAGGGTTTCAGTATATGGAGTAGTAAATAACTGGATGCCTTTATGCAATCTACTATAGAAGACTTTTAGAATTTTTGCTTACACTCTCTTAAAATGCTATAACAGAGATATCTTTCTCTGAAATGTTCTGTTCATTTCATGACTACTGTTTTTAGACCACTAGCAAATTTACATTTTAACCCAAATATCTCCTAGAATTCTAGGTTCATGTATCCAACCTACTTTTCCACTTGGATATCTAGTAAACATCTGAAACTTAGGTGAAGGTCTAATACCCGTCTCCACCTTTACCTTTAGCTAACACTAACCCTCCCATAGTCTTCCTCTTTTTAGTAAATGTCACTTTCATCCTCCAGTTGCTTGCATTAGACCTTGGAGTAATATTGAGTCCTTTACTTTCCCTCACTCCTTACTGTCCATTTCTAAATTCTGTTGGCTATATTTCAGAATATATTCATGTTCTGACCACATTTCATAATCTTTATTTCTACCACCCTGGTTCAAGTCATCATCATTTATTACTGGACTTCTGTAATAGTTTCCTAATGGGTCTTTCTGCCTCTTTCCTTTGCCCTTTCTCTATACAGTAGCAAGTGATCTTTTTGACTTTAAGTCAACATTAGTCAGATCTGGCTTTCAGACCAAAGCTGGAATCCTTATTGTCGCCTATGAGGCAGGCCTACAGGCCCAATTCTTCCTGTCACCTCACTGTCTGTCAGCCTTCCTCTCATCATCTCAGCTTAGCCACACTGGCTGTCTGACAAGCTGGAGAGCACACTTGGTATGCATCCTCCTCACATGCTTTTCCTTTTGCCTGGGAGTTTCTTCTTGTGTCTACCCTTCCTTCCTTCACATATCTTCTCAAATGTTACCCTAGAAGGTAACTTTAAAGGGAGGCTTCCTAACTTCTCCCTAGACACTATCTATACCTTTTTCTGCTTTATTTTTTTTAGTACCCCTTATCACCATCTGACATATTGTGCATTTTACTTTACATTTACATTGTTTATTTGTATTTCTTCTTTGATGTCTTAGTTCGGGCTACTATAAAAAATACCGTAGACTGGATGGCTTATCAGCAACAGAAATTTATTGAAGCTAGTTCTGGAGGCTGGGAAGTCCAAGATCGGTGCTAGCAGATTCAGTGTGAGGTCCCACATCCTGGTTCACAGACAGTCATCTTATTGGTGTGTCGTTACATGGTGGAAGTGGCAAGAACATTCCCTGGGGCTTCTTTTATAAGATAATTAATCCCATTCATAAGGGCTCTGTCCTCATGATCTAATCACCTCCCGAAGTCCCCTACCTCCAAATATTATCACCTTGGGTGTTAAGATTTAATGTGTATATTTTGGAGGCACACAGACATTCAATCTGTAGCACCCCATAAGCTCCTTATGGGTAGGGATTTGTGTCCCTGCACATTGTTGATTCCCTAGCATGTAGAACACTGCCCAGCATGTAATTGGCCCTCAGTAATTATTGATCAGCCAATCAGTAGCTCTGCTTTCTCTGTCAAATAAAAGAAAGTATTGCTTTTTTGTGTGTTCTAATTTATTTAGGTATTAATTTATGAATTTTCTTTTCTCTTTTATGTATCTATTTGGAAAAACTGCTTTTGATACCAATTTTAGGGGATTTTTATGTTTATAATGCTTTTAAAAATGAATTTTATTACAACTTATTTGACCTGTCATTGACACTTGGACCTGGCTCTTTATCTCAGTGATTATGTAGAAAATTCAGTGATTTCTTTAAATATTTCATTTTCTAAATCTTGTAAGTTGTCTATAGACATACCCATGACCCTTAATCTTTATTTCTTTTTTTCATGAACATGTTTGTGATTTTACTGTAATTTTAGGTAGATATCCATGTCCACTCCTACTTTGTTGTTTGTCAGCAAAGTTTTAAACATTTGAGTTATTCTATTAAATAAATAATGTCTGCCATGCAAAATATTTCTAGCTAAAACCCAGCAAAATATAACAGAAATAAGAATAAGATCAAGCCCTTTGTAATGCTTTTGTTCTCTGTATATATACCGATTAACCTTTTTTTTTTAAGACAGTTTGTATATAATGGAAAATTAGCACCAGTTTTTAGGTAATACATGTATGTAAATACACAGTGGTAAAGCCATTCCGAGGTCATTTCCTCTTCGTCTTAGCTGAGTTAATTCTCTTTTCTCAGCTAATCAGAGAAGGAAGGCCTGATAAACAGGCATCAGTTAGACTACCGTTACCAGGCCATGTGTCTTTTTGTTTTTGTGAAAATTGTGTTGTTTCAAGAGTTGTCAAAGTATCTAGCTCCTTCAGATTAAGGATATTGTGTCATTCATTCTGCTCTTCTTTGCCTAATCTTAATCGTTGTCTGATGTAAAATAGTGAAAATTGAGATCTGTGCTCTAAATTTTCAGTTTATTAAAAGCTATCCTGATGCCTTTAAAAATACTAAATATCTTTAAAAATATTAACATTTGCAAAAGCAATTCTTAAGTATTCTTCATTAAATATTCATCATTTTTTTCTACTAGGGGCTCATCTGTTACAACTGAGAATAAATAGCATTAACATATAAATATATAACATATAAATAACAATAACATTTCACCTTTTGTATTTCTCTCTTATAGGTTTATTTATGTTTACCCAACGTACGGTCTCTTACTGAGGGGCACTGCCTGATAGTCCCTTTGCAGCACCATAGAGCAGCTACTTTGTTGGATGAAGACATCTGGGAGGAGATCCAGGTCAGCATAATAAATGTTCATTATCATTTTAAAACTCATGAGCAATTTTTGTAAATTATTGTGATAAATTCCAATAGGTATAACTTCATTTAATGATTTTAGTTTCTAAACTTAAACACGTGTGTTTTCATAGTTGTATATATCTGTGGATCATGATGTTTCCATCATTTTATTTCCCTTGTGTACTCCAGATTTTGAGACCTTTTATCTACGAAATAAACTGTGACAAAGTAATAATTATTTTTACTTAAAAAAATCAGTCTAAGATTTCAACACTTCTTTTGTAGCATGAAAGAATCATTCTTACCACAGTAAGCCAATAAATTGCAGCTGAAAGGAAAGACGTTTTCAGATAATGAAAAGAAATTTGAGGAGTCAGAGGTTTTATATTTAGCGGTTGCCGTATTTTCCTGTGATAGAATTGGTCTTCTCTGCTGCTGTGTTTTTGTGGTGATTTTGTTACTAGCTTTAATTTCTGCTCTTTTTCCTTCATAATCTGGCCCAGCTTTTGGATTCAGGGATTTGTTTTTGTGGCTGATGCTTTAAGAGAGTGAAAGGCACAACATGGGTGAAATTGTTGCTGAATTATTTCAAGACCTAATAATGACCAGGAAAGAAAGGAAGAAAACTCTTTATTTTTTTAATGCCAGACAACTGAATAGGGGCTACAGGGAGCCTTAATTAGAAAATGTGAAAATTGTAAGTTAGCACTGCACAAGAGATGACTAGTCTTTGCAGCATGCTGATAAGTATGTCAAAAGAAGAGATGTTTTGATGGCATTTAATGAAATTTAGTCTTGTATACCTTGTAATTTTAAAGTTTTTGCTGTCAAAGTTTAAAGGGTAGATTGTTTTATTGCATCTGCAACCAAGCAAAAGTAAGAATATGTCTTTTTGATGTGAAAGTTTGCGTTTTCCTAGTAGTGGATGCCAGTGCCAGTAGGTAATTTAAGGTGGAAAGTATGGAAATTCAGTTCTTAGAATTATTTTAGAACATTTCCAGGAAGCCTTTTAAAAATTTATACATATAAAACTGATTTAATTTAGAGCAAAATGCAGTGCCAAAAATATTTTAAGTAATTATAGGAATACAATGTGTATATGTTTTATATTTCTATAAGAAATCAAGCTGCTTAATGAAAACAGTTTAAGTGGATGAAGATTTTTATTCAATTTAACAGATATTGAGTACACAAATATAATATTTTAGGTGCTGTAAGAAATGAAGAGATCAAGTAATTCATTAATTCTGCCAAAATATGTGGTGTATTTCTAGTATAGTTTACATTATAGTTTAGCAGAGTTTGGAAACCAAGTGTACTATGGAAAACTGCGAAAGAGAGGAAAAGCCAAATTGTTTTATGCAAATAATGGTGTTGTAGCTCCTTTTGTGTGAGAAAGGAAAATAATTGTTAGAAGTTATCAATTATTGTAGGCTAGTGAACTAATGAAATATTTGAATCCTAGCTTGATGAGGTACAGTTTGCTGTTGCTGTTGTTGTTGTTGTTATTTTACTTTCAAATATGTACAACTCAAATTAATTCTACCCTAGTGAGTATCTTTGATTATTCACCTCTTTTATTGGATATATTAAAAAAAGATTTGACTTAGCACAAAATGTTGTTGCCAAATGTTGCAATGCAGGAGCCACTTCTTTCAAGTGGTTTTAAAAATCACCAGTATCTAGTAATATTTAAATGTAATTTTAGACTTCCTATTTAATAGAAAATGCGAAGATGTTTTAGCATAGCATACTTGAGTAATCACAGATTTCAAATAAGATCCAAATTGCTGGTTTTGTTTAATATGTAATGAAACTTGGTTCCCTCTAAATTTATTGTTATCATTTTTACAAATTTTCTTGAACATATGCTGTAGGCAAACACTGTAAGCCCATTTAAAAAATATCCCAAGTTGGTAGGTGGGGAAAAAGGAGGGTCACTGATGCTTACATACAGTGAACTTCAATGTGGAGTGATATGTGGGGCCATTTCATTAGGAAATAGCCAATGTTAGTACCTTTAGGTCTTTTTCTTGGGGCTAGCCAGACCTTCAAAAAGACTCTTTCAACCTCCTGTCATCTAAGCCCACTTGCCAGTGTTCTGGGAGCTGAATGGGGGAAGAAGGCTGGAGGTGGCAGTGTTGAACATGTACGGACATTAAGTAACCTTTCTGATAACACCCCTGTTTTCAGACTGTAAACTCTCACCTGTGTCTGGTTTTCTAGCCCAGCTACCTTGTTTTACCTTTTCCAGAGGAGAATCCTGTAGTGTTCTGATCATGAGGAGGGGATCTGTCATGTTGATTGCTTTTTTAATAGGCTTTCCTCTAAGTCATCTGTTTTTAGCCACACCTTCACCTCCACGTCCATAAGTACTTGGTGCTGCCAACTCCTGAGCCTTTTGAAGGTTCTGCAGTGTAGCATGGGTTTCCTCTTTGCTATCCCTGCTAACCTTCTTTCTCCTCCCCAAGGTATGAACCAACTTTCTAGCATTTAAGTCAGATCTTATGGAGTGATCTGATTTGTCATTGTGTTTTCTCTCATTTCCTTTGTTCAAGTAGCTTCTGCCTTTTAAACAATTGTTTAAATTCATTTTTGAGGTGTTACTCTGTGGAGAGAGTAGAGATAAATGTGTTCTGTTCTGTTGCATAACATTTACCTTGGGATAACTTGATAACTTTATATTTAAACATGTTATATTTTAAAAACGACTACATCATAGCGTTAATATTCCAAAATCAGTCCTATATAGCGTTAATAGTTTTAAGTACTTTAATTTGAATGTCAAAATTATGTATTCATATGTACTTGATTTTTTCATACTGTGGTGATACAAAAGGACCTGCAACATTGTGCAGTATAGTTTCCTTAAACTGATTATAAGAAATTGTAGTCTGGATGCATTGACTAAATGAGGAATGGGCAATTAGATGAATAATGATAGGTTAGAAATGTGGAAAGTAGTGGTTACCCAAAGAATGAAGTGTTTTTTTACTAGGAATATGGGAATTTCATGTCATCTCCATAACATGGGAACTCTGCATCTCTCTTAAATATAAAACAGTTTTGATTTATCTTATGATATGGAACTACAAAAACTTTCCCCATTATTTAGTTGTTACATAACTTTTTAAAAAATGAATATTTTTGTATAGCGTATTTGTTATTGAGTATGGAGAACATCATGCTTGATGTTGATCAAACGCAAATTATTCCATTAAACTCATATTTGTAAATTAAAATATTCTATATATGTGTGTGTATAGAGAGAGGGAAAGAGAGAGGAGAAGTACTTAAATGTGTGTGTATCCTCCTTGGAGCTATTAGTATGAGGTTTATATATTTTATAATACAGAACCATTCTTGCAACACTATTTTAGTATTTTTTCAGTTTTTGTTTATAATTCATGACATTTTGAGTCTGCCTTCTTCACTATTCTCCAGATAAAATCTAGAACAGTCATCCAATAATTAAGCCAGAAAGGGAGTATGAACAAACATGAAGTAAAGATGTTTGTGAGGTAATTTTCGGATTATTTAAACTTTTATTATTGTTATTGCTGTTGCTTTTTATGTACATCTTTTCTTCTTTGAAAAAGTTTGGGTTACAAATACATAGTTCCACTCTGTTAACGATTTTGTTTTTTCTAGTATATAAGGTTATCTTCTCACTCTATGACTAGATATTGAAGTAAGTAACAATAAAGTTTTCTTAATAAATAAAAGTTTATAAGCATAGTAACAAGTAACAAAATAGAGACAATCTGAAAAGCTGTCATAATAGCAAATTTGTATATTTTCCTATTTCATTCTGTTTTTTAGTTTTTTTTGTGCAAGTAACACTAGGCATGTGAAGGTAATGATGAGTGGAAACCATGTGGGGAGGAGGCACGAGCCATGCCTCCTCCTTCCAGTCAGGATAGTATCAGTGGAAGCCTAATGGGAACCTAGCACTCCCACCTGCTACCCAGCAGTAATGAGTAGCCTCTCCCATTTTTGAGTGTCAACAGAGGCCGAGTTGGGAACCTGAACTTCTATCCCCATATGGCAGTAATGAGGTAGTATCTCCCTTTCTTCTGATGGAGCAGTATTAGGAAAAGCCATATAAAACAAAAAATTTAAACAAGATCCAGTCTCTTAATTCTCAAAATATCCAGATTTCAATTGAAAATAACTTATAAAGACAATCTCAACTAGGTTGAAAAAGGTAATCAATAGACACCAACACCAAGATAACAGAGATGTTCTAATTATCTGACAAAGATTTTAAAGCAGCCCTCGTAAAAATGCTTCAACAAGCAATTAGGAAAATACAACAAGTGCTGTAAGGAAAGTACAATTTGAATGACAGCGCATTTCTCACTAGAAACCATGGAGACCAGAAGGAAGTAGCACATTTCTCAAGTGCTGAAAGAAAATAACTGTCAAGCAAGAATTCTGTTTCTAGTGAAAATATCCTTCAGGAATATGGGAGAAAATCAAGACATTGTTAGGTAATGGAAAACAAAGAGAAATTGTCATCAGCAGAGCTGTCCTAGAAGAATAGTTAAAGGAAGTTCTTTAAACAGAAAGGAAATGATAAAAGAAAAAATCCTGGAAAATCAGGAAGGAGGAAAGAAGTTTTGACTAAAGAAGAGGAGAAGCCAGTATGATGACAGAAGCAGAGACTGAAATGATGCAGCCACTAGCCAAGAAATGCTGGCAGCCCCAGAAACTTTTTTTGAGATTGAGTCTTACTCTGTTACCCAGGCTGGAGTGCAGTGGCGTGATTTTGGCTCACTGCAACCTCTGCCTCCTGGGTTCAATCGATTCTTGTGCCTCAGCTTCCTGAGTAGCTGGCACTACAGGCATGCACCACCACACCCAGCTAATTTTTGTATTTTTAGTAGACTGGGTTTCACCATGTTGGCCAGGCTGGTCTTGAACTCCTGGCCTCAGGTGATATGCCTACCTCAGCCTCCCAAAGTGCTGGAATTACAAGCGTGAGCCACCGCACCTGGTGTCTGATGTGTTTCCAAATGTATGTGGAGAAAGTATTTAAGACAATTTTATTCTAACTGAGGGAGAGTAAATGGACATAAAGGGAAGTAAGGGGTCTCTATTTTATTTGCATTGGTAAAATGGCCCCAGTAGACTGTGATTAAATATATATGTATGTATATGTAATGCCTTAAAGCAACTCTTAGAATCACTTTAAAAACTATACAAATTGACAGACTGAAAAACACTAAATAAATCAAAATGGAATTCTGAAAATGTTCAAATAACCATCGGAAGGCAAGAGAAAGGAACCAGAAAAACAATAGAAAGAACAAACAGAAAACAAAAAAAATAAAAATAGAATATCTCTACTATATCAATAAACAGTATATCAGTTAAAAGATAGTTTGGTAGAGGAGATTTCATAACTATATGCTGTCTGCAAGAACTCTTCAAATGTAATAATACCACAAGTAGAATAATATAAAAGGTTGGAAAAATATATATTATGCAGCCATTAATGAAAAGAAAGCATTTATGCCAGATAAAGTAGACGTTAGAGCAGAGGAAATTACCGAAGAAGAGAGGGGCATTACATAATGATGAAAGGGTCAATCCACCGAGAAGACATAGCAGTCCTAAATGTGTGTACACCAACACTGAGGCACAAAGTCTGTAAAACAGAAACTGAATGAACTGAAAGGAGAAATAGGCAAATTCATAATTATGGTTAGAGACTTCAGCACCTCATTTTAACAACTGGTGGAACAACCAGACTGAAAGTCATCAAGGATATAAAAGAACTTAAAAACACCATTGCACTAGTTTCCTATTGTTGCTGTAACAAATTGCCACAGAGATGGTGCCTTAAAACTGTAGAAGTGTATTTTCTTATGGTTCTGGAGATCAGATTCCAAGTGAGTCTTATGGGGCTAAAATCAAGGTATCTACTGGACTGGTTCCTTCTGGAGACTCTGGAAGAGAATCTATTCCTTACCTCTTCTAGTTTCTAGGGGCTGCCAGCATTTCTTGGCTTGTGGCTACATCATTTCCGTCTCTGCTTCTGTCATCATATTGCCTTCTCCTCTTCTTCAGTCACAACTTGCTCTGCCTCCCTCTTATAAGGAAACTTTTAATTACATTTAAGATATACCCAGGCAATCCAGGATAATCTTCCTGTATCAAGATTCTTAGTTATATCTGAAAAGTCTCTTATGCCATATATGGTAATGTTGTTAGGTTCTTGGGAATAGGACCTGGATATCTTGGGGGCCATTAGTCAGCCTGCTATAACCATCAGTCAGCAGGATTTAATCAATATTTGTATAACACTCCACTTAACAATATTAGAAAACATTTTTTTCAGAGCATAGACTCTATCTTGCCACAAAACTAATCTCAGCAAATTTAAAACAATTGAAATCATACAGAGTGCATTCTCTGATCACAGTGGAATCAAACTAGAAATTAATAACAGAAAGATAATCAAAAAATTCCCAAATACTTGGAAATTAAATAATACACTTCAATAGTGTATTATGGAACAACTTTAAAAAGAAGTTTCAGGAGAAATTTAAGAAATAATAATCTAATTGAATTACAATGAAATTACAACATGTTAAATTAAATAATACACTTCAATAGTGTATTATTCAACAACTTTAAAAAGAAGTTTCAGGAGAAATTTAAGAAATAATAATCTAATTGAATTACAATGAAATTACAACATGTTAAGATTTATGAGGGACAGCTAAGGGAGTGCCGAGAGAGAAATTTATAGCACTAAATACTTATAGAAAAGAGGAAAAACCTTCACCTCAAGAACCTAGAAAAAGAAGAGCAAAGTACATCCAAAGCAAGCAAAAGGACAGAAATAATAAAGATAAGAGCAGAAATCAATGAAATTGAAAACAGAAAAATCATAGAGAAAATCAATGAAACAAAAGTTGGGGTTTTTAAAAAAATAAATTAATAAACTTCCAGCAAGACCAACAAAGGAAAAAAAATGAGAAAAAACAAGTTACCAATATCAGAAATAAAACAGTATTAGTACAGATTTTGCAGTCATCAAAAAGATAATAAGGGAATAATATGAACAACTCTGGATGTAATGGACCAGTTCCTTGAAATGCAAACTGTTACAACACACTCAATATGAAACAGACAATTTGAACAATCTTTTAACTAATAAGGAAGTAGACTTCATAATGTAAAACTTCTAAAAAATTAAATCTCCAAACCCAGATGGTTTCATTGGAGAATTTTATGAAACTTTTAAAGAATTGACACCAATTTTATATAATCTCTTGAGGAAAGAACACTTTCCAATTCATTCATATTGGGAGTTTGTATTATCCTGATACCGTAAGTTAGTGTTATCCTCATACCACAAGACAGTTAAATAAAATAGCTACAACTCAATATCCTATGTGAATAGAGATGTAAAAATTATCAACAAAATATTAGCAAATAGAGTTTGGCAATATATAAAAACAATAACACACTATGTCCAAGTAGGGCTTATACCAAGTATGAAAGACTGGTTCAATATTAGATAATAAATCATTATAATCCACCATGTTCATATCAATCAATGAAGAAAAAGCATTTGATGAAATTCCTACTCATTTATGATAAAAACTCTCAAAATCAAAGATTAAAGACTGCCGGAAGGAAGCTTATCTAAAGTTTGTTCTCTCCATAAGGCACATCACATCACAATGTTGTGCTAAGGAACACCAGATGGCACTTCAGTAATGTGCTTAGGGTCCAGTTTGAACAGAGAAATCAAAAACAAAAAGCACAAATATGTGGAAATGTGGCACTAAATAGACCCTGGAAAGCACACTTGTTTACATTGAGAACTGAAACAGGGCAGACCATTGCTTTGTTCAACTTTGGTTGGGAAGGTGTATGTCGGATGACTCAACTTTTTCACCACTCTGCAGTTGTCTGTAAAAGATCTCAAAAATGCCATGAGAATTGATTTGGAAGACAAATTTGTAAATATGGAATCCACAAATACTGAGGATGGACGAAGGTACAAATCTAACAAAACGTGTCCATATTTTGTATGCTAAAAACTACAAAACACTGTTAAGAGAAATTTCAAAAATAAGATAAATGTAGATATATCATGTTTATGGATTAGGAGAGTCAACATAGTAAAGATGACAGTCTTCCTCAAATTAATATACTAGTTTAACACAATTTTTATCTAAGTGCCAGCAAGATTTTTTTGTAGGTATAGATAGAATTATTCTAAACTTTATATGGAAAGGCAAAGGAACCAAAATAGTGAAAATAATTTTGAACAAGAAGAATACAGTTGCAAGAATCAGCCTTACCTGATTACTGGAGATGTATAATAAGCAAGATTATTACATATCTACAGTAATCAAGACTATGTGATATTGGTGGAGGGATAGACATATAGATTAATTAAACCAAATAGACAACCCAGAAATAGACACAACCAAATATTCTCAACTGAATTTGACAAAGGTGCAAAAGCAATTCAGTGTAAAAGGGATAGCCTTTTCAGTGAATGGTGCTGGAGCAATTGGACATGCATAGCAAAAAACTTGAGTATCAGCTTAAACCTCATACCTTATATAAATATTAACTCAAAACGGCACACAGCCCTCCAGTGTAAAGTGGAGCACAGCACTCCAATGTAAGGTACAAAACTATAAAACTTTTGGGAGAAAAACAAGATAAAATTGTCAAGATCTTGGGTACACAGAGTTCTTTGACTTGACACCAAAAGTATAATCCATGGAAACAAAAATTGATAAATTGAGCTTTGTCAAATTAAAAACTTTTGTTCTGCAAAATACTCTGATATGAAGATGAAAAGACAAATTATAAACTAGGAGAAAATATTTGCAAACCACATACCTGGCAATGGATTTGTATCTAGAATATATAAAGAATATTTTTATATCTAGAATGTCAAAACAGTGAAAACAATCCAATTAGGAAATTGGCTGAGCGCAGTGCCTCACGCCTGTAATCTCAGGACTTTGGGAGGCTGAGGCAGGTGGATCACCTCAGGTCAGCAGTTTGAGACCAGCCTGGCCAACATGGCGAAACCTTGACTCTACTAAAAATACAAAAATTAGCCAGGCATGGTAGTGCACACCTGTAATCCCAGCTGTTGTGGGGGGGCCAAGGCGGGAGAATCACCCGAACCTGGGAGGCAGAGTCTTCAGGGAGTTGAGATCGCACCACTGCACTCTAGCCTAGGTGACAGAGCGAGACTCCATCTCAAAAAAAAAAAAAAAAAAGGGATAAACAACATCATGAAACATTTTGCTGAAGAGGATCTATATTAATAGATGGCAAATAAGCATATAAAAATGATATTTAATATCATTGGCCCTTAGGAAAATGCAAATTAAAATCACAGTGATAAATTAGACCTATCAAAATGTCAAATAAAACACATTGACAACCCCAGATGCTGGCCAGGATATGGAGAAACAGAATTGCTCTTCTGTTAATGGTAGAAATGTAAAATAGTATGACCACTTTGGAAAACAGTTTGGCAGTTTTTAAAAATATGAAATATGCAACTATCATAGGACTCAACTCTTGCACTTCTTGGCATTTATTCCAGAGAAATGGAGTTATATTTCCCCAAAAACCTGTGCACAAATGTTCATAGCAGCTTTATTTGTAATAATTAAAAACTGGAAACACCCCAGATATTCTGTAAAGGTGTATGGTTAAACATACTGGGCACATCCATATCAGGAATACTCCCAGCAATGAAAAAGAATGAATTGTTGATGCATGAAACAACCTGGGTGGATCTCCAGAGAATATGCTAATTGAAAAAAGCCTAATGGCTACTATTAAAAAGTCAAAAAACAACAGATGCTGGTGAGGTTGTAGAGAAAAAGGAACGCTTATACACTGTTTGTGGGAGTGTAAATTTGTTCAACCATTGTGGAAAACAGTGTGGCAATTCCTCAAAGACCTAGAGGCATACCATTTGACCCAGCAATTCCATTACTGGGTATATACCCAAAGGAATATAATTCATTCTGTTATAAAGATACATGCACACATGTGTTCATTGCAGCACTATTCACAATAGCAAACACATGGAATCAACCTAAATGCCCATCAATGATAGACTGGATAAAAAAATGTGGTACATATACACCATGCAATACTATGCAGCCATAAAAAGGAATGAGATCATGTCCTTTGCAGGGACATGGATGGAGTTGGAAGCCATTATCCTTAGCAAGCTAATGCCAGAACAGAAAACCACACACCACATGGTCTTTCTTATAAATGGGAGCTAAATGATGAGAACACCTGGACACATGGTGGTGGGGAACAACACACACTGGAGCCTGTCGGTGGGTGGGAGGTGGGAGGAGGGAGAGCATCAGGAAGAATAACTGATGGTTGCTAGGTTTAATACCTAGGTAACGGGATGATCTGTGCAGCAAACCACCATGGCACACGTTTACCTATGTAACAAACATGCACATCCTGCACATGTATCCTAGAACTTAAAGTAACAGTTGAAGAAAAAAAAAGAAAAAAGCCTACCTCAAAAGATTACATGGTTCTATTCATGTAACATTCTTGAAATGTCAGAATTAAAGAAATCAGGAACACATTAAGGGGAAGGTAGAAGAAGGGAATGAGGACTGGATAGGGTGTGGAATGACTGTGACTGTAAAAGGGTAACAGGAGCTGGCCATGGTGGTGCACCTTTAGTCCCTGAGTAGCTACTCAGGTGGCTAATGGGGGAGGACTGCTTGAGCCTGAGTACGACGAGGTTGTAGTGTGCTATGATCACACCTGTGAATAGCCACTGGTACTTCAGCCTGGGCAACATAGCATAACCACATCTCTAAAAATAAAAGGAGAAGAGAAAGTAAAAGGGTAACAGAAGATCTTTATGGACAGTGTTGGAATTGCTCTCAGTGTTGACTATATCAATGTCAATATCCTGGTTGTGATATTATAGTATAGTTTTATAAGATGTTACCTTGGGGAAACTGAGTAAAGCATACATGGGATCTCTCTGTATTATTTCTTATAACTACATGTGATCTGTAATTACCTCAAAACAAAATGTTTAAATAAAATATTAAAAAGTTATAAATCAAGCTGACAAATCTAAATAAAATACATTTTATCTTCCTACTTAAATATACTTTCATAAACTCTTACAAGGCCAACTTTAGTTTAAAATTCTTAGACAACTTGATCTTGAACTCCTGATCTCAGGTGACCTACCCACCTCGGCCTCCCAAAGTGCTGGGATTACAGGCATGAGCCACCGCGCTCATCCAGAATTCTTAGACAGCTTGAGGGGTTCACAGTAAGACATGGTGATGTGGACGGAGCTGGGCTCTGGCATCCAGCCTTCAGCCTGTTCCCCTTTCTTTCGATCCCTAGCTCCATCCTGTACTACAGGGGGTGTCATGTGAATGCATGCAGACATCCTGGACCACTCAGCTCTATTCAGTCACCCTCTACAAACAGCTGCCCTTTAGGCCTAGGAGTGTGAAATACACACACACACACACACACACACACACACACACACACACACAAAACACACACCTCCACAACTGATTATATTTGTGTGTATAGTTGTATAATAATACTTAGTTCCTTGGGAAGAGAAAACCCTATTACTTTTCAACTTTAGTGTATTTGGCTTTCATATGCTTTATAGGACTGCATTATATGTGAAAATAGAGGACTACCTGAATATACAAGGTTATTAGTGATGGGTCAGCAGACATAGGGAACCAACAAATGCAGATGCTATGAGCATAGGAAAACAATTGGAAGTGAATTCTCATGTATTTCTGAGTTTAAGGATGCCCATCTGCTCAGAGTATCTCTTTTGGCTTATGGATATTTTCCTATGATTGTTCTGTCAGTTCTGCATATTTTACCACCTAAATTTGATTTTTATCACTTCTTTCTCTCATTTTACTGAAACTATTTCTAATATATACATAGTGGGTTTCAGTTTTTTTAAAAGTCTTGCTTAAATATATGAAATTATATAGTAGATTTAGAAAGTAAAGTAACTATAACATTGCAGAGTTCAGATATTACTGTTTATTTTATTTATTTTTCATTTTAAAGGGATTTGTACTTTTTTATTAAAGTTTTCATATTTCAAATATCTTGAATATGCTTGATTTTGAATCTCCTTTAAGTGTTTTCTTTACCTAGTTCTTTTTTTTTTTTAGATGTTCAGAAAATCATTGGTAAAGATGTTTGAAGATAAAGGATTAGACTGCATTTTTTTGGAAACTAATATGAGCATGAAGAAACAGTATCACATGGTTTATGAATGTATTCCTCTTCCCAAGGAAGTGGGTGACATGGCTCCCATCTATTTTAAGGTGTTTATAAGTAGTCTTTGCATATACACTTATTTTTTGCTATAGTGCTATTTTACAAATATTGTTGTCTTTATTAACATATTTTTCTCCTATATACTTACATCAAAATTTATATAAAGAAATGAAATAGGCCGGGCACAGTGCCTCACTTGGAAGGCCAAGGTGGGGAGATCACCTGAGGTCAGGACTTCAAGACCAGCCTGGCCAACATGATAAAACCCCATCTTCACTAAAAATACAAAAATTAACTGGGCATGGTGGTGGGCACCTGTAGTCCCAGCTACTCAGGAGGCTGAGGCAGGAGAATCACTTCAACCCAGGAGGCGGAGGTTGCAGTAAGCTGTGATGGCACCACTGCACTCCAGCCTGGGTGACAGAGCCTGATCTTGGCTCACTGCAACTTCTGCCTCCTGGATTCAAGCAATTCTCCTGTCTCAGCCTCCTGAGTAGTTGGGACTACAGGCATGCACCACTACGCCCAGCTAATTTTTTGTATTTTTAGTAGAGATGGGGTTTCACCATGTTGGCCAGGATGGTCTCGATCTCTTGACCTCGTGATCTGCCCGCCTCAGCCTCCCAAAGTGCTGGAATTATAGGCGTGAGCCACTGCACCTGGCCTACACTAAACCTTTTATGTGATCATTGAAGATGCTTTTATATTGAATGTGCTATATTACAGTGTCAAGCCAAGCAACTGGTGCCTTTTAAATAGGTAATAGCACTGTATCTGTTCTATTTAAATAGAACTTATTTGAATGTTATTTTATCTTTAAAATTTGCTTCATTAATAACAATACTGTAAAAACATGAGGTTATTTTATATTTATCACTCTGGCTTTTCTTTCTTTTAAATATTTCTTTACCATAAATAGTAGTCACATTGCTTAGCATAGGAAGTCTTACTCCATTTCTATGTATTTTCTCCCTACATTTTAAAAAATTCTTATTTTTTAAATTACAAATTGACAAATTATAGTTATATAAATTCTGACATCAAAAACATAAAATGTGTGAGGGGTAAATAAAAGCATTGAGTTGCATGCAATCAAAGTTAAGTTGCTATCTGCTTGAAATAGACTTATGCTTCCTGGACTTTTAAAAAATAGGCTTTATTTTCTAGAGCACATTTTTTTTCCTGTATTTTTACTTCTTCATTATATGAGCAGAAATAGTTCAAGACCTTGGTTGCTAGAAAACATGTAAATTACTCTGTTGCCTTTTGGAAGAAGAGCAGTAAAACTAAATGAATTTATTTAGTAATCTCTATGAATGCAGTGCTATAAATGGAACTTTATGATCACAAATTATGTTTCATATTAAATTGATTGGTCTTATTAAGGATTGCCATGTAAAGTTGAGCTCAAGTTAGTATAACAGTTAAGAATGAGTAAAAGAATATTATCTTTGGCTAATGGTAAGATTTCAAAAATTTAAGAAGTTCTTATTTTAAATAACTAAAAGCCTTAATCAGTTCAGAATAATGGCTTACTATGTATAATATACCCCATAATTAATTTGCTATATTACTTGTTATAAGCTGTTTCTTTTTATTTACTTACATGTTCTTTTTTCACTTAACAAATGGATATTTCTTAGAAAGCCATAATGGAATCTGATGAAGAGTGGTCCATGAACAAGAAGTTGATAGATCTCTCTTCAAAAGATATCAGAAAGTCTGTAAGTATGTTTTTTCCTGGTAAAAGAAATTACCCTAGTGCTCAGGATCTTTATTAATTTCCATGTCTTAGTTGACAAAGGGACCATTTGGTTGAGTGACTGAAGGCGAAATTACTAGTTCGACAAATGAAGTTATTTTTATCCTACCTGGTCTAGAAAATGCTTATTTGTTTGTAGAGGGTTTTTATTTGTTCACATGAATGTTTCTTCCTGACCTTTGGCCTTCTGCCACTGTAGTCCCTATAATTGGCTATGGCAGCTATTAGAGTCTGCCGTGAGAACTGCTGTGGTGAGCTTCTCAGCCCCTGTGGGACAAATGGTGAGAAGGGCCTTCCTGAAATATATTGTTCTGCAATTATACTGAGAGAAAAATTTTCCTAGATGTTCCATTTTGAATTTGGAACTCATTTTCTTTTTCTTATACAAAGGTTCACTATTATGTTCCTATAAAACTATAAAATAGTAGTTGAGTTAGATTGTGGGTTCTTTTGGAGACTTGCCTAATCATACCTCATAGTTTAATCTTTATTTGTAGATCAGCTTTTATGTACAAGTTACACTTAAGTTGAGCACGTCTGGTAATGATTTTTTCTCTTTTCTAGAAATACAAATTAAATGGAATGGAATAGAGATTTAATAGAAGTGTGGTTCGTTTTTGTTTTTCTATTCAAAAAGTAGTTTATTCTACAAATATTTATTGTGTGCCTGATATTTACCAGGCATTGTTCAAGATGCTTTTGGTACACAGTGGAACAAAACAGAAAGATTCCAGACTTGATGGAGATTATAGTCTAGTGCTGGGGTTGGCAACTCAAGCCCTGCATGCTAAACCCAGTCTTCTGCCTGTTTGTGTAAATGCACTTTTATTGGAACACAGCCACACTCATTTGCTTAGGTATTGCTTATGGCTGCTTTCATGGTACAAGGGCAGATTTGAGTAGTCCCTACAGAGAACGTATGACCTGCGAAGCCTAAAGTATTTTATTATGTGGTCCTTTTCAGAAAAAGTTTGCCAGTCCCTATTCTAGTAGGTGTCACTGGAATACTTCTCCCCCATTTCTTCTTTTGGAAAGCCAGACTCCTGTTACATGTCACGTAACTAATAGGATTCCTTATTACACTTATTATATTCCAGTCAAAAGATTCCATTTTATTACATTATTCAAGATACATAGTTTTATTTTAGAGGTACAACATTATCTACAATCATTTTCTCTTCTCTGCTGGTGAATTGGGCCAGACAACATATTAAAAAACAAAGTAAAACAAAACAAAAACTCTAAATGTACTGTTTACTTCTCTCCTTTTTGTGCCTATAGAAAAAGGCATTTAATGTACGTACATCTTTTGTGCTACGTTTTTCACTTCTCATGTTATAATTTCTCATGCTGTTAAGTATTCTTTCACAACATAGTTTTAATGACAGTTGAAAATATTTCAAAGGAGAAAAAAATTTGATTTATTAGTCCCCGTTTTCTATACTGTGTATACATTTTCTTACTGGTGAAATGTCTAGTATCTTATTATTTGTTTCTTTTTTAAAAGCTCCATGAGTACCTGAATTAAGTAGCCAGGAGGTCTTAATATTTTAACTTAACATTATGAAACATAAGAAACACAGATACTGTAAAAATGGCAGTTGTATATTCAGTTTTAAAGGATTTCAAAGATAGCAGCAATTGCCTTTATTAAGGCATCACATAGTATTGTATCTGAGACTAGCTGAGGGTTACAGTCAATGAAGGATGAGCCAGATGACCTCTTGAGATCCCTTTTACCTTTTTTTTTTTTTAGACAGAGTCTAGCTCTGTCGCCCAGTGACGATCACTCCACCTCCCAGGTTCAAGTGATTCTCCTGCGTCTGCCTCTTGAGTAGCTGGGAATACAGGAGCGCACCACCACGCCAGGCTAATTTCTGTATTTTGTGGAGACAGGGTTTCACCATGTTGGTCAGGCTGGTCTCGAACTCCTGACCTCGTGATCTGCCCGCCTCCGCCTCCCAAAGTGCTGGGAATACAGGTGTGAGCCACTGCGCCCAGCCCCTTTTAGCTTTAAGATTTTATAATTATGTGGATGGAAGTAAGAATGAGAAGAGTACATAAGTATAAGAAAAATTCCAAAGGAGGTCACTTTTTGGTTAATAAACTTTCCATTATCTTTTCAAAAATTAATAAAAGTATTTTTGAACATGAAATGAACAATACTGAGTTATTTTAACATTATTATTACTTCTGAAAGAACCTTATTATACTTCTTTTAAAAACTTTATGTCCTTAATAATTTCATGAAATATTTTGCCTGCATCCTTCAGGGTGGGGTGGTTTTTTTTTTTCACTGTGTAAATTCTTGGCTTATAATAGAGATTCACGTATATGTAATCCATTCTGATTTTTACAAATTTATGTTTTTCTTTGCTGTATGAAGGTAAGCTTCTCTTTATCTGCCCATTTTGTTCATTTTCTTTGGCCCATTTGCTTTCTTTTCAGTGTAATGTGAGGTTCATGGAAATAAACAGGAAAAACAGATCTGAGTGTTCAATGCAGAGGAATTGCATGATAATAAGTAACTGTCGAGAAAAGCAGTCATTTTTCACAAGGCTGTTTTAGTGAGATTGCATGAGAATTCTTTCTGAACTTTAAAAAATGGTATTTTAAGTTTAATTTTGTGATAACTATAGCAATTGAAAAAACATCCAACATTTAGAAATTGATGTTCTAAACTAAGGAAAGCACTTCTCACGAGAATGTGGGTTTACCAGAGGCCTTCAAATTCAAGGATACTTATAAGAAGTCAGGAGTAACATCTGGAATAAAAGTGAAAAATCCAAATATGTCTATTTTTCTACCATAAATAAAAAGTTTTGCTTTAATTCTGTCAGTGCCTTTAAAGAGTGGTGCCAGAGTTCCAAATGCATTTCCTCTGACTGGCCAGTGCAGAAAAAAGGAAGTGCTAAATGTACATACACTTTGATACTAGAGCCTTTGCAATGCCTGCTAACAACTCTTCTAGCAAGCAGCAGGTTGTACCTTTTTGCAGCCTGCAGGGAGAGAATAGAGAAGCTTGTGACAGCAGTTGCCTTTGTGTGAAAGTAGTAGTGTGTTCATTGTGCCGTCTTGGCAAATATGCCATAGGTTGTTGAGCCTTGGCATGTATATTGGTTTCCTATTGCTGCTGTAAGAAATTACCACAAACATATTGGCCTAAAACGCCATAGATTTATTTCAAAAATCTGGTGATCGCAAGTACAAAGTGGGTTTCTTTTGGCTAAAATCAAGGTGTCAGCATGCCTGCATTCCTTCTGGAGGCCCTAGAAAGAATCCATTCCTTTGCCTTTTCTAGCTGTTAGAAGCCACCTGCATTCATGGCTTATGGCCCCTTCCTTCATCTTCAAAGCCAAGAGTGTAGTATCTTCCATCTTTCTCTGACTCTGACCTTCCTATCTCTCTTATTAGTGTCCTTATGATTACATTGGGCCTATCTGGATAACCCAGGAAAATCCCCTCATTTCAAGATCCTTAATAATATCTGCAAAGTCCCTTTTGTCACCTAAGGCAGTATATTCATGGCGAATTGAGGACTAGGGCATTTCTTCATGTTTCTCATGAGACTCAGAGATGTTAATTAACTTGTCTGAGGTAACACACTTATAAGAATCAGAGTTGCAATTGGAGCCTTGTCTATCTCCTTTACTTTGTTTTTTCCTAATAGTCAAGGTCATAACATGATTATTATATTTAAAAATGTGGAAATATAGAAAAATTAAAGCCACAAATGGTATCCCATTTCTCCATATTTAATGTTATATACTATTTCGTGAACAGATTTTTACGTGTGCTTTTTAAATAACATGAAAAACTTTTTATAAGCCCTAATTTTAGTTGCCTTATAATATTTCAAGGTGACCACTCTCCACTATATCATACTGTGCCCTTCTACATTGTGCCTTTTTAAAAAGGACACAATACACAATTTGTATGGTTAAGTAGGACCATGTGATTCACTGCCCAAATAAGTAAGTACAGACTATATGAGGGAATTAGAGAGGAGAAATGTTGCTATAAATGACCCACTTGGATAATTTCTAGTGGCAAAGTTTGGGCTTTGAAGCAAAACTTGCAAGGACACAAAATCTACTTAATTGATAGAGAAAACAAGAATTTGTGGCTTTTCCTAGTCATGAAATAGTTTAAAGTGTGTGTGTGTGTGTGTGTGTGTGTGTGTGTGTGTGTGTGTGTGGTGGGGGGGGTGTGTGTAGAGAGAGAAAGAGAGAGGGAGGGAAGGAAAGAGTAAGGAAGGGAGAGAAAAAGACAGTAGGGATTTAATCCTGGAGATATTTTGAAATAAGGCTGGTAAACTAAGTGTTGCTGTATCCACTTCACCAGCTCGTAAAAAATTATGATTGTTTTTGTATAATTTATCTTTGATAAATATATAACTGTAAAGATTCAAGGAGAGCTCTAAGTATGTGCAAGGTCCCTCTTGCTGTTCTCCATTGTGAGTGGAATACAAGAAGGCATATACTTATTCTCTATTTGTGTAGTCTAAGGGAAATTATTCTTTGCATTTGTATTTTTAAAAGTATAATTTCCCCCGTTGGTTTTCCCCAAGGACAGCAAAATAGTTGGTTTTGATTATAATTCATAGATAATGATGAACTATCTGGCTGAAAGGCTACCAAAATGAGATATTTTACTCAGAAAGTTAGGTCATTGTTTAAATATCTCTAGAACTGGAAATTCATTTTATACATTTGTCTTGAGGAATGCTTAAGATTACTGTCCTTCCAGAGAAGAGGGGAGGGATTAAACATAACTTTCTGGTTTCATACTGTATTCCATTTGTGATTTGTCTGTTTATTTAGGTACCCAGAGGGTTACCTTACTTCTCTGTGGATTTTGGCCTTCACGGAGGGTTTGCCCATGTCATTGAAGATCAGCACAAATTCCCTCATTACTTTGGAAAGGTAGGCTTACAAATTTGATAAAATCCCAGAGTTAGCAATTTGGTAACATTTTTCTTTTGAAAGGAAATAAAAACTTTGGGCACAGTATACAAAGAAATTGGTGAGTACTGCTCCACCCAGTTTTTAGAGAGGGAATACCTAGCAACTATTAATAAAAATATCCCAGAATGTATATAACAGAGCCAGGAATGTTACTTTGGAACCAAACATTTCTTGACGGTGTCAACAATTACTATAATGGTTGTTTTTGGAGGAAGCCAGGCTTGTGTTGAGAATGATGATAATTGTTAAAACTTATTAAGGGCTTACAGTGTGCCAGCTACTGTTCTAAGCATTCATTTAATGCTCACAATAATCCTATTGTGTGGATATTATTATAAATTTCACTTTACAGATGAAGAAACTGAGCTACAGAGAGATTAGGTAACTTGCCCAGGGTAATGCGCTAATAAGTGGTAGAACTAGGAGTACATATAGTCATGGTTGAACTAGAGAACCAATTTTCTCATCTTCATTTATAATTAAGCAAGGCGTAGCCCAAGAAGAACACATGACTCATTTTACGCTGATAGTTTCTGGGCAGATATTAGCATACAGATCTTTTGATTCACTACCACAGATTGCCTTCTTATATTCTGTGGGGTATAATCTTTAAATTAAAGTCTACAGAATAGTGTCAGGAACTGGAATAAAGTTAATGCAGCAACTGAAACAGTCAAAAGTAGTCTGGGCAATGATTGCTCTAGAAGTGAGCCTTTAATCTAGTATAGATCAGGCCTTTCCATTCATATTTATCCCTATGTAGCCAGGCCCTCTGAAAAAGAGGGGCCTTGGTGAACTCTGCTTGGGATTCCCTGTTCTCCACCCTGCTCCCCACTTTCATCTCCTGCAGAGGAACATCTTCTGCAATGAGTAGAAATATCTGAAGAGGAATCTCAACTCCAGAGGTTTGATTCAAAACTTTTTAATGCTCTTGTCCTTAGTGGGTTAACCAGCATAACAAAGTAACATGCATCTTTGAACTGTTATAACATATTACAGAAACAAGTTTGAGAAGTGTTCAGAATTTTTTTTAACTAGAAAGAAATGTGTTTTCACTGTTCTGAAAAATCCTGTTGTTATACAGTAGAGCTTTATAACCAAAAGCTCTATGGCTGGATTTATTAAAAACAAAAACAGAAAAACAAAACAAAACAAAAATTTGGTCCTAGAAAAAAGGAAGTAAAATATCCATTTTTAAAAAGTTGTATATATTAAACTGGGAGATTGCCCTTTCTTCACATATTATTCATGCATTCTGGTTTATATGATTCAGTTTTGGAGTTAAAAGTAAATTTTCTCTGTCAGCATTGCGTCACTGAGCCATTTTCCTCAAAATTTGCTTTTTAAGAAATAGCCTGTGGGCTCAAGACCTCCCTGCAGTCTGCTGCTGAAGCAGTTGTTCAGAGAGCAAGAAGAGATTATGGGGATAGTCTTTCCATTAACAGCTGCTTTGATAACAGAACAAGAGTCAAGCTTATATGGTAGATGTAAGACAAAACTTGGTATTTTATAGACAATTTTAGGTAAACTTTTATAAGCTAGGCTTTCTTAAACTACATTGCTTATTTGGACCGATGCTGAGAAACTCTTGAACTAAATCTCAATTTGCCCTATTTCTCTTTTCTACTATCTCTGTTGACCCCTTTATTTCCCTTCCCTGATGACAGGAGATTCCCTTTTCCATGAAGCATCTCCTGGTCTGGCCAACAAATAGATTGTTTTTTTTTTTTTTTTTTTGAGTCTCCACAAATGGTCTGCTTTGACACTTACCTTCTACTTTATGAGACAGTCTGCTGCATAGCTGGATTATTATTCCTCCCACCACAGCTCCAGATTCTATTCTGTCTGAAGACAACTGTGTGTCTTCACCCCACAATCTCTGTATCCCCTACAACATACGGCATTTGCTTCTGCATAGTAGGTCCCTAAGTAAGATGAAGAACCTGCATCTGAAAGATTATGTGGTTTGTGCAGGATCTCACCACACAGTCTGGTGGAGCTAGACCGACTATGCAGAATTTGATCCTTAGTCTGTTTTTTGTTGTTGTTGTTTTGTTTTTTGTTTTTTGCTTTGTTACCATACTGCCCTCCCTCTAAGCATTTAAGCATTAGGAGGCTCCCCCATGTCTTTCTGTTCATGGATACTCACATGCCTAAATTTGATTTATTTCTATAGCTAACAGCACAGGAAGAGGATCATGAAGGAAATCAAGAATAATAATCAGATAACCAAAAAGCCATTTATTATGGGACTTGAGAATGTGATTTTTTAAATGAAAGTGATATATAATTTTTAATTCTATCAATAGGTTTACTTAAACTAGTATTACAATAGGATTTTGTTTCATGAAAAAAGATTTCTGCTAATAGTGGAAGAAACTAATTTATAAATATACTTGGTAGCAGAGAGAGAACATTAGCTTGGGATTCAACTGCAGTTGAGCAGTAAAGTTAATAATTGCTAGAAGTTGATTAACATTTTTGCAAAATTGTTTACGGGAGCCTCTAATAGAGATCATATTAATTAAATTTCACTTGTTTTCCCTCCCCTTTGTTACCATCTAGTAGATGTGCTAATAAGCAACAAAATGGACAAATTGCTTGATAGGAGATGCAGCTAACTTGGACTCTTAGAATCACACGGTTTGCCTAGTTAGAATTAACTGAAAACATATTTTTTTAACTTCAACTAGTATTTATGCTTGAACATTGTCATGGAGAAGAACTTGTTATATTTTATAGCAGAATAAACAGAAATAGTTTCATTTCTGTTTTCATTATTTATACATGCTTGTGTTTGTGCTTTTCTCTTTCTTTAAAAGGAAATCATAGGTGGGATGCTGGATATAGAACCAAGACTTTGGAGGAAAGGCATCCGAGAAAGCTTTGAGGATCAGAGGAAAAAAGCACTGCAGTTTGCTCAGTGGTGGAAACCATATGACTTCACCAAAAGTAAAAACTATTGAGGTGTACCTTCCATTTTAAAATTTTTCTTCAGATCCCGTTCAGTTTTATTTCCATTGCATCTAATGAAGCAACTGACCCTCAGGTCACAGGCAGAGAGAGTCACAGCAGCAGACTGCTCTGGGTCAGTGACAACTGTACATCAGGAGATTGTGTTGTTTTCTTCTTCACCTGCTCCTATCTATGGACTTCATTTTAGTCACCATGGAGTAAAAACATATATTCGATGATCTGCTCACATTCCTGCTCTCTACCTACTTCTTGGTATTCCGAATTGTTCAGTTAATTTAGAGAAGGCCTTTTCTGAAGGGATATCTAAAAAGCATAGGAAATCCTTGGTTCAGAGGGAAGTGGGTCTGCTTCATGGTTGTTAAGTCTACTGTCTGGCTTCTTTTGCATTTTTAAAAATAAGACGATTTAATTTTAATTTCATAGGATTTTATAGAAAAGCTCTTAATTTTCTACTAGCAGTATATAGTATCACTTCTATTCTTTTTGTTAAAGGAAAAGGAAATGTCCCCAAAGTATTAAAGAATTAAATGATACTGAAAATTTGTATGATTCAAATTTGTTTTTATTTCTGGATTTTTAAATAGTATCTTTGAATTTTGGTGGTTCTAAAAGTAATTCTTCCAAATAACATATTTTAGGGTTGTTTGGGGTTTGCATGAAAGTTAAAATTTATAGCCAAATCATTGGTTTTGAGTTGTACTGATTGTCGTAAAATCTTAAGTAATGAGAGTTTTTATTTATTTATCTTTTTGTTTTGTTTTTATTTATTAAGACAGAGTCTGGCTTTGTCACCCAGGCTGGAGTGCAGTGGCCCAATCATAGTTCACTGTAGCCTTGAACTCCTAGTCTCAAGCTATCCTCCTGTTTCAGCTTCCCAAAGTGCTGGGATTGCAGGTATGAGCCACCATGCCTGGATGAGAGTATGGGACATTCTGTTGTCCCTTACTTGATCCAAGGAACGTAATTTTTATTTGTTCTCAACTCACACCATAGTCATATTTTGTAAGTATAGGGTTTTTATGTTTTGAGTGCTCCTACTTTTCTTTTTCTTAATGGAAATTATTGTTGTAGTAACTTTTTTTTCAGCTATTGGCTTTTTGGAAGCTGAACCTTTTTGTATGAAATGTTGGATACCTAGATTCAGTGTGAGGTGTGCTCCACTGTAACTTATAACTCTACACATTGTTTCTTCTCTTTTTTAAATTATATTTTAAGTTCTGGGGTACATGTGCAGAACGTGCAGTTTTGTTATATAGGTATGCATGTGACATGGTGGTTTGCTGCACCCATCAACCCATCATCCACATTAGGTATTTCTCCTAATGCTATCCCTCCCTAGCCCCCCGACCCCCTGACAGGCCCCGGTGTGTGATGTTCCCCTCCCTGTGTCCATGTGTTTTCATTGTTCAACTCCCACTTATGAGTGAGAACATGCGGTGTTTGGCTTTCTATTCTTGTGATAGTTTGCTGGATTATTCTTGTGATAGTTTGCTGAGAGTGGTGGTTTCCAGCTTCATCCATGTCTGTATGTTTTATGTTAGCATCTCATTGCTTCCCTAATATGTTAAAAAGCAAAATGTATGTGTTCTGTCTGTAGTTTTTTTTGATTTCATAAATAAGTTGAAGTTTAATGTTTTCAGTTTTTGAATATTTGCAACATACACTTAGGCATATATATGAAGTAGATGTTTGACAGTATTTATTGATTGCTATTTTAAAACTCTTGGCTTTGCTTCCAAATCTTAAAGGAATCAATAACACTAATTTATTCAATCAGCAAATTAACAAACATTTGTTTGTAGAGCACTGTGTTATGTGCTGGTAATGCAAAAATGAAAAGTACTTCCTCTACCTTAAATTATTTTATAATTTAGTGGAAAAAGATATATACATAAATAATTATAGCACAATGTGATAAGTTCTCAAGTGAGATATGTGCCAAGTATACTTGAGTACAGTGCTAAAGGACTATTTCACATCTCCCCTCTCTTCATTCCCAGATTATGACCGTGCTTCCTATTTTACTGAGAAAATAGAAGCAAATGGAAGGAAATTTGTAGCACGTCTTGTCAGTATACCTGCATGTATACCTGTGAACTCTTACTTTTTCTCTTCCTAATTCCAGATAAATTTTTTTGTTTTTCTTATCTAGGGCCAATCCACTTATTTATGTACTGGATTTTATCCCTTCTCAACTACTACATTGCCTCTTCTCTCTATATTATTATTTTTTGCTCTTCTTTACAGGATTATTCTTATTAGCATACAAAAATATTTATATAATATATCAACAGCAAATCTTGGCATTGCATCTCCCCTCTAGCCCTGTGTCCAGTTGACAGGAAACTCATTTTTTTAAAGTCTGTTTTCTCTTCCTCCATTCTAATTCTGTTCTCAGTGCAGTGAGGATGAAGTTCGACTTCACCCTCATCATTCTACCAAACTCTTCAGGTCAAGGTCATCGGTGACTTTCCACACTAGCAAATCCAGAATTAAAGCTCAGTGCTCATCTTTATCTATCAGCATATCCATGACATACTTGATCATTTCCCCTTTATGAAACACTTTCTTTACTTTGATTCTAGAACACTGTTTCTTATTTATTCTTCTTTCTTACTAGTTGTATTCTCTCAGTCTCCTTTGCTGGTTCCTCTTCATCTCCTCAACCTCTAAATGTTGAAATGCCTACTTTCAAACCTTATTTTTTTATCCACTGCACTCACTTTCTACGGGATCTAGAAATACCATTTTTAAGTTGGCTCACAACAAATACTTCAGTGTCTTTAATATGCCAGTCACTGTTCTGCATGTAAGGGATACATTAGTGAATAAAAACTCTCTGCCTTAGTGGCTTATAGTAATAGCCATTTTATTATATCTAGTGTTTTATAGGTGAGGCATTTGATACGGGCTCAGCTGGATGATTTGCCTCTGCTTCATGATGTCTGGGGCCTCAGCTAGAGTGGTTTAAACCCATCTGGAGATGACTGAAGCTGTATGTCTAGGTCCTCTGTTCTCCATATGGTATATGCTGGTGTAGAATATTCAACATGGTTCCTTCACTCGTATGTCTGGTGCCTGGGCTAGAATGACTGGAGCAGCTAGAGACTGGCTAGTATGACTTTCTCCATATATAGCAATTTTGTTTTAGTTGGACTTGCTGTATGGCTCTGGCTTCTCCCAGAACAACCATTCCAAAGGGCAGTTCCAAGGCCTAAGAGGTAGAAGGTGCCATCTTGGGGCCTGGGCCCAGATAGTGGCACAGCATCATTATTTTCTGTATGTCAGAGTTGTCACAGAGCCCACGTATATTCAAGAAGTGGGGTCATAATTCTACCTCTTGATAGAAGGAGTGTGAACACCAATTTACCCTCTGGCCACAAATTTATATTTCTCCCACATGAAAATATATTCAGATCCTCTCAAGAAAGTTTCATCCCAGTCAGTAACTAGGCTTAGGCTTGAGGTTTAGGTCTCATCTGAATCAGACCCAGATGGAGATGAAACTACTCAGGTGTGCTTCCACTCACTCTGAAGATTTGTGAACATAAGATCTGCACCACCTCCACACAAACACTCACCAAACACAATAGTAAGAGAAACATACATTAACTGCAGTAGGCACATTGATGGAAAAGTAAGAAAATAGGAGGAATATAGCAGTCACTGTTCACTAGAAATTTTAAAATTAAGTATATATTGCCAGTTTCTTGATTAGGTGATCTGTCCTGCTTCTTGAGAAGATTCTGTGGCTCTTTTCTCTGTCCTCTGTGCTCTTGTTTTAACCCTGAGTCAGCCTTTCTTTTTCATAAGAAGTAGCTCAAGTATTACGCTTCCAGACAAGATAGTGGCCCGATTACCTTGCTGCCTAAAACAACCAACAAACAAACTGTATATGAAACAATGATTTCAAGACATGGGACATCATACAGCAAGGTACAATGATCCCTGTGAGATGGGAAACAAATGAGATGAGTCCTACAATTGTCCTCTCTTAATGCTTTGAGAGAGTTTCCAAGCTGTAGTCCAGGATTGGGAAACAGCTTGTTGACTATCCAAGTTGAGGAAATGGAGCTGTGAGCCTAGATAGACCAAGTCAGAAAAACAGATTACTAGAGGAAGGATTGCTGTACAGAGAGAAAACACTAGAGGTATGCAGAGGGTCACCTTTGAGCATCTGTGCACTGATTAGTGCATGCCTTGAGGAAACTACTCGAGGCTAGGCCAAGATTGACCTACCCCAAAAGAGTTAGAGGTGACATTTTCCACAAGCTAGAATGGAAAATGTCATGATTGACTGGGAATTGGATAGAGTACACGTAATGGTGGTGTGTAGCATAGAATAATTGTCTCAGTAATATAGAATCATTTTTCAGAGACTGAGTATTGATCTAGTAGTCTTGACAAACAAATCTTAAATATAAGAGACAAAAGGATCAAACTGTTTCCAAGTCACTTAACTGAATTCCAGAACAAAGCTAAAAAACATGTATAGGAATAAAGATATATCCAGTAGTCTACACTATGTGCCCGTTAGTCACTCAGTAGTCATCTTCATTTTCAGATTGATTGTGGTGGTATTTCAGTGCTTGTGTTCAAGTAACCCTTATTTTAATAATGGCCCCAAAGCTCAAGAGCTGGCAATTTAGATATGCCAAAGAGAAGTTATAAAATGCCCCCTTTAAGTGAAAAGGTGAAAGTTCTTGGCTTAGTAAGGAGATAAAATAAATTATGTGTTGAGATTGCTAAGATCTGTGAGAACAAATCGTCTATGAAATTGTGAAGAAGGAAAAACAAATTTGTGCTAGTTTTGCTGTCACACCTCAAGCTGCAAAAGTTACAGTCACAGTGCATAAGTGCTTGGTTAAGACAGGAAAAGCATTAAATTTGTGGGTGGAAGACATGAACAGAAATGTGTTCCAATTAATGGCAATTGGGTTCAGTACTGTCTGTGGTTTCAGGGATCCACTAGGGGTCTTGGAACATATCCCCCACACATAAGAGGGCACTACTGCATTGCTTAGAAGCAAGTCACAGGTCCTCCTCACACTTAAGGGGATGGGGTCATACAAGGATGTGAAAACCAAGATTAGAACATAATGGAGGCCACCTTAAGAATCTATTCACTGGCATTTTAAGGAAGTCCTGGGAGTGATGTCACCAATATGGCAGAGTAGTAGATCTACAAGCCTTAATCTCCCCATAAAAAAATATAGATAGCCATTCACAAACCAGAATAGCCCTGATAGTGCTCAAGGATCTATTTAAGAATCTGCCGCAACACACTGGAGAAAAAAAAGAAGAATATCCACAGAAAGGATTGCTGTTGAAATTGGCATACTTGAGGCACCAGGAGATGGTTAGGAACGAAGAAATGCAGAGGATATTGGTATCAGCTGTACAGGTGAACTGCTGTGGTTCCCAGGAGCCTGCTTTGCAGAGGACAGTGGCATCTTTTGCAACAGAGGTAACCAACAGCCATTCCTGTCCAGGAACCCCATAGAGGGAGATGTGGCTGCACACTCCCATAACCCCTAAGAATCAGTTGCTCTTGTGCTATTCTGGGACTGGAGCTGCCACATTTCCCATCCCTGTGCATGCCTCCAACCTCTGAGCTGTGGCTGTTCCACAAGTGCCCACATTCCTGACCCCTTCTCTGAGGGTTTATTCTGTGTACCCATGTCTCATACACCAGAACCATAGCAAGCTAGATCATGTGTGGGTCCCAGAGCCAAGGTCTCTCCATGCATGCCTATGCTCTGGGTACAAACTTAGCTGCCATAGAGAGCTAGCTGGCATCCCTAACCCTGCAGCCACTGTAGCTCTATTCATGCCCATAGTCCTGTCCCAGGTTCCCTGGCTTACCCATTACTTCATAAGCACCAACATGCAAGTGGGGGTGCCTTCATCCCAGCACCAATGCCATTAATGCCTTGGATCCCAGAGCCATAGTCCCTCTGCTCATGCTCATACTTCAAGACTTGGCTCCATGGCTGCTTTACATGCCACTCATCAGACACCTGTACCACTGCCACCGTGAGCAGGCCCACAAGCCAGACCTTGTGCCAAAAGAGATCCCATTGTCGAAAGATTCATTGGTGGGAGAATAAGAGATTGGGAGAACCTAGCAGCCATTGCCACTGACAATCCCAATAGCCCTCACCTCTGCTGTGGACATTCACAGTACTGGCTGCTGAGGATCCCTGCAATCTTTGTCACTTTGACCTCAGCTGACAGAACTCCATGGAGACTATACTGCTGTGTCCTATCTGGAACCAGAACCACTGCACCTCACCCAGCCAGGGGCCTAGCACCCTCCCATAGGGGAAAGCCTTTCCCCACTGAAACCAGTGCATAAAATCTGAAAGAGATGGCTACCCCCACCAAATGCACAGACATCAACAGGGCAGCAAGAAACATGAAAAATCAAGGAGACATATTACCACCAAAAGAACAATAATTTCCTAGAAGCTGCAAATAAATAGAGACTATACACTGCCTTACAGATAATTTAAAGTAATTGTTTTAAGGAATCTCAGTGAACTTCAAGAAAATACAGAGAATCAGTTCTATGAAATCAGGGAAACAATAAATCAACAAAACGATAAATTTAACAGGTTGAAATCACTAAAAGAACCAAACAAATTTTGGGGCTAAAGAATACAATGAATGAAATGAAAAATGCAAAAAGGAGAATGGCAGAACTAATCAAGCAGGAGAAAAAAATATGTGTGAACTCTATTTCAAAATAATATGGTCAAAGGAGAAAAAATAATGGAATGAAGAAAGACTACAGGATTTATGAGACATCATCAAAAGAGCTAACAAATGTATTATAGAAATAAGGATGAGGGTTTTTCAAAACCTGATTTGAAAAAAATAATAGCTGAAAGCCTCCCAAATCTGGGGAAAGATATAAATACACACTATTATGAAAAGGTCAGAGGTCTCCAATAAGATTCAATCTAAATTATATGAAGACATATAATCAAACTTCAAGACAGGATTCTGAAAACAGCAAGAGCAAAGAAGCACATTACATTAAGAACAATATCAATAAGACTATCTGCAGATTTCCCAGGACAGACCTTACAGGCCAGGAAAGGGTGGGATGATATATTCAATGTGCTGAAGAAAAAAACTGCCAACCAAGAATATTTCACCTGGCAAAGCTGTCCTTCAGAAACCAAAGACAGAGAAAGATTTTCTCAGACAAACAAAAGCTGAGGGAGTTCATTACCACTAGACCTGCCTGAAACTAATAAATGCTAAAGGGAATTATTCAAGCTGAAAATAAAGGACACTAAATTAGTAACATGAAAACATATGAAGTATAAAACTCACTGGTAAAAGCAAGTACATAGATAAATACAGAATACTCAGATATTGTAATGGTGGTGTGTAAATCACATCTCTTTAGTAAGAAGATTAAAAGACAAAACTTTTATAATTATAACCACAATACTTTCTAAGTAATATACAATATAAAGAGATTTAAATTGTGGCATCAAAAACATAAAACTACAAAAATGGTAGTGTTTCTATATGATCAAGTTTAGTTATTAGCTTAAAATATAGCCTGTCATTGCTGTTATTTTATGTAAGTCCCATGGTAACCACAAAGCAAAAACCTATAGTAGATACACAAATGATTAAAAAAAAAAAAAAGGAATCAAAGCATGTCACGCAAAAAAAATCATCTAATCACAAAGGAGAACAGCAAGAGATGAGAAAGGAACAAAGGATTTATCAAAACAACTGGTAAACAACAAAATGGCTGTAGTAAATTCTTACCTATCAGTAATCACCTTGAATATCATTGGATTAAATTCTCCAAACTAAAGACATCACTATTCTTTTGAAGGACTGAATGAATTTTTTAAGGACCTGATTTTAGGCTGAATACAAGACGCTCATTTCACCATTAAAGACACATAGATTGGGCCAGGTGTGGTGGCTCACGCCTGTAATCCCAGCACTTTGGAAGGCCGAGGCGGGTGGATCACGAGGTCAAGAGATCGAGACCATCCTGGCCAACATGGTGAAACCTCGTCTCTACTAAAAATACAAAAAATAGCTGGGTGTGGTGGCACATGCCTGTAGTCCCAGCTACTCAGGAGGCTGAGGCAGGGAGGTGGAGGTTGCAGTGAGCTGAGATCACGCCACCGGACTCCAGCCTGGCAACAGAGTGAGACTCTGTCTCAAAAAAAAAAAAAAAAAAAAAGAAAAGAAAAAAAAAGACACATAGATTGGAGGTAAAGGAATGGAAAATGTATTCCATGCAAATGGAAACCAAAAGAACTGGGATAGCTATACTTAGGTAAAATAGATTTTAAGTAATGTATACAAGGAGACAAAGGTCATTGTATAATGATAAAGGGATCAATTCAAGAGGATATAACAATTATAAATATATATGCACTCAGCATCAGAGCACCTAAATATATAAAGCAAAGATATAAAGATCTGAAGAGATAAACTGCAATACAATAATGGTAGGGTACCTCAATACCCATTTTCAACAATGTACAGATCATGCAGACAGAAAATCAATATGGAAATGTTGGAATTGAGCCACAGTTTAGACAAATGGATCTAACATATATACAGAACATTTCATCCAATAGCAACAGAATACACATTATTTTCAAGCTCACACAGAGCTTTCTGCAGAATAGATCATACATTAAGCTACAAAAGAAAACTTAACAAATTTAAGCAGGTTAAAGTCATATCCAGTATCTTTCAACCACAGTGGTATGAAATTAGGAATTAATAATAGGAAAAATGTCAGAAAATTCACAATATGTAGAATTAAACCAAATTCTCCTGTACAACCAGTGGGTCAAAGACAAAAGTAAAAGGGACATTAAAAATTGTCTTGAGACAAATGAAAATGGAAACACCACATGCCAAAACTTGCGGGTAGCAGCCAAAGCAGTCCCAAGAGGAAGATAATAGCAATAAACACCTATATCGAAAAAGAAGAAAGACTGTGAACCATCTAACTTTATATCTTAGGGAACTAGAAAGAGAAGAATAAATTAAGGCCAAAGTTAGTAGGAGGAAGGAAATAATAAAGATCAGAGCAGAAATAAACACAAACTAGAAAAACAACAGAAAAGAACAAAACTAACAGTTGGTTTTTAAGATAAAATCAACAAACCTTGATCTAAACTAAGAAATGAGAGAAGGCTAAAATAAAATTAGAAAATAAAGCAGAGACATTATACATGATACTACAGATATACCAAGGATCTTACGAGATTGCCATGAACTTGCTAACAAATTGGATAACCTAGAAGAAATGGATGAATTCCTAAAACCATAGAATCTATATGAGCCGTATACTTTCTTAACATTTCTGCCATCCTCCCTATCCTCTTTGGTATAGCCTCTCTTCAGACTGCCTCCTTAGCTCTCTTCTGGATCACTATAACAGCCTAACAATTGTATCACCTTCAGTTTTGCTCTTCCTTCCATATGACTAAATAAATGAAAAATTTGATCAGACATTAACGAGTAGGGAGAGTGAATTGGTAATAAAAGGTCCACTTATTTTGTCTTACAGTGAGAGTGGCTTGCTATTATCTCCCATTATTGATGCATTTCTATCTTTGTCTTCCTGCATCCCCTGCAGTTTTTGCTTCATAAGAATGTTTGCAGTGTTATTTGGTACCATACATATTCATGTTAGGTCTTTATTGTGAATTACAGATTTTAGAATTAAAAAGGAGATTTGGGCCGGGCACAGTGGCTCACGCCTGTAATCCCAACACTTTGGGAGGCCGAGGTGGGCAGATCACCTGAAGTCAGGAGTTTGAGACCAGCCTGCCCAGCATGGTGAAACCCCGTCTCTACTAAAAAAAAATACCAAAAATTAGCCAAGTGTGGTGTCAGGCGCCATAATCCCAGCTACTCAGGAGGTTAAGGCAGGAGAATCACTTGAACCTGAGAGACGGAGGTTGTGGTAAGCCAAGATCGCCCCATTGTACTTTAGCCTGGACAACAAGAACGACTCTGTCCCAAAAAAAAAAAAAAAAAAGAGATTTGAGGGTCATATTTATATTTTTTTGGCTTGGATTCTACGTTGCCTAGTATCAGGATCACCTCCCCTATTTTCTTATTGTTCTCATTTCCCCTATATTTCATTGTCCATCCCATTATTTTTAGTCTTCTTACATCACTTTGTTTCTTGTATACAGTATACTGTTGGTTCTAGCTTTGTAAGACAAATTGAAATAAGCTGAATAGGTGAGTCAAGCCCACTCATCATTCATATGACTGAGTGTTTGGTTTGAAGCCTGTCATAAAATTGTATTGTTATATTTGCTATATTTATTTTCTGTGCAATGTGTACTATTTGTCATTTTATGAAAATGTTTTACTGATAGTTAAGAATTTTTATTCTAGTGGTTATCTTTGTATTTATACTTTATTCTCCATTTTCTTATTTAAGATTTACTATCTAGTTTGTCAGGTTTTAATGCCTGTAATTCACACTTATTGCCTATACAGCGATCAATGATTTTAATCTCACGTCTTTTTGCTCCCATTTTTTAGTTGTTTTATTTCTACCTGATTGCAACATATAATGTTTGTGTATTGGTTTTGCACTCGAATTCCTACTGTTGGTTTAGTCTGAAAGCTACTATTAAATATAGTAAATATTGTAATTTTATTTTGCTGAAGTTTTTCAGTCATCTCTTGTTGAATGAAGCTCATTCATTAGTAGATCTTCATGAGTGGCTCAGGGGTACATAATTGTCTAAGTTATGTGTTTGAAGCTGTTTTTCTATTATAGTGTTTTATACTGAAGGACAGCTTGACTGAATATAAAATCTTGGTTCACACTTTCAGTTTTTTGAAAATTTATTGTCTTGCTTTATATATATTTTTTGAGAAATCTGATACCAGTCTAATTATTTTGCCCTTGTAAATTATTTGATCACGTATCCCTGAATCCTCGAGGATTAAAAAATTTTTTTCGGCCTGGCTCGGTGGCTCACGCCTGTAATTCCAGCACTTTGGGAGGCTGAGGCGGGCAGATCACGAGGTCAGGAGATCAAGGCCATCCTGGCTAACATGGTGAAACCCCATCTCTACTAAAAATACAAAAAATTAGCCTGGTGTGGTGGTGGGCGCCTGTAGTCCTGGCTACTCGGGAGGCTGAGGCAGGAGAATGGCGTGAACCCGGGAGGCAGAGCTTGCAGTGAGCCGAGAGTGCGCCACTGCACTCCAGCCTGGGCAACAGAGCGAGACTCCGTCTCAAAAAAAAAAAAAGAAAAAAAGAAAAATTTTTTTTTCAAGTTTAAATAGTTTTACTGAGATGTGTCTTGGAGTTAACATTCAAAGTTTACTTTTCCAGTTAACTGGAAATCCCTTTCAAAATGTAGATTCAGATCCTTTTTATTTCTGATAATTTTTCATGGATTATAATGTTAAATATTCTGTTCCATTGTTTTTTATTTCTTCTTCAGGGGTTCCAATTATATGTGAGTTATTTATCTTTTGTTCAACTTTCTCTTTCTGACCATTTTTCCTTCTTTTCTGTATCGTATTTATTTGTTTATTTTTGCATCTATCCAGTGTCTAAGTTTTCATTAGTCTGTTTTCCTTTGGACACCTTGTAATTTAGTCTTCATTTATAATTCCCCCCCTTCCATTTCTTTCTTGAATTCAATAATCTTTAAATTTACTCGTGGTTTTTTTAATCTATTTCTGTTTTTTATATTTTGAATTTCCAATTCACGGTGCTTTTTCATATCCCCAAATGCTTATCTGAGGATTTTATTCAGTTTGATATGTTGTGTTACAATTTTCTTCTGATTTAATGGTTGCTTTTTGGTAGAGAATTTTCATCAGCCAATGCATGTTAATTATTGTTTGCTGATTTCTCATACTACCATTATATAGATTTAGTCCATTTCCTTCCATTCATTTTTTTGAATTTGAGGGGTTATAAGATTCCTAGTTCAGAAGGACTCTCTCTGTCAGCATAGAAAATACAATTTCTTTAGGGGGTGTTTTTTTTAACTTTATAGTAGAGGGAGGGATTATGTATGTTCCAGTTTTTTGTTTTTTGTTTTTGTCTTGCAGGACCCTGAATTTCTCCTGTTGCTTCTTTTCCCCTTCACCATCCAGTTGCCAAAAGGCACCTTGCCTATTCTTTTTGCTCTCTCCACTCCCTGAAGCTATCCTGTAATAAGTGTTGTGATACTAAGATACTTTATATTTTTGCACCTAGGATAGAATTTCTATCTCTGCTGGTGATTTTAGACCAATTTTAGGCCTGCCACTAGATCCGTTTTTCTTTATTCTGTATGTTCTTCTTTGGCCTGCCCTTGCTTGCTACAAAGGCTTATGGTAGAAATGTGAAAGATCACTCACTTGGATTTGGTGCTTTTAATTTTTTTACTTATAAGTATTTGACATTTGGCTATATTTTTCTTCTTGTTAGGCTGAGGGTGTATTTTGTATAGATTTATTTATTCTTCTTGTTCTGTATCGTTTATGACGGACATAGGTAGCTGCCATTTTATTTTATTACCGCGAAGTCCTCACCTATTCACTCTTAAATCTACCTCATTGAAGACTTCAATAACTATTTGTTGTTGGAAGCCATAATGAAACTGTTGATCAAATTACCCAATCCAAATCAAATTAACCAAAAAGACTTTCTTCAGTCTTCATATTAATTACCTTCCCTGCAGAACAGAACATGGTTGCCCATTATGTGAAATTCCTTTTACTTCTTTGGTGGTCCTGTCTGTTTTCTTATGCCTAATTGTTGCTTACGGTATACTTGCTGTTTGTTTGTTTGTTTGTTTGTTTCTTTTATACACTCATTAAGTGAGTTCTCCATCTAAATATCCCATAAGGCACTTCAGAATCAACATATCCAAAAGGAAACATATTTTACTCATCTCCAAATCTTTTGTTTCTCCAGCAATTCAAGTTTTGGTGAATGAAGCTATGAACAATCCAGTAATCCAAACCAGAAACTTGAGAGTCATCTTTTTTACACCTCCCACTTTGCATCTCTCACATTGAATAAGCAATCATGCCCTGAGCCATATACTTTCTTAGCATCTCTGCCATCCTCCCTATCCTCTTTGGTATGGCCTCTCTTCAGACTGCCTCCTTAGCTCTCTTCTGGATCACTATAACAGCCTAACAATTGTATCACCTTCAGTTTTGCTCTTTCTTCCATATGACTATCAGAATTATTTCTCTGGAAGATCATGTCAATCACTCCTTCTCAGTGGTTCTTCATTGCCTATAGGAAGAAATCCAAACTCCGTAGCATGAGAGAAATGTTTTTCATAATGACTTTATCCTGCCTTTCTATTGTTTCTTTCATATCATGCCCAGCTCAGCCCCCCATTCAATGAAAATCATACTAAACTACTTTAATTCCACTAACATGTTGTGCTAGTTAAGCCTCTTTACCTTTGTTCATGCTGTTTTTACTCAGACCACTCCATTCCACAACATACACTTGGGGGATACCTACTAATTTTGAAGACCCCCTTCAGCCCTGATGTTAACCTTCTTTGTGGAATCATTATTGACATGATGGATAGAATTGGTCAGATGCTTCCTTGTTCATCAGTTGTACTAGGCACAGCATTCTAATGTAGCACCTATTACACATTTTAAAATTTGTTTACATGTCTCCCCTCATGTAAGTTTGTAGGACTGGTACCTGAAATATACTAGGCTTACCTTACTGACATTTTGAAATATAAGATAGCTTTCCAAGGCTTGCTTTTGCCTCCTGATTCAGGACTCTACCATTGGCATCATCAGGAAGAATTTCTAATAGTATTATTGATCAGAGTCTTCTGGAAGTTTCTGCAGGTTACACATCAACTTACTTTTCCCTGACAAAATAATTCTGCATCTAGAAACACAAACAAGTAGTCAAAGAAGTTATATTGGAACTAAGAGATGAATTACCAAAGGAAAACTGAAATCAAGAAACATTTGATGAAATTCAGGCAATGTCTTCAGGTGCCAGAGGACACAGAAATGTCCCGAGAACCATTCACATGATCTTAAAGAAACTTCTGCTGGTTGTCTTGTACCTTTGAAGCAGGTGTGATTGAGATGGATACCTTAATTTTTTTAAAGTAAAAATTGTTCATTCTCTTATGTACTTTAGCATACTGGTATTCTTATCAAAATATGAAACAGCATCAAGTTTAATATTAATTATAAAACACATGGTATATTTATATTTCTGCTCTTTATTTTCTAAAGTTAACTCAGTTAACTCTCCATATAGGTATTTGGACATGGGCTGTAACCACTTTTTAGAACAAATACTGTGAAGATTGTTTTATTACATGACATTTTATGATGTGAGATTAACACCTTTGTGTTAGTAAACATCCTAGATTGTTCACTTCAATATAGATTTTTAAAATGTATAGTTATACTTGTGCAGGATACTAGAAAATGAAAATGACTGTTCACACATGCTTTATTATTCAGTAATTTTACAAGAAAATATTACTGTTTGAAAGAAAATCATGCATGCCTAAAACTGATTCTGTTCCAGTTTTATAAGTTAGTATACTAATTTTAAGACATTGTGTATATTTCCTTCACTTAATTTCTATTTTCTACTGCATTTCTACCAATATAAAAAACAAAGAATTCAGTTGGTTCCTTTCTAGAGGGAAAATTTGTTGTGAGTATAGTACTGGGCATCACATGCTGCTTCCCTTTGTGGCTTTGAATAAACCCTTATTTTCTTGTCCATTTTGTCTCAAAGAATTTTAAATGGCATTGTCTAAACTCAGGAGTATTGTGTGGATTGATTAGTATGAGAAGTTTCTTTCATGGTAAGTATAGAGTTTAAGTATATAAAATCAACTCTTGGTCATATATGTAAAACACAATTGAGAAGTAAAACTTGCCATCAACTCTTGGTTATATACAAAAAAATTGAGAAGTAAAACTTGCCATACATATTAGTACAAGTAATTAAAAACGGATTATAGCTTGAAAGGCATTAGATCTCACATTATTTACATTCTCACTCCTTTTAGCTCCTTTGCTTTTTTGTTCTCTTGTTTGCAAAGATTAAAAATAATGTTCCTGGCATTTTAATGGAACATTACCAAATGTACATTCATGTGTATTGATCAAAGACCAACTTTCATTAGTGAAAAAATCTAATTTTTTCTAGACCAATTAAAAGGATAAAATTCTCTTATTTGAATAATAAGAGAATTAAAGAGTTTATTAAGCAAAAACAGTTGCTGAAAAAGCGTAGCAAAGACTGACTAGACTGGCTAGAATTTCCTCTTCTTCCAGGACAGATGGTTCTACGACATTTTAAGCCTTCTTTGTAATGGCCGAGTGACTGGGTTCTAGCTAGTGGAATGTGAGTGGAAGCCTTTTACCTCAGAAAAGACACACAATTCTGCATGCCCTTTCCCCTTCTGTGGCATGGTGCAAACATGCATGGTGACTTTGGAAGCCACATTTTGACGATGGTGGAGCCGCAAGATGAAAAGAGCCTAGGTTCCTGAATCACCAGGTGGAGGAATATTGCCAATCCATCAGTAATGTATTTTGTACTTTATCAGAGCAATAAATAAAATTCTCTACTTTTAGAGCCATTATACATTTTTTTTTTTTATTTTCATTGCAGTTGTCGCCTGAACCTATATAGAAATTGGTACCTTGAAAAGTGGAGGTTTCTGAACAAAAAAACCTTTAAGGTATGTGGCATTGGCTTTGTGGTTGGGTAGAAAAATTAAGTTAAAATTAGTTCCATTGTAATAAAGATGTATTTTAGTTTTTACAGGTAAGCTTAAGTTTCATATCATCACACTTCATAACACAGAGGAGGAGCAATCTGTGCTTTCAAGTGCAGCCATTTGTTTTTAATAGCCAGGGTCCTTGATTAACCTATGGATAGCCCTTGTAAAGGTAAACAGAGCTCTGCTTCTGAATTTGCTTATATTCTCTGCTTTGAGCATAAATTATCTTTATTTGTAAGATATGTAGAGATCATATATGATACCATTTCATTCATTTGTATAGTATAGCTTTGAGAATTCATATTTGGCCATTGAGTTGCCAATTGTTACAACTACTTACTGTTCCTTAAAGGAATTTAATAAAATAAATGCTGTCATTAAAATTACAACTTTGAAAACAGTTTTTGCATGTTATCATAGTGTTAAGTTTAAAAAGAGAACAGTGAGTTTTGTGTGAAAAATTATATGGGCTAGGTGCAGTGGCTTATGCCTGTAATCCCAGCATTTTGGGAGGCTGAGGCAGAAGGATTGCTTGAGGCCAGGACTTAGAGACCAGCCTGGGCCATATAATGAGACCTGTCTCTACAAAAAATAAAAATAAATTAGCTGGATGTGGCGGCACACACCAGCAGTCCTAGCTACTGCGGACACTAAGGCGGGAGGATTGCTTGAGCCCAGGAGTTTGAGGCTGCAGTGAACTATGATTGCACCACTGCAACCTAGCCTGGGCACCAGAGCAAGACCCTGTCTCCAAAAAGTAAATATATAAAAATAAAAATAAATTTAAAAAATGAATTATATAAAGGACAGTGTGGATGGAAAGAGAGAGAACTTTTTTCATGTGGGATTATCGGTGACTTTAAAAAAATCATTAAAGATATATATGTCTATATATAGATATAGCTGTGTATGAAGGAGAAGTGAAAAGTTAGAATAACATTACCTCAATGTTAGCTAGAACGCTAGGCCACTAGGCTGCTGCTCCATATTATGTAGTATTTTGCTGGAACATGTTTCAGTTTAGAGAGACAGTAAAAGAGGAATTATACCCATTTTTTCACACACTGCACACACTGGAAACTTGTTTTTGTTCTGTGAAGTCTTTTTTTTTTTTTTTTTTTTTTTTTGGAGACAGAGTCTCGCTCTGTCACTCAGGCAAGAGTGCAGTGGCATGATCTCAGCTCACTGCAACCTCCACCTCTCAGATTCAAGCGATTTCCATGCCTCAGCCTCCCAAGTAGCTCGGACTACAGGCATGTACCACCACTCCCGGCTAATTTTTGTAGTTTTAGTAGAGATGGGGTTTTGCCATGTTAGCCAGGCTGGTCTTGAACTCCTGGCCTCAAGTGATCTGCCCTCCTCGGCCTCCCAAAGTGCTGGGATTACAGGTGCCAAACCACATGCTCAGCCATGTGAAGTCCTTTTGACTTAATGGTGCTTCTTTGCTAATTTTTGTTTTACTTTTAAGGCAGAACCTTTCAGAATCCCTTTCTGTATTTTTGTCTGTATTTATTTTGGTCTCATAAGTTATGCTATTTTTCCTGAAAAATTAACATAATGTACAATGAAGAGTATGAAATTAGTCATTACTGGGATAACATCCCATTGATTGAATTTGGTTAAAAAGATATTTCTGGAGTACTTTTCTAAGTGTAATAAAAGCATTTGTTTTCCAAAGAAGCCTCAGATGTTTCCCTGAAAGTTACAACATAATCAATAATTTAAATACAAGCAGTATACTTATGTCAGCTAGTTAATTTCATCTATTCATTACCCTCATATTTTTCTTAGGATCTTAATAGCTGAATGACAGTTTGGAAATAGTGTGGGGATGATGATAGTGATGGTGATAGTTTTAAACCTCACTAATTTCTCCTATAAATAGCAATAGATCAACCAGAATAGTGAAACCAAAAACACACAGATAACATCTTCAATACCCTACAGACCCCAGTTACGCGCATGCAGGAACAAACCACCAACATCTATAGATCTGCGTGATATCAGCATTTGACTAAAGAAAGGAGAGGGAAACAAATGGGCTTTGACGTCATTGAGTGCAGAAGAACCCTCAAATTGCCAAAGGTGCTTACTGTAAAGCATTATGGGGTAGTGTGAGAAGAGGAGCAGCAATTGGAAACAGAATCCCAATGTTGGGTGGGTGTAATAGAATCATGATATGATAGTATCTGATGACTGTGAAGTAAAGAAAAGCTACTCTGGCCTGTCTCTCCCTTTAAAAGTAGAAGCAAACTTGCTTCATTTAAGTGAATACGTTACAGAACATTATCACAATTAAATCCCATACAAAATTATTATATGACAAGAGAGAATAGGAGCCAAATGTTTCTACAGACAATAAGATTTCACAGACATGCCCTCAAACAGATAAAAATTGTAACTCAGTATTCCAAAATGAGCTTTGAAATTTAAGAAAAGGACAGAAGGTATGAGGGAAAAAGCAACATAAATCAGAACTTGAAAAAAATCATAAATGATGTGAGAGAAGAAAAGGAAGATTTCACACAAAAACTTCCAATACTCAGGAAACATTTAGAGAGAAATATTATTTCAGAAATGAACTAGAAAAAAACGCAAACAATAGATAATGACTGTCTTAGTCCATTTATTTGCTGAAAAGGAATACCTGAAGCTGCGTAATTTATAAAGAAAAGAGTTTTATTTTACTCACAGTTTTGCAGACTGTTCAAGAAGAATGGTGCCAGCATCTGCATCAGGTGATGGCTTCAAGTTAAAGAAAGAAGGTTCATGGAAGAAGGTGAAGGGGAGCCAAGCTGGCTGTGTACAGATAGCACATAACCAGAAAGGAAGCAAGAGGTGAGTGGGGAGGTGCCAGGTTCTTTTTAACAACCAACTCGTAATAGAGCCAGATCTCACTCAGTGCCCCCGTACTGCACCCTAGGGAGCACATTAATCCATTCATGAGGGATCTGTCTCCATGACCCAGACACCTCCCATTAGGCCCCACCTCCAACTTGAGATTTGGATCAGATTTCAACATGAGATTTGGAGGGGTGAAATATCCAAACCATACCAATCACTTAATACAAGTATAATAAGATATAAAGAATCTTTTTAATAAAAAAGATATGAAAGAGATTTAAGAGAGTCAAGAGAAAGTGAGAGATACAGAAGATAGATATAGTATCTATTTTTTTAACTTTGAAGAAGAAAACCAAAGCAATGAACAGAACAAAAATTACTAGGTCCATATAATCTCACGGGAAAATTTTATCAGACCTTTAAATAGCCAATGATCATAGTGCCATTTAAATTATTTCAGTGTGTAAAAGAAGAAGGAGAACTTCCAAAATTGTTTTATGAAATGATGATGCTGTAATCCTTAAACTTGACAAGGATTGCACCAAAAAAGAAAACTACATATCAATACCTTTTAAAATATCAATCCAGAACTTACAGATTAATAATAGCAAACACTTATATATTCCTTATATATTCCAGGAATATTGAATGATTCAATATTAGAAAATTAAACTATGTAATTGATCATATCAATGAAACAAATAGGGAAACTCATATGATTACACTCCATAAATCCTGAAAAGGCATATGGCAAAACTTGGCACACATTCATGTTAAAGAATGTTCAGTGGGAGAGGAATTGATGAATATATCCTCATTAACATTAAAAAGTAGATATATTTCAGGCCAAAAACTTTTATCTCATTTATTGGGAAATACTAGATGCTTTTCAGCCAAAGTCGGGAGTAAGGCAAGAATGCTCACTGGTTCTCTACTACTCTTTTTTTTTAGACAAGAGTTTCGCACTGTAGCCCAGGCTGGAGTGCAGTGGCGCGATCTTGGCTCACTGCAGCCTCCGCCTCCCAGGTTCATGCGATTCTCCTGCCTCAGCCTCCTGAGTAGCTGGGACTACAGGTGCACACCACCATACCCAGCTAATTTTTTATAGTTTTAGTAGAGATGGGTTTCACTATGTTGGCCAGACTGATCTCGAACTCCTGACCTTGTGATCTGCCTGCCTCGGCCTCCCAGTGTGATCTGCCTGCCTCAGCCTCCCAAAGTGCTGGGATTACAGGCATGAGACACCACGCCCAGCCTTCTTTTTTTTTTTAAACAGCTTTATTAAGATATAATTTACATACCATACATTTCACAGACTTACAGTGTACAGTTCAGTGAGTTTTATGTATTCACAAAGTTGTACAACTATTACCATAATCATAATTATAAAATTTTAGAACATTGTCATCACCCCAAAAGAAACCCCATAATCATTACTAGTCACTTCTCATTTTCCCCCAATTTCTCCAGTTGTAGGAAGCCACTAATTTGCCTCCAATTTTTATAGATTTACCTATTCTGGACATTTTAAATAAGTAGACTCATACAGTATGGGGCCTTTCGTGATTGGCTTCTTTGACAGCATAATGTTTTCAAGGTTCCTCCATGTTGTAGAATCAATATTTCATTACTTCTTATTGCTGAATAGTATTTAATTGTATATATGAACTACATTTTACTTATCCATTCATAATTGGTAGACGTTTTAGATAGTTCCCAATTTTTAGCTATTATGAATAATTATAGCATTATACATGATGCTGACATTTGTATATACATATTTGTTTGGAAATATGTTTTTATTTCTTTGGGGTATATAAAAAGGTGTGGTTGTGTGGTAATGTTACATTTAAACATTTGAAGAACTGCCAGACTCCCGAATGACTGGAGCATTTTGCATTCCCACCATCAACTTATGAAGGCTCTAATTTCTTTACATCCTCACCAACACGTGTTATTATCTATCCTTTTGATTTTACCCATCCTCTGGGTGTGAAGTGGTATCTGTTCTGGTTTTGATTTGCATTTACCTAATGGCTAATATTATTGAGCATTGCTTCCTGTACTTATTGGGTGTTTGTATATCTTCTCTGGAGAAATGTATATTCAGCTTGTTTGTCTACTTAAAAATTTGGATTACTGTGTCTTTATTATTGAACTGTGCTTTAGCTTAGGCTGCCTTAACAAAATACCATAGACTGGGTGGCTTAAACAACATAAATTTATGTTATCACTGTTCTGGAGGCTAGAAGTCTCATCAAGGAACCAGCATGGTCAGTTGCTGGTGAAGTCTCTCTTCCCTCTTGTAGATGGCCACCTTCTCATTGTGTCCTCACATGGTGAGGGGAGAGAAAGAGCAAGATCTCTTGTGTCTCTTCTTTTAAGGGCACTAATCCCATCATGAGTGCCATACTCTCATGACCTCATCTAACCCTCATTGCTTCCCAAAAGTCCCATCACCAAATACCATTACAATGGGGCCTACAGATTCAATATATGAATTTTGAGGGGACACAAATATTCAATCCATAACAGATTTGTGAGTTCTTTATATATTCTGCATACAAGTTGCTTATCAGATATATGATTTGCAAACATGTTCTCCTATCCTATGGGTTTAAAAAAAAATCTGTATGGCATCCTTTGAAGCATAAAAGTTAACTAATTTTGATAAAATCTGGTTTATCTGTGTTTTCGTTTCTTCCTTGTGCTTTTGATATCACATCTTGGAAGACTTTGCCTAACCCATAGTCATGAAGATTTAATCCATATTTTAAGAATTGTATAATTTTCATTTCTACATTTAGGTTTGTCATCCATTTTGAGTTAATTGTTGTATATGGCATGAGAAAGAGTTTCAATTATTTTCTTTTGTTTGTAGATATCCAGTTGTCCCAGCACAATTTTTTGATAAGACTATTGTTTTCTTTCATTGAATTTGTTTGGCAAACTTACCAAAAATCAATTGACCGTAAGTATAAGGATGGATTTCTGGACTCTCAATTGTATTTCACTGGTGTATGTCTGTCCTTATATCAGTACCACACAGTCTTGATTATTTGCTTTTGTGGATTCTTTAGGGGGTTACATATACACAATCATGTCATTTGTGAAGAGAGACTGTTTTACTTTTTCCATATGGACTCGTTTTTATTTAATTTTCTTACCTAATTCCTTTTCTAGAACCCACAGTACAATGTTGACTAGAAGCTGAAAAATTGGACACTGTTTTTCTGGATTGTAAGCGAGAAACATTGTGTCTCACCATTAAGTATGATGTTAGCTATGGTTTTCATAAATACCTTTTATCAGGTTGAGGAACATTCCTTCTCTATTAATTTCCCAGGGATGCTATAACAAAATGCTATAAATTTGATGGCATAAACAGTACATTATTGTCTCATTTCTGGGGGCCAGAAGTCTGAAATCAAGGAATTAGCAGGGCCACACTCCATCTGGAGGGTCTAGGGAAGAATTCTTCCTTGCCTCTTCCATCCTGTGGTTGCTATCAGAATTCCTTGGCTTCCTTGGCTTGTGATAACATAATCTAATCTCTGCCTCCATCTTCACATAGCCTTATTCTCTCTGTCTGTGTCTGCCCCTTTTCTAAGGAAACTTGTCACTGGATTTAAGGAATACCTGAATATTCCAGATTTATCTCATTTCAGGATTCTTCACTGAATTACATCTGCAAAGATCTGTCTTCCAAATAAGGTGCCATCCACAGTTTTGAGGATTAGGGCACAGATTTCTTTTGGGGGTATTCGGGGTACTGTTCAACCACTACAGTCTGCCCCCTAGCTCCCCACAATTCACATTTATCTCACATATCTTCTTTCATCTTCTTTCATTCCTGATCCTGATTATTTGAGTCTTCTCTCTCTTTTTGTTGGTTAGACTAATTAAAAGTTTATCAACTTTTATATCTTTTCAAAGAAGCAATTTTTGATTTTTTCTTTTCTATTTATTTATTTATTTAGAGACGGAGTCTTACTCTGTCGCCCAGGCTGCAGTGCAGTGGCGCCATCTCTGCTCACTGCAAGCTCCGCCTCCCAGGTTCACACCATTCACCTGCCTCGGCCTCCCGAGTAGCTGGGACGACAGGCGCCCGCCACCACACCCGGCTAATTTTTTTGTATTTTTAGTAGAGATGGGGTTTCACTGCGTTAGCCAGGATGGTCTCGATCTCCTGATCTCATGATCTGCCTGCCTCGGCCTCTCAAAGTGCTGGGATTACAGGCGTGAACCACTGCGCCTGGCTGATTTTGTTTTTCTCTATTGCTTTTCAATTCTCTATATTATTTATCTCCACTTTCATTTCTATTATTTCTTCCCCTGCTTGCTTTAAGTTTAGTTTGCTCCTCTTCCATTGTCTTAAGGTGGAAGGTTAGGTTATTGATTTGCAGCCTTTCTTCTTTTTTAATATAGGTATTTATAACTATAAATTTCCCTCTAAGCACTGCTGTATCTGTATCTCATAAGTTTTGGTATATTATTCTTCATTCATTCATCTCAAAATATTTTTAAATTTCCCTTGTGATTTTACCCTTTAGTAATTTAGGAGTATGACTAACTTCCACATATTTGTGAACTTTCCAAATTTATTTCTGTTTTTGATCTAAAATTTTATTCCATTGTGGTTGGAAAACAAAATTTATATGATTTCAATACCCGTGTATTTATTAAGGCTTGTTTTGTGGCCTAGCATATACTCTATCCTAGAGTATGTTCCATGAGCACTTGAGAAAAATGTGTATTCTCCTACTGTAGGGTAGAGTGTTTTATGGATTTCTGTTATATCTAGGTGATTTATACTGTTGTTCAAGTCTTCTATTTACTTGTTGATATTCTGCCTAGTGTTGTTTTTTTAACTGAAAGTAGGGTAATGGCGTCATTATTGAAAGTGGGGTATTGGAGTCTCCAATTATTATTGTCCAATTGTCTATTTCCTTTTTCATTTCTATTAGTTTTTATTTGATGTATTTTGTGGCTCAGTTGTTAAGTTCGTATATCTTTATAAATGTTATATCTTCCTGATGGATTATTCCTTTTATCATTATAAATATTTCTTACTCTCTAGTAACATTTTTGTTGTAAAGTCTACTTTGTCTGATATTACTATAGCCACTTTTAGCTTTCTCATAGTTGCTTTTTTGCATGATGTATCTTTTGCCACTCTTTTACTTTCAATCTAATTGTGTCTGAATCTAAAGTTTATCTCCTGCAGAAAGAACATAGCTGGAATTTATTTTTTAAATCCAGCCTGACGGTCTGCTTTTTGATTGGATTGTTTAATTTATTCATATTTAATGCTATCATTATAGTTGGACTTATGTCTACCATTTCTCATCTATTTTCTGTATTTCTTATGCATTTTTCTTTTGTTCTTTCTTTTCAGCTGTCTTTTATATCAAATGAATAATTTCTAGTATGATTTTTTAATTTCTGTAATCTTTTTCACTGTATTATAAACATTTATTCTACTAGTGGTTGCTCTAGGACTTCCCAAACACATATTAATGTATCACAGTCTACTTCAGAATTATACGTATGTTTAGTGAGATATAGAAATGTTATTCTATATAGCTATATTTTTGCTTTCCATTTTTGTGCTATTATTGTTATGCATATTACATCTATATGTTACAAATACAACAGAATATTGTTATAATTATTTTATATAATATTAACATCTTTTTAAAAAGCTAGGAAAAGACAGACCAAGTGTATATATTTATAGTGTGTTATATTGATGTTCTTATTTACTATTTCAGGTTCTCTTAATTTGTTTATTTTGCTTTTGAGTTTTAAAGTGAATTTCCTAAAAATTGGAATAAAATGAAAAATGAACCTAACTGCTCTATTCAGAAACCATTCAGAGCTATTTATTTATTTATTTATTTGTCTTTTTTCTTTTTTATTGCTTTTCACATTGAACGTCAGGCCTTAAGCCTGAGAGAAGTGGCTCTGAGACCCTAAGTGCCCTGAGGAGTGCCCCCATCCCCACTGAGCTAAGCGGGGTGTTTTAAGTTATTTTTAAACCCAATAATTTGTATATCTTGGTGTGATATATACAAAAGATAAAAGTAACCACAACAAGACCTTAAACTGTTTCCTGTAATCACTGATAGCTGTGGAATTTTTTGTTTTTGTTTTCTGAGACTGGTGAATGTTCTTCCTGAATAAATTAAGTGAGGAATTATTCAGGGCCAGGACTAGAGTGAGGGAAGAAGGCATTTGCCTCAGGCACAAAATATAAGGGACTCAAAACAAATACAGTAATGAGCTGTGATTGCATCACTGCACTTCCACCTGGGCAACAGAGTGAGACCTTGTCTCAAATATATATATATATAATGAATTAAAGAATATATATATATATGTTTGAGACAAGGTTATACAGCTGAATTAGAGAATACTGAAACATTGCTCCAGGAGAAATGCAGAATTAGATTCCTGCAAGCCTCTGGTTATATTTTTTGTCAACCAATCATTATATAACCTGTTGTATATGTGTTTCTGTATAAAGATACTTTATTTAATATGTGATGCATCTCTCCTGGGAGCAATGTTTCAGTGTTCTCTAATTCAGTTGTATAACCCTGTCTCAAATACATATATATATATATATATATATATATATATATATATATATATATATATATGATGCAATTTTTTAAAAAATAAAAAATAAAAAAATAAAAATTTTAGATAAAGGCAGGAGCAGTGGCAGTACCATGCTGTGTCATATTGGTGCCTGAGGCAAAAGGAAAAGTCAATAATTCAGATCCTGTTGTGGTTTCAAATTGGTTTTTTGTTTGTCATCGATCCTGGCTGGGAATTATGTTAGTGTCATTAAGAACCAAGATTTTCAGCATGGGAGAAAGGAGATGCAGATGTAAGACTGAGAAGATTTAGTAAAAACTCCATTGTCCTGAATTTAAAATATAACTTCTGATGCTTTTTATCTTGAAAATACAAAATGATAGCTATGTCACTATAATTATCACTATATATGTACATATATTTACATACATATACAGTTGATTCTCTTTATGATTTGTATTTGTGAATTCTCTTACTTGCTAAAATTTATTTGTAATTCAAAAAAATCAATATTCATGACACTTCTGTGGTCATCGATGGATGTATTCAGAGTGGCAAAATATTTGAGTCACCAGACACATAGGTTCCCAGTTTGAGGTCGATAAAGCAACATTTTCCTTTTTTGTTCCAGATCTCATATTGATTGATTGAGACAGGGTTTCATTCCATCACCCAAGTTGGAGTACAGTGGTGTGATCACTGCTCACTGCAGCGTCAACCTTCTGGGCTCAAACGATCCTCCGTTCTTAGCCTCCCAAGTAGCTGGAACTACAGGCACATGCCACCACACCCAGCTAATTTTTGTATTTTTAGTAGAGACGGTTTTTGCCATCTTGTCCAGGCTGGTCTCGAACTCCTGGCCTCAAGTGATCCGCCCGCCTTGGCCTCCCAAAGTGCTGGGACTACAGGTGTGAGCTACTGTGCCAAGCAAGCTCTCATACTTTAAGCAAGTGTCCTTTCTGCAGTTGGTGCTTCATTCAAGTGCGAGTCATATTGTTACCTGTAAGTTCAGTGTTAATGAATCAACAATATATATTAAATAAAGTATCTTCATACAGAAACACACATACAACAGGTTATATAATGATTGGTTGACAAAAAATATTATAACCAGAGGCTTACAGTGTCTAATTCTGCATTTCTCCTAGGAGCAATGTTTCAGTATTCTCTAATTCAGTTGTACTCTGTAACTTTATAGAACATGTCTACTGTAAATAATTAGAATCAACAGTATATAGGAAATACAGGAACTGTATATATGTAGTTACTGGTAAAAATATCATCTGTGAGGAGTTTTGCAATAACAAACAAAACCCTGAATCTGATCAAGCAATACTCTACTACTAATTTACAGGAAATAACCTAATTAAGTAAATATGTACATGTATATACATATACTTCCTAGTCTGTCCACTGAAAAGATACAGAAAAATGGCTGCCTAGGAGTAATGAGCCCTCTTAGTTGCCGTATTGTGACTAAATTCTAGATTTAGAACTGGCTTTTTGGATAAATACCCAGCGCAAGACATAGGGCAGGAGATGTACAAGATGAGCCCAAAACAGTTTGTCCTATCAGAAAGGAGGGGTGCTATTAAAGACTTAGAGTTGTATCAAAAGAACACAGACTCAGACCTGATTAAGTTCCAACTAAACAAACCTGGGACAATTTGAACATCAGTAATAATAGCAACTATGGAGTTAAGTACTTCAAATATAATTGTGCACTGCATAACGACTGGTTGGTGGTTTCATAAGATTATAATGGAGCTGAAAATTTTTATTGCCTAGTATTTACTATACTATACATTTATTTGTTATTTTATTTATTTTTTTGATTTTCTTTTTTTTAATTTTATTTTTATTATACTTTAAGTTCTAGGGTACATGTGCACAATGTACAGGTTTGTTACATATGTATACATGTGGTATGTTGGTGTGCTGCACCCATTAACTCGTCATTTACATTAGGTATATCTCCTAATGTTATCCCTCCCCACTCCCCCCACCCGACGACAGGACCTGGTGTGTGATGTTCCCCTTCCTGTCTCATTTTTCAATTCCCACCTATGAGTGTTTGGTTTTTTGTCCTTGCGACAGTTTGCTGAGAATGATGGTTTCCAGCTTCATCCATGTCCCTACAAAGGACATGAACTCATCCTTTTTTATGGCTGCATAGTATTCCATGGTGTATATGTGCCACATTTTCTTAATCCACTCTATCATTGTTGGACATTTGGGGTGGTTCCAAGTCTTTGCTTTTGTGAGTAGTGCCACAATAAACATACGTGTGCATGTGTCTTTATAGCAGCATGATTTATAATCCTTTGGGTATATACCCAGTAATGAGATGGCTGGGTCAAATGGTATTTCTAGTTCTAGATCCTTGAGGAATCACCACACTGTCTTCCACAATGGTTGAACTAGTTTACAGTCCCACCAACAGTGTAAAAGTGTTCCTGTTTTTCCACATCCTCTCCAGCACCTGTTGTTTCCTGACTTTTTAATGATCACCATTCTAACTGGTGTGAGATGGTATCTCAATGTGGTTTTGATTTGCATTTCTCTGATGGCCAGTGATGATGAGCATTTTTTCATGTGTCTGTTGGCTACATAAATGTCTTCTTTTGAGAAGTGTCTGTTCATATCCTTTGCCCACTTTGTGACAGGGTTTTTTTTTTTTCTTGTAAATTTGTTTGAGTTCTTTGTAGATTCTGGATATTAGCCCTTTGTCAGATGGGTAGATTGCAAAAATTTTCTCCCATTCTGTACGTTGCCTGTTCACTCTGATGGTGGTTTCTTTTGCTGTGCAGAAGCTCTTTAGTTTAATTAGATCCCATTTGTCAATTTTGGCTTTTGTTGCCATTGCTTTTGGTGTTTTAGTCATGAAGTCCTTGCCCATGCCTATGTCCTGAATGGTATTGCTTAGGTTTTTTTCTAGTGTTTTTATGGTTTTAGGTCTAACATTTAAGTCTTTAATCCATGTTGAATTAATTTTTGTATAAGGTGTAAGGAAGGGATCCAGTTTCAGCTTTCTACATATGGCTAGCCAGCTTTCCCAGCACCATTTATTAAATAGGGAATCCCTTCCCCATTGCTTGTTTTTGTCAGGTTTGTCAAAGATCAGATGGTTGTAGATGTGTGGTATTATTTCTGAGGCCTCTGTTCTGTTCCATTGGTCTATATCTCTGTTTTGGTACCAGTACCATGCTGTTTTGGTTACTGTAGCCTTGTAGTATAGTTTGAAGTCAGATAACATGATGCCTCCAGCTTCATTTTTTTTACTTCGGATTGTCTTGGCAATGCAGGCCCTTTTTTGGTTCCATATGAACTTTAAAGTAGTTTTTTCCAATTCTCCGAAGAAAGTCATTGGTAGCTTGATGGGGATGGCACTGAATCTATAAATTACCTTGGGCAGTATGGCCATTTTCACGATGTTGATTCTTCCTGTCCATGAGCATGGAATGTTTCTCCGTTTGTCTGTGTCCTCTTTTATTTTGTTGAGCAGTGGTTCGTAGTTCTCCTTGAAGAGGTCCTTCACATCCTTGTAAGTTGTATTACTAGGTATATTATTCTCTTTGTATTAGTTGTGAATGTGAGTTCACTCATGATTTGACTCTGTCTGTTATTGGCATACAAGAATGCTTGTGATTTTTGCACATTGATTTTGTATCCTGAGACTTTGCTGAAGTTGCTTATCAGCTTAAGGAGATTTTGGGCTGAGATGATGGGGTTTTCTAAATATACAATCCTGTCATCTATAAACAGAGACAATTTGACTTCCTCTTTTTCCTAACTGAATACCATTTATTTCTTTATCTTGCCTGATTGCCCTGGCCAGAACTTCCAATACTATGTTGAATGGGAGTGGTGAGAGAGGGCATCCTTGTCTTGTGCCGGTTTTCAAAGGGAATGCTTCCAGTTTTTGCCCATTCAGTATGATACTGGCTGTGGGTTTGTCATAAATAGTTCTTATTATTTTGAGATATGTTTCATCAGTACCTAGTTTATTGAGAGTTTTTAGCATGAAGGGCTGTAGAATTTTGTCAAAGGTCTTTTCTGCATCTATTGAAATAATCGTGTGGGTTTTTTTGTTGGTTCTGTTTATTTGATGGATTATGTTTATTGATTTGCATATGTTGAACCAGCCTTGCATCCCAGGGATGAACCTGACCTGATTGTGGTGGATAAGCTTTTTGATGTGCTGCTGGATTTGGTTTGCGAGCATTTTATTGAGGATTTTCACATCGATATTCATAGGGATATTGGTCTAAAATTCTCTTTTTTTCTTGTGTCTCTGCCAGGCTTTGGTATCAGGATGATGTTGGCCTCATAAAATGAGTTAGGGAGGATTCCTCTTTTTCTATTGGTTGGAATAGTTTCAGAAGGAATGGTACCAGCTCCTCTTTGTACCTCTGGTAGAATTTGGCTGTGAATCTGTCTGGTCCTGGACTTTTTTTGGTTGGTAGGCTATTAATTATTGCCTCAATTTCAGAACCTGTTATTGGTCTATTCAGAGATTCAACTTCTTCCTAGTTTAGTCTTGGAAGGGTGTATGTGTCCAGGAATTTATCCATTTCTTCTAGATTTTCTAGTTTATTTGAGTAGAGGTATTTATAGTATTCTCTGATGGTAGTTTGTATTTCTGTGGGATCGGTGGTGATATCCCCTTTATCATTTTTTATTGTGTCTCTTTGATTCTTCTCTGTTTTCTTCTTTATTAGTCTTGCTAGCAGTCTTTCAATTTTGTTGAGCTTTTCAGAAAACCAGCTCCTGGATTCATTGAGTTTTTGAAGAGCCTTTTTTGTCTCTATCTCCTTCAGTTCGGCTCTGATCTTAGTTATTTCCTGCCTTCTGCTAGCTTTTGAATGTGTTTGCTCTTGCTTCTCTAGTTCTTTTAATTGTGACGTTAGGATGTTGATTTTTTATCTTTCCTGCTTTCTCTTATGGGCATTTATTGCTATAAATTTCCCTCAAAGCACTGCTTTAGCTGTGTCCCAGAGATTCTGGTACATTGTGTGTTTGTTCTCATTGGCTTCAAAGAACATCTTTATTTCTGCCTTCATTTCATTATTTACCCAGTAGCCATTCAGGACCACGTTGTTCAGTTTCCATGTAGTTGTGCGATTCTGGATGAGTTTCTTAATCCTCAGTTCTAGTTTGATTGCACTGTGGTCTGAGAGACAGTTTGTTGTGATTTATGTTCTTTTATATTTGCTGGGGAGTGCTTTACTTCCAAATATGTTGTCAATTTTAGAATAAGTGCGACATGGTGCTGAGAAGAATGTATATTTTGTTGATTTGGAGTGGAGAGTTCTGTAGATGTCTATTAGATCTGCTTGGTGCAGAGCTGAGTTCAAGTCTTAGATATTCTTGTTAACCTTCTGTCTCATTGATCTGTCTAATATTGACAGTGGGGTGTTAAAGTCTCCCATTATTATTGTGTGGGAGTCTAAGTCTCTGTGTAGGTCTCTAAGGACTTGCTTTATGAATCTGGGTGTTCCTGTATTGGGTGCATATATATTTAGGATAGTTAGCTCTTCTTGTTGAATTGATCCCTTTACCATTATGTAATGACCTTCTTTGTCTCTTTTGATCTTTCTTGGTTTAAAGTCTGTTTTATCAGAGACTGGGATTGCAACCCCTGCTTTTTTTTGTTTTGCATTTGCTTGGTAGATCTTCCTCCATCCCTTTATTTTGAGCCTATGTGTGTCTCTGCACGTGAGATGGGTCTCCTGAATACAGCACACTGATGGGTCTTGACTCTATCCAATTTGCCAGTCTGTCTTTTAATTGGGGCATTTAACCCATTTACATTTAAGGTTAATATTGTCATGTGTGAATTTAATCCTGTCATTTTGGTGTTAGCTGGTTATTTTGCCTGTTAATTGATGCAGTTTCTTCATAGCATCAATGGTGTTTACAATTTGGCATGTTTTTGCAGTGGCTGATACCAGTTGTTTCTTTCTGTGTTTAGTGCTTCCTTCAGGAGCTCTTGTAAGGCAGGCCTGGTGGTAACACAATCTCTCAGCATTTGCTTGTCTGTAAGTGATTTTATTTCTCCTTCACTTATGAAGCTTAGTTTGTCTGGATATGAAATTCTGGGTTGAAAGTTCTTTTCTTTAAGAATATTGAATATTGGCCCCCATTCTCTTCTGGTTTGTAGCATTTCTGACAAGAGATCTGCTGTTAGCCTGATGGGCTTCCCTTTGTGGGTAACCCGACCTTTCTTTCTGGCTGCACTTAACATTTTTTCCTTCATTTCAACCATGGTGAATCTGACAATTATGTGTCTTGGGGTTTCTCTTCTCGAGGAGTATCTTTGTGGTGTTCTCTGTGTTTCCTGAGTTTGAATGTTGGCCTGCCTTGTTAGGTTGGAAAGTTCTCCTGGATAATATCCTGAAGAGTTGTTTTCCAACTTGGTTCCATTCTCCCCATCACTTTCAGGTATGCCAATCAAACATAGATTTGGTCTTTTCACATAGTCCCATGTTTCTTGGAGGTTTTGTTCATTTCTTTTTACTCTTTTTTCTCTAACCTTGCCTTCTCGCTTTATTTCATTAATTTGATCTTCAATCACTGATACCCTTTCTTCCACTTGATGGAATTGGCTACTGAAGCTTGTACATGCGGGACGAAGTTCTCATGCCATGGTTTTCAGCTCCATCAGGTCATTTAAATTCTTCTCTACACTGTTTATTCTAGTTAGACATTTGTCTAACATTTTTTCAAGGTTTTTAGCTTCCTTGCGATGGGTTCAAACATGTTCCCTTTAGCTTGGAGAAGTTTGTTGTTACCGACCTTCTGAGGCCTACTTCTGTCAACTCAGCAAAGTCATTCTCCATCCAGCTTTGTTCTGTTGGCTGGCGAGGAGCTGCGATCCTTTGGAGGAGAAGAGGCGTTCTGATTTTTAGAATTTTCAGCTTTTCTGCTCTGGTTTCTCCCCATCTTTGTGGTTTTATCTACCTTTGGTCTTTGATGTTGGTGACCTACAGTTGGGGTTTTGTGTAGATGTCCTTTTTGTTGATGTTGATGCTATTCCTTTCTGTTTGTTAGTTTTCCCTCGGCTGCAGTTCTGTTGGAGTTTGCCGGAGACCCTGTTTGCCTGGGTATCATCAGCGGAAGCTGCTGAACAGCATATATTGCAGAACAGCAAATATTGCTGCTTGATCCTTCCTCTGGAATCTTTGTCCCAGAGGGGCACCCACCTATATGAGGTGTCTGTTGGCCCCTACTGGGAGGTGACTCCCAGTTAGGCTACACAGGGGTCAGGGACCCACTTGAGGAGGCAGTCTGTCTGTTCTTAGAGCTCAGATGCCATGTTGGGAGAACCACTGCTGTCTTCAGAGCTGTCAGCCAGGGAGGTTAAGTCTGCAGAAGTTGTCTGCTGCCTTGTGTTTAGTTAAGCCCTGCCCACAGAGGTGGAGTCTAGAGGCAGTAAGCCTTGCTGAGCTGCAGTGGGCTGCGCTTAGTTGAGCTTACTGGCTGCTTTGTTTACCTACTCAAGCCTCAGCAATGTCGGACGCCCCTCCCCCAGCCAGGCTGCCACTTTACAGTTCAATCTCACACTGCTGCGCTAGCAGTGAGCAAGGCTCTGTGGGCGTGGGACCCGCTGAGCCAGGCACGGGAGAGAATCTCTTTGTCTGCCTGTTGCTAAGACCTTGGGAAAAGTGCAGTATTTAGGTGGGAGTGTCCCGTTTTTCCAGGTACAGTCTGTCACAGCTTCCATTGGGTAGGAAAGGGAATTCCCCCTACCCCTTGCATTTCCTGGGTGAGGCGACACCCCGCCCTCCTTCCTCTTGCCCTCCTTGGGCTGCAACCACTGTCCAGCCAGTCCCAAAGAGATGAACCAGGTACCTCGGTTGGAAATGCAGAAATCACCCATCTTCTGTGTCAATCCCGCTGGGAGCTGCAGACCGGAGCTGTTCCTATTTGGTCATCTTGTTATATCTTATATATATATGTTTTTTAATTGCTTACCTACAAAAAAATATTCTTTGGAGAAATTATTCAAGTTCCTAAATGCAATTACCCTTGCTCTGTGTACAAATAAGCTTTAAAAAAATTTTTTTTTGCACATTATTGAATATTCATTTGTATACTCTGATAAATTGCAATTGAATTTAAAACATTATGTCTAGATAGGCTTTCCTAGACCCCCTCCATGTATAAAAGTGATGGAAGGACAGTGGTTTTCACTCATATACATGCACACACAATTTCACATATATGCATTTATCCATAAATATGCATATACACATACATTAAAATGTATAAAGCCTGGGCACAGTGGCTCATGCCTGTAATTCCAGCACTTTGGGAGGTTGAGGCAGGCGGATCACAAGCTCAGGAGATTGAGACCATCCTGGCTAACATGGTGAAACCCCGTCTCTACTAAAAAATACAAAAAAATTAGCCAGGCGTGGTGGTGGGTGCCTGTAGTCCCAGCTACTCAGGAGGCTGAGGCAGGAGAATGGCGTGAACCTGGGAGGTAGAGCTTGCAGTGAGCCAAGATCATGCCACTGCACTCCAGCCTGGGTGATAGAGCGAGACTCCATCTCAAAAAAAAAAAAAAAAAAAAAAATTAGGCAGATACTTCACAGAAGAAGTAAAAATGACTAATACATATAAAATTAGTTCTGTGTAATTGATCATCAAAAAAATTTTATGAAATACACATCAAACATTGACATCCCATTTTTTTCTTATTTAAGATTTTAAAATTACAGTCTTGCTGGTGAATGCATGATACACAAGCTTCTGGTGGAAGTATAACTTGGTACAACCTTTTGTAAAGCATTTTTGACATAAGGTATCAAAAGTCTTAAAATTATTTATAACCTTTGCTTCTCTATTTCGACTTCTTAGGGTCTAGCCAAGTAAAATCTTAATCAGATATAGTAAAAAAAATTGTATATAAAAATATTCATTATTCATTAATGTTTAGTATTGAAAACACCTAAAAATTTTGTAACAATAAGAAATTGATTAAATTAATTGGGGTACATTCATAATTTGAAATGCTATACAGCTATTAAAAACTTGAATTTTGAAGGTCTTAGCTACTTGAAAAAATTCTCGTTAAAAATTTGAACACACAAAGGCCATACCTGACAAACCCACAGCTAACATCATACTGAATGGGGAAAAGTTGAAAGCCTTTTCTCTAAGAACTGGAATAAGTCAGGATGCCTACTTTCACCACTCCTCTTCAACAAAGTAATAGAAGTCCTAGCCAGAGTAATCAGGCAAGAGAAAGAAGTAAAAGACATCCAAATTGGAAAAAAGAAAGTCATATTATCACTCTTTGCAGATGATGTAATCTTATATTTAGAAAAACCAAAAGACTTCACTAAAACATCTTAGAACTGAAAAACAAGTTAAGTAAAGTTGCAGTATACAAAATTAACATACAAAAATCAATCAGTATTGTTTCTGAACACCAATAATGACATAGCTGAAAAAGAAATCAAGAAGGCAATCACATTTACAATAGCTACAAAAAAATAAAAATACCTAGAAATAAATTTATCCAAGGAAGCAAAAGAGCTCTACAAGGAATACTACAAAACACTGATGAAAGAAATTGAAGAGGACACAAACAAATGGAAAGACATCCTATGCTCATGCATCAGAATAATTATTGTTGTTAAAATGACCATACTGCCCAAAGTGATCTACAGTGTGATCCCTATCAAAATACCAACATCATTTTTCACAAAAATAAAAAAATTCCTGGCCAGGTGCAGTGGCTCACCCCTGTAGTCCCAGCACTTTGGGAGGCCAAGGCAAGTCGATTGCCTGAGGTCAGGAGTTCAAGATCAGCCTGGCTAACATGGTGAAGCCCCATCTCTACTAAAAATACAAAAATTAGCCAGGTGTCATGGCAGGCGCCTGTCATCACAGCTACTGGGGAGGCTGAAGCAGGAGAATCACTGGAACCTGAGAGGCAGAGGTTACAGTGAGCCAAGATCCCACCACTGCACTCCAGGCTGGGCGGCAGAGTGAGTCGCCATCTCAAACAAAAACAAAAAAATAAAAATTAAAAAAAATTTAAAATTCCTAAAATGTGTATGGAACTAAAAAAGAGCCAGAATAGCCAAAGAAATCCTGAGCAAAAAGAACAGAGCTAGAGGGATCACACTACCTGACTTTAAAATATATTACAAGGCTCTATAGTAACCAAAACAGCATTGTATTGGTATAAAAAAAGAGACAAATAGACTAATGAAACAGAATAGAGAACCGGGGAATAAATCCACACATTTACAGCCAACTGACCTTTGACAAAGCCATCAAGTACATACGTTGGGGAAAGGACACCCTTTATAATAAAATGGTGCTGGGAAAACTGGATAACCATGTGTAGAAGAATGAAACAGGACCCCTATCTCTCTCTGTATATGAAAATCAACTCAAGATGGTTTAAAAGCTTAAACATAAGACCCAAAACTATAAACCTACTAGAAAATAACATAGGAAAAACTCTTCAGGACATAGGTCTAGACAAAGATTTTATGGCTAAGATCTCAAAATCACAGGCAAGAAAACCAAAAATAGACAAGTGGGACTATATTAAATTAAAAAGCTCTCCACAGCAAAAGAAACAATCAGTAGAATGAAGAGACAGCCTGTTGAATAAGAGAGAATATTTGCCTACTAATTTCACAGGGGACTCATATCCAGAATATACAAGAAACTCAAACAACTCAACAGGAAAAAGAAAAGAAAACCCAAATAATCCCATTAAAAATGGGGTAAGGACATGAATAGACAGATCTCAAAAGTAGACATACAGGTGGCCTACAGTTGTGTGAAAAAATGCTCAACATCACCAATCATCAGGGAAATGCAAATCGAAACCACAATGAGATATCCTCTTATCCCAGTTAGAATAGCTATTACTAAAAAGACAAAAATAACAAATGTTGGTGAGGATGTTGAGAAATGGGAAATCTTATACACTGTAGGTGGGAATGTAGATTAGTACAGCCTCTATGGAAAACAGTATGAAGATTTCTCAAAAAACTAAAAATAGAACTACCATGTACCCAGCAATTCCACTACTTGGTATTATCTAAAGCAAAATAAACTGCATGTCAAAGGGATACATGCAGTCTCATGTTTATTGCAGCACTATTCACTACAGAAAAGATATGGAATCAGCCCAAATGTCTCTCAGTGAATGAGTGGATAAAGAAAATATGGTATATATACACAATGGAATACTATTCGACCATAAAAAAGAATAAAATCATCATTTATAGCAACATGGATGGAACGGGAGGATATTATGTTAAGTGAAATCAGCAGGCACAGACATATTGCATATTATCATGTGGGAGCTAAAAAGTTGATCACGTGGAGGTAGACGGTGATCTACAAACATAGTTTGGTTAATGGGTACAAACATATAGTTAGATAGAAGAAATAAGTTCTAATGTTCAATAGCAGAGTAGGGTGACTATAGTTAACAACAATATATTGTATATTTCAAAGCAACCAAAAGAGAGGACTTGAAATGTACCCAACATGTAAAAGTGACAAACACTTGGGTGACAGATACCCTAAAGAGCCTGACTTGATCATCACACATTCTATGCATGCAACAAAATTTCACAAGTACCCCATAAATATATACAAACATAATGTATCAAAAAATTTTTTTAAATTGAAAAAATACAGAATACAGTTATGTACAGTGTACAATATAATACTAATTTTGGTCTCTATGTATATAATCAGAAAGATCAGAAGGGAAGGCAGCACAACTTCAACAGCGTTTATCTCTATGTGATGAATTATAGATTATATTATACCTTTCTGTAGTTTATAAGTTATTCAGTGTTTCTCATGTTTTACTGTATAATCACTAAGGAAGAATACACATTTTTCACAAAGCAAACTCAGAGGCACCTAAGATATACTGAAAAGTATAGACTCCCCAATTTATAATGGTTCGACTTATAATTTTTCAACTTTATGATGGTATAAAAGTAATATGCATTCAGTAGGACATCAATAAATTACATGAGATGTTTAACACTTCATTATGAAATAGGCTTTATGGGCCAGGCGCAGTGGCTCACACCTGTAATCCCAGCACTTAGAGAGGCCGACACAGGCAGATCACCTGAAGTGAGGAATTTGAGACCAGCATGGCCGACATGGTGAAACCCAATCTCTACTAAAAATACAAAAATTAGCTGGTCGTGGGTGGCACGTGCCTGTAATCCCTGCTATTGGGGAGGCTGAGGCAGGAGAATTGCTTGAATCCAGGAGACAGAGGTTGCAGTGAGTTGAGATCGTGCCATTGCACTCCAGCCTGGATGACAAGAGTGAAACTCCATCTCAAAACAACAAAAACAACAAACAAAAAATAAAATAGGCTTTGTGTTGGATGATTTTGCCCAACTGTTGGCTAATGTAAGTGTTCTGAGCACATTTAATGTAGGCTAGGCTAAGCTATGATGTTTGGTAAATTCAATGTATTAAGTTCATTTTCCACTTACTGATATACTAAAATTACAATGGGTTTATTGAGATGTAACCCCATCATAAATCAAGGAGCATCTGTATTTGAGGAGTCAGCAAGCAAGGACTTAAGCCAGTCAGCTCAGTGGTCCAGAGTAAGTTTCTCTTCTGGGCCTGATATTCTTATCTAGAAAACAGCCATGGTAATTATACAGTTGTAATGTAAATTAAATTTAGGAAATGAGCCTTGCATACACTATGCATTCAATTATAGGACATTTCCCTATAACAACAAAGTTTAAAATTTGGTTGTATTTTTTTGTCTGTCTTTTCCCCCTCATATAATATAGATAATAGTTTGCAAATACTTTTGTACTCCTGAATATAATCTTGCATCTTCAAACATAAGGGAAACATTTATTGGAATGTTATAAAACCTCAATTTTGTAGTATTCTTTGTGTTCTCTTGGTTTTAATGGCTTGTCTATAAAAAATTACTCATTCATGCAGAAATTATTGTTTCTTACATGGAAAGAAGCATTGGAGAATGAAATGATAAATAAGATATATTTGCTGTCATAAAGGATATTTCACTCATACAACCAACAAATACACAAATGTATTAGGTTCCATAGGGAGAATGGGAGAATAATACAGTTTTGGAGTCCAGAAATTACTTATATCTTACACAAAGATTATTCATCTCAATTTAAAATGACAGTCACCAAATTTATGCAAAAGTTTTCTGTGAATACTGGAGCTAAGAAAGAAAGTTAATGGTTTGGTCTTTGCAATTGGGCTTACTTCTATTTGCTATAGTTTATTAATTAAGAGTAAAGTCAACTTAGCAAATATTTACTTAGTACCCATTATAAGCAACAAACTGTGTGGGCAAGAGTGGAAATGTGAAGAAAATGGACTTTTTATCTTCAAGGAGATTAAAGTTTTAGGAAGTTCAACTATGAAAAACTTAATCACGTTAAAATATTTATTTACTATTTTAAAACAGCTAAATAACTTGCATACCATGTCAAAAGGATCTCAGGGGAATGAGAGGTAGTTCAAAACTTCACTCATTGGAAAATTGGAACTTCAAATGAGTCAATGAATAGGATTAGACCAGACAGAGAGTTGCTGGGTATGATGTACTGGTTGGGTGAAACAGTGTGAGAAAAAGTGCAAAGGTAGACTATATACAAGGCACGTTTAGTGAACAACAAGTAAAGTATGTACAAAAGTCATTTGAAGGATTTTCAGGAGATAAGAATATCTTGAAATAGTTGGGGCAAATTTTTAAAAGTCTCAGAAGTCTAAGTAATTATGGCTTATTCCTATCAATATTGTGGCATTAGTGCAGACTTTTTTTTAAAAGATATTGTCTACTTGAAGTAGTGTGTTAGGAAATTAATCTGGAAGGAAGTATGTAAAATTCAAGAAGGTCATTTAGAAGGTCTTGTAGTCACATTGTTATAATGAAATAAAGGCCAGAATAAGTGTTGCAATATTTATCAAACATTCCACAGACTTGCCAATGTAAAGATGAAAAAGCAATTGCTGGGTGTGGTGGCTCATACCTGTAATCCCAGCATTTTGGGGGCTGAGGCGGGTGGATTGTCTAAGCTCAGGAGTTGGAGAACAGCCTGGACAACATGGTGAAACCCTGTCTCTACTAAAAATACAAAAAAATTAGCCAGGCATGGTGGCACGAGCCTGTAATCCCTGCTACTGGGGCGGCTGAGGCACAAGAATCACTTAAACCCGGGAGGCAGAGGTTGCGGTGAGCTGAGATAGGGCCACTGCACTCCAGCCTAGGCGACAGAGACAGACTCTGTCTCCAAAAAAAAAAAAAAAAAAAAAATGAAGGAACAATGTTACTAAAGTAATAAAAAAGAAGCCTGGGCAACATAGTGAGATCTCATGTCTACAAAAAAAAGAAAAAAAGAATTACCTGGGCTTGATGATGCACCCTGTAGTCCTGGCTACTCAGGAGGCCAAGGTAGGAGGACTACTTAAGCCCAGGAAGTCAAGGCTGCAGTGAGCTGTGGTTGCGCCATGGTACTCCAGCCTGGGCAACAGACCGAGACCCTGCCTAGAAAAGAAAAAGAAAAGAAAAGAGTTACAGCACTTTTTCAGAGATACTTATCTGTGCATTTTCTCTGATAAATGCAAAATTTTCTCTGTCCAGGTAGGGAGAAATTGGAGCAGGCTTCTTCGTATGGTTTTCTTTTCTTTTTCTTTTTTTTCTTTTTTTGAGACAGTCTTGTCTGTCTCCAGGCTGCAGTGCAGTGGCTTGATCTCCACTCACTGCAGCCTCCACCTCCCGGATTCAAGCGATTCTCCTGCCTCAGCCTCCTGAGTAGCTGGGACTACAGGCACGTGCCATCACGCCCGGCTAATTTTTGTATTTTTAGTAGAGATGAGTTTCACCAAGTTAGCCAGGATGGTCTCTATCTCCTGACCTCATGATCTGCCCGCCTTGGCCTCCCAAAGTGCTGGGATCACAGGCATGAGCCACTGTGCCTGGCCCGTATGGTTTTCTTAAGGAGTAGCAATTAAATGAAATGAAATCTCTTACATTACTTTCTTTTATCATTTGTATTTTGTATTATTAAAATGGGCCAGTTTATAATGCTTGAGAAAGAATCCATGAACTATTGACCTAAACTAAACTGTAGAGTCAGCTTTTGGAAAGAAAAAGTTGATCTCTTCCCTGAGTTAAACATTCTTAGAAGTTCTTGGTCTTTTAAACATCTTTATAAAAATTGATAAAACTGGAATCTTTTAGCAGTAACTTTCATATATCATAATCTCTGCTAGTAAAAAGGATATTTTTTCATGATTTATTGGTATCTGTCAACTTCAGAATCATCATCTAGGATTTATCTCTATGAAATATGCAGTTACAGAATTTATTGCATAGTTAATATTTTCCATCAATCTTGCCTTTCAAATTGGAAGTCTCCATTAAAACATATTTTAATGATAGTAAGACATGCCAACCTTTCTATCAGTTTTTTATATGTACTGAATATTAAGGTGTTGTTCATCATTTACACAATGATCATATTTCATTACAATTACTATCATTTAGTTCAACTCGATGTCAGACTGCCCACTGGATGCTGTATACAAATCAACCACTGAATAGAGTTGGATTTATTTTAGGCTTTTAAATGAAAGCATTGTCGCAACTCACTTTAATTTATTTGATTTTTCCACTAATCTATGAAGTCCTATTTGGAAACATCGTGGTATAACGTAAAGAACATTGAGTATGGAGTGGTGTAGTAATATATTCATAATTATGTGGCTTTATGTACGTTATTTAAATGCCCTCGTGTATGTATTATGAGGCAGGCACAGTGCAAGGCTCTGGGAATGGTACACAAAGATGATAGAACTTTGCTTGAAGATGTGTCAAGTTTAATGATAGTGGAGAGTGGAGGTATAGCAAGTAAGATCTCAGAAAGCTATTGAAATTACATTAGATAACGTGTATCCAGTGCACAGACCAACAAAGACAAGGTTGTTACTATTGGTTCTCTCTTTACAAATGTTACCTATTTGGCTTCTTTATAGCAGACCCGATTTTATATAGTGATAATTTGGTAGAATTCCAAATTGCATTGGTAAGTGGAGTTTTACTGGACACAAAATCTTATTTAGGTCAAGGTTTGAGTCTGAGCTATTGTTTTTTTTTTTGAGGCGGAGTCTCGCTCCTTCGCCCAGGCTGGAGTGCAGTGGCGCTATCTCGGCTCACTGCAAGCTCCGCCTCCCGGGTTCACGCCATTCTCCTGCCTCAGCCTGCCGAGTAGCTGGGACTACAGGCGCCTGCTACCGCGCCCGGCTAATTTTTTGTATTTTTAGTAGAGACGGGTTTTCACTGCGTTAGCCAGGATGGTCTCCATCTCCTGACCTCGTGATCCACCCGCCTCGGCCTCCCAAAGTGCTGGGATTACAAGCGTGAGCCACCGCGCCTGGCCCTGAGCTATTGTATCTATGCATTCTCCTTAATATGCAGTTTGAGTTTCACTGAAGAGAAGGAATTTTTCAAATATCTACTAGAATTTCTTGCTTACTTGAATTTAACAAATTAATCATCTGCTTTTCTTTTGAATGTAACTCAAGGGAATGTGGAACAGGCATCCTTGAGATGTATTAAATTATTAGCTGGCATAATTTTTGAGAATGCCTATACAGCTATACAAGGTGTTCATAATACTCAAAGGATCTTAATTTTCTTGTAAGTAGGAAATAAACTGCCCATGTTTTTAGACCTTAATATTTTAAACTCTTTACGGTCTAAATTTCATCTCAAATACTCTAAATGAAAACCAAATGGGCCACTGGCAAATCAAGATGAAGGAATTTGAATGCCCCATGGTATGCTATTAGAAGATGAAGACTATTTTTTCTCAAGGGGTTTACTGTAATTTAATATTATGAGGTATTCTTTGAATTCAAAGACCTGCCCCCAGTAAGGCATAAGATATGAATAGCAAACCTCACTACTTATTTATCTGGCACTTGAACTCAAAATGTGCCTGGGTCCCAAAGGAGCTAGACATATATAAATACAAAATATAGCCATGATTATATTAATAAACATTCATATTATTAATATAAGCAGTCATTTATATTAATAAGCATTCATATTTATTAATATAAACATGGCTATATTTAATGCAATTTGTGATAGTCAAGTTTATTCAGTGAAAGAAAAACATGGAATAAATATTTGTGCTTATTTAAGTTTTATCTACCATAATTACTTATACATCTCCCCTTTTAGAACCAATATTCTGCCTTTTAAATTATGATAATTGAACACAATCATGCAATCCTCCCACCTCTGTCTCCTGAGTAGCTGGGACTACAGGCACAGGCCAACCACACCTGGCTAATATTTAAAAAAAAAATTTTTTTTGTAGATATGAGGTCTTGCTGTGTTGCTCAGGCTGGTCTCAAAACGCCTGGGCTCAAGCGATGCCCCTGCCTGGGCCTCTCAAAGTGCTGGGATTACAGGTATAAGCCGCTGCACCTGGCCCTAGCAACATCTTAAGGGTTGATCTTCTGAAATCTTTATAACATCAGGTAAAAAGCAGATAAGAGTGGGATTACCTGCACTTTTTGTGCTGAGCATTCAGTTCCCCTCTCTAGAAGAGTATCACTAGGATTTACAATTTTTGTAAAACATAACCGGTGTATTGCTATACAAACCAGTAACTTGTCAAGGGAAATATCTGATAGGTGTTTCCTTAACAAAATGATCAAACTTAGCATTTCCAACAGGATGAGATAAAATATCCTTTTTTGCCTTTGAATGTGATACATGAGAAGCTCACAACATCACCTATATAATATTCTGGAATTTTAAAAAAATGGAATCTACTCATCAGAAAACAATGCACATTGTAAGACATAGTGTAAAACAGGTAGCCCTTACTCTTCAAAAATGTCATTGACATAAAAGACACAAAGGGCTGGTGAACTGATTCGATTAGGGAAAACTAAAGAAATATGACAACTCAATTCAATGTGTGACTTTGGATTAATTCTTAGATAAGAAAAAGAAAACAAAAAAGCTATAAAAAGTACATTATTGAAACAGTTGGGAAAATTTGAACATGGACTTTATCTTAGATACTAGGTTTAAAAAAAAAAATCAGTGTTAAATTTCCTGAGTGTGATCATTGTATTGTGGTTAGGTAGGTATGTAAGATAATACTTTTTTCCTTTGGAGACACATGCTGAAGTATTTAGGGTTGAAGTGTCAAAGTCTGCAAGTAACTCTCAAATGGTTGAGAGAGAGAGAAGAAAATATGTATATCTATATATATAAAGATAAAACAAATGAGATGAAATGCTAAAACTGGCAAATTTAGGGGAACAGCAAACAGATGTTCAATGTATTATTCTTCTGACACTTATGAATGTGTAAAATTTTTCCAAATAAAAAATTTGCAAAATGCATATACAAACCAGAGAAAATGAGATTGAGTACACAACATAAAGTAGTGTGAATTTGGTTGTTATTAATCATATGCTTAATTCTCATTTTAATAAGACATATATATGTATATATATACATATATACACACACATGTATATATACATATATACACACACGTATATATATACATATATACACACACGTATATATATACACATATACACACACGTATATATACACATATACACACACGTATATATACATATATACACACACGTATATATACATATATATACACACATGTATATATATACATATATATATATACACATGTATATATATATATATTTTTTGAAACAGTTTCACTCTGTATCCAGGGTGGAGTGTAATGGCACGATCATGGCTCACTGCAGCCTTGATCTCCTGGCTCAAGCAATCCTCCCATCTCAGCCTCCCAAGTAGCTGGTACTACAGGTGCACACCACCATACCCGGCTATTTTTTTTTTTTTTTGGTAGAGATAGGGGTCTCTCTATGTTGCCCAGGCTGGCCTAGAACTCTTGAGCTCAAGCCATCTTCCTGCCTTGGCCTCCCAAAGTGCTAGCATCACAGCCATGAGCCACCATGCCTGGGCAAGAGATATTTTTAAATGTCATATTTTTAAACTGGATGAAAGTCATTGATAATATAACCTACTTACAGATATAATTCAAAGAGTCAATATAATGCCCTCACTGTAACATACAAGAGAAGAAAAGATAATATTCTTCAATAGTCTAATTCTCGGGCACAACTACACTATTAGACTGCCCCCACACATTTCCAGAATTTCCCCTAGAGGGTGGTACTGTCCCTGTAGTGAACAACTGGATTAACTGCTAGTGTAGCAGGGATATTACCCTGAGACATCAGAGATTACAACATGACCATGTGCATTTGCTGAATGGGTAAGAAGGCCCATGGAATATCAATCTGTATCTATTAATTGCCTGAGGGTTTTGAGGTTTTGGTTATACACTGAGGGATTATTAGGGGGTGAATGAGTTACAGATGAAGTATGGAAAGGGCTGCAGGCTGTCTTGGTTCCCATAGACTTTGTTTAAACTCCGTAGAGGAATGAAGTCCTGGGTAAAAGCTGAAAAATCTGGGTTTTTTTTCCTAGGGGTTCAGAAGGAGATGTAGACACCAATATGTTGTTTCTTGATATGCTGATAACACAGCTGAATGCAATTTATTTTGTCTATGTTGGTTTCTTAAAATTATGCAATGAAGGAAATGTTTTCCCATGCCCTGGATGAAACTTGGCAGCTCATAGCTTTTCTGATTACTATTACTGTTACCTAATAGTGGGTAACTCTAAGTTGCCGTGATTCAGTAAGTGATTAATAAAATGTTCAGTCTCAAATTCAGGAAAGTCTCAGGATACAAAATCAATGTGCAAAAATCAAAAGCATTCTTATACACCAGTGACAGACAAACAGAGAGCCAAATCATGAGTGAACTCCCATTCACAATTGCTTCAAAGAGAATTAAATACCTAGGAATCCAACTTACAAGGGATGTGAAGGACCTCTTCAAGGAGAACTACAAATCACTGCTCAATGAAATAAGAGGATACAAACAAATGGAAGAACATTCCATGCTCATGGGTAGGAAGAATCAATATCGTGAAAATCGCCATACTGCCCAAGGTAATTTATAGATTCAATGTCATCCCCATCAGGCTACCAATGACTTTCTTCACAGAATTGGAAAAAACTATTTTGAAGTTCATATGGAACCAAAAGAGAACCTGCATTGCCAAGTCAATCCTAAGCCAAAAGAACAAAGCTGGAGGCATCACACTACCTGACTTCAAACTATACTACAAGGCTACAGTAACCAAAACAGCATGGTACTGGTACCAAAACAGAGATATAGACCGATGGAACAGAACAGAGCCCTCAGAAATAATGCCACACATCTACAACCATCTGATCTTTGACAAACCTGACAAAAACAAGAAATGGGGAAAGGATTCCCTATTTAATAAATGGTGCTGGGAAAACTGGCTAGCCATATGTAGAAAGCTGAAACTGAATCCCTTCCTTACACCTTATACAAAAATTAATTCAAGATGGATTAAAGACTTAAATATTAGACCTAAAACCATAAAAACCCTAGAAGAAAACCTAGGCAATACTATTCAGGACATAGGCATGGACAAGGACTTCATGACTAAAACACCAAAAGCAATGGCAACAAAAGCCAAAGTTGACAAATGGGATCTAATTAAACTAAAGAGCTTCTGCAGAGCAAAAGAAACTACCATCAGAGTCAACAGGCAACCTACAGTATGGGAAAACATTTTTGCAGTCTACTCATCTGACAAAGGGCTAATATCCAGAATCTACAAAGAACTCAAACAAATTTACAAGAAAAAAAACAAACAACCCCATCAACAAGTGGGCGAAGGATATGAACAGACACTTCTCAAAAGAAGACATTTATGCAGCCAAAAGATACATGAAAAAATGCTCATCATCACTGGCCATCAGAGAAATTCAAATCAAAACCACAATGAGATACCATCTCACACCAGTTAGAATGGCGATCATTAAAAAGTCAGGAAACAACAGGTGCTGGAGAGGATGTGGAGAGATAGGAACACTTTTACACTGTTGGTAGGACTGTAAACTAGTTCAACCATTGTGGAAGTCAGTGTGGTGATTCCTCAAGGATCTAGAACTAGAAATACCATTTGACCCAGCCATCCCATTACTGGGTGTATACCCAAAGGATTGTAAATCATGCTGCTATAAAGACACATGCACACATGTGTTTACTGCAGCACTATTCACAATAGCAAAGACTTGGAACCACCCCAAATGTCCAACAATGATAGAGTGGATTAAGAAAATGTGGCACATATACACCATGGAATACTATGCAGCCATAAAAAATGATGAGTTCATGTCGTTTGTAGGGACATGGATGAAGCTGGAAACCATCATTCTCAGCAAACTATCGCAAGGACAAAAAACCAAACTCCGCGTGTTCTCACTCATAGGTGGGAATTGAACAATGAGAACACTTGGACACAGAAGGGGAACATCACACACCGGGGCCTCTTGTGGGGTGGGGGTAGGGGGTAGGGATAGCATTAGGGGATATACCTAATGTAAATGATGAGTTAATGGGTGCAGCACACCAACATGGCACATGTATACATATGTAACAAACCTGCACGTTGTGCATATGTACCCTAAAACTTAAAGTACAATAAAAATAAATAAATGTTCAGTCCAATATATTAGGAAATGCTTCATTCCGAGGTAAATACTTCTGTTCCCTTCCAATTCTTCGGTTAGAGCCTATAGTGGGCAGTTCCCTACCCTCTCTGGAAGAGGGTGTGGTTGACTTTTTTCTTTTTCATTGCCCTACCTCTTTCCACTAGCTACCCATATTTCTGACTGCTCCAGAGGGAATTACAACTTGGAGTGGAAATGCAGAAAAGAGGCGAGAGAGTGTCATTGAATAGGTCTTCAGATGACCTTAGTCTCTCTGGGTCCAGCAGATGTTGAAAGTGGACCATCCTGTGGCTGTTCTCATGGCACTCTGGAGGTTCCCTGCTGGTCTCACTGAAAGTTCTCTACAGGCTAGAGGTGAAAGAGGTAGAGTTGGGCTTTTGCCCTTTCCGTTTGGGGAACGGGTGGTTCTCACAGCACTCAGTGGCTTTCTCCAAATAAATATTTTTACGAATCCTCTCTGACTTTCCACTGCCTTGATTCTTTTATATCCTTGATGTGTCCTTAGAGTTGTCTAACTTTCTTTCAAAGTACACAACTCGTACTTTACTTTAGAGTTTTATGTATTTTATGATGGAGCCTCAGTGGAAACTCCCAATTTAACATTTCATTTTCCTTAAATTCCTGGGTAACAGTGCAGCAGTGCGAAGAAGCTAGAGGTGGTGAAGTCAAATTTAAATTTGATTTTAGATTTTATGACTAGCTTTGTGATTGTGGACAAGTCACTTAGCCTATTTTTTAAAATGAAAGTAACGTATATCACTAGGATTGATGTGGGATACAAACAGGGTACCCTGTAAATCATTAAAGCTTGATCATAGTAAGTGCTCAGTAACTTGTAGTTACTACTGTTATCTTTCCCTTTTCTGTGAAGAACAATCTAACACCTTCAGAGCTGGCAGATTTAGGAGATGAGAAGAAATTTCCTTGGAATGGATATCAGTATTCTTATGGAAGGCACCCATACTGTAGCAATGGTGAAACACTCTGTGGCTTCACAGGTAGTGGACATGAACCCAGGAACAAGAGTAGTAGAGGTGACAGGATCGACTATGAGTATCTGAGATATAACCAGGTGAGACTTTGTGGGAGCAAAGTCCTGCATGACCCTGCTGTGGAAAGTTCCAGTGAAATCTGTGTTATTACTGATACCATGAGCCCATCATCCCCACAGCCAGTGGTTCAAAGTGAAGAGAAGAGCGTATCAGATTTCATAAGATGTAGAATTATGTTTTCTCTTCTTAAGGGAGAAACACTAAAATGGTTGGAATGCTTTCAGTTGCAAGCAGAAGACTACCTAAGAGTGAAATAAAGATTTTTAATTATCTAACATAACAAGAAGTATAGGCAACTGTTTGTGTTGGTATGCTGACTGCATTATGGTAAGGCCAGCCTCTCTGCGATTCTTTTAGCCTTCCGTCTTGATCACAAAATGTTTTCTGCCTTTCCAGGCATCAGGTCTTCATCAAAAGCAGGAATAAGTGGGAAGAGTTGGTGTCAATCACGTATGTGCTTTTGTCAAGAAAGTTCAAGTTTTCTAGAACCACCCCCTACCCTACCGAGACCTCTGTGTGTTTGCATCTTACTTATCAGGGTGGTGTCACGAGGCCACAACCACTAGCTGTAAGGGAGGTTGGGAAAGCCTCTCTGGTGGAGTTGGGTGAGAGTGAAGGAGTTTGGAACGGGGTTGTGTTCATCAACGGACAGAGTCTGCCACAGATGCCATCATCTTTTTGGGTGTGAACATCATTCTGGATACTTCAGAAAACCCAAACCCCAGCAAATCCAGACAAGCTCCAGAAATGCTCCCACAACTTAGAGTAATATGGGTAAGAATGATGAAAAGAAAATCAATATGGAATTACAGGTTAGAAATTCCAGAAGAAAAGACTGAGGCAGATGGAGGAGAAGGAACAATCAGTTAAATAGTGACACAGGCTCCCTGAACTGAGGATAGATTATCAGGTCAAAGCAGCTCGCCGCATTTGAGGTAAAATTAATGAGTATTAGCTCATAGTTGACACTGTTGAATTTCAAATTTTAAGAAGAAAAAAAGTCTCATATCCATCCTGAGGAAAGTATGTTATCAACACAAGAAGAAAAATCATGTAGGCATCTGATTTCTCCACAATATTAACAGTTAGAAAATGGAAACAATGGCTGCAGATTTTTGAGGGAAAATTATTGACTTAATAATTTCTGAACTCAAAGAAGACTTCACAAATAATTTTCACACATGCACAGCTTTTAACTACTTCACTCATATACTTTCATGAAAAAATTACTCCCCCAATTTTTTAGGTTAAAAAGGAAATGCACCAAAAATAAACAATGAAATATATAATAGAAAAGAAGTGGCTGGGTGCAGTGGCTCACGGATGCAATCCCAGGACTTTGGGAGGCTGAGGAAGGTGGATCACCTGAGGTCAGGAGTTCGAGACCAGCCTGGCCAACATGGTGAAATCCCATCTCTGCTAAAAATACAAAAATTAGCTGGGGGTGGTGGCGTGCACATGTAATCTCAGCTACTCTGGAGGCTGAGGCAGGAGAATCGCTTGAACGCGGGAGGTGGAGGTTGCAGTGAGCTGAGATCGGACCATTGCACTCCAGCCTGGGTAGCAGAGTAAGACTGAGTGGCAGAGCAAGACTCTGTCTCAAAAAAAAAAAAAAAAAAAAAAAAGGTATTATTAAGCAACAAAGTCACTGAAAGTTTATGTCTAAGTAACTGTTTTGGCTTTGAAACTCTTATGACTTAAATATTCTCTAACTAGAAAATACATAAAATAATATAGATTAATATCTGAGATATTTAAAAGAAAAATTGTGAAATGTGGAGAGGGAGGATGGAAAAGGGAGGGAATGAACCAGCTAAATTTTTCATCTTTCACCAGTTAAAAGACAAATAATGGAATAAAATTATTAATGTGGTATTAATAGACTCTTTCCCCCAGCCCACATGAGAAAATGTTATCTTGCTTGCCAGACTTTCCCCTGCCTTATGTTACTGCCAAACTAGTTCCTGTGTTTTGGTCACATATAATTGGAAGATGCACAGAAAAGGATGTGTCCAGAGATGCTGAAGGAGGAGGTTATAGATTGGGAGAAATGAGGGAGATAGGAAAAGTCAAAAGTTTCCCAGAATGGAGTGGATCAATTTGAGGGCTTTTCTCCCCCTTTGGGGTTTGAGTTGGTGAATAAGAAGCACAAGAGGGTGTGGGAGAAAGCTGAATAGGAGAGGAAAGGAGATTCAAGATGTGTTCATGGGGGTTATGCATCAGAACCTCTTTACATCCTTTGAAAGATGAAAGTAGAACATGCAACTCCTTTCTTAAGACTCTGTTGAGTCTTAAAACAGTTAACATTCTGATGAACTTTGCTAAATTTATGATGCTGTGCAGAGAAGGAACCATAAAGATGACAGCTTCAATAGGGTTACACCTGGAGGATTTGTCTAAAATTGTGGACGGAAAGCACAGCTTTCAGCTGAAATTTTAGAATAAAACCATTGCTTTGTCACTGGAGTCAAGAGTACGTTATTACCAGACTTTACAATAATAGTGGCAAGGAGAGAAGCTCCAATAGCAGCTGGGATAACACCAGACATGTCCTGGTGGATGTGCTGAAATCTGAGTTGTAAATGATGTCTCATGGGGAGTGGATGTGCCAGCTGCAGAACTAAACTTATATGGTGCTATGCAACTTCACTAAATTTAGAAACTCTGAAGGAATCTTTTGCAACATAGTGCAATGAAAATTATGTTTTACTGCAGTTCCACAGATCCCCAGTTTCTCAAGCGGTTAGACCTCTGCAAATCCTCAGAGGAAGCCAAAGCCAGATCTGGATAACTCAGACCTTGGCTGACCAATCCCTCATGCCAGAACTGGGTCCCATGGGGACATGGTGATGGCCAGATAGACTGAATTTTAGAATCACCTATAGGCTGTTTTCCAGAAATGGAAAGTAATGTGTCAGAGACTGAAGAAAATCACTTTACATTATGGTTAGACAAAGTTCACAGATGAACAGGATTTAGCATCAGAGAGATGTTTCCAGCCTAAAGTTTCTTAGGATCTAAAGAACTGAGCTTTATGTACAGGGTGAATCAGAGACAGTGACCATTGAGTGGTGTTTGCCAAACTCAGTGTGGTACAGAGACGGGCCACATGAGTCATCATTTCAATAGGGTGGCAGACATTTTTATTTGGGATGTTAGGAAGTGTATGTTCAATGATTTTTAAAATATTAAGTATAAGATAAAAATGCTAGTAGAGTCATTCTCACTAACTCTGTTAGAAAATTCCTGGAGTAAATTTTGGTTTGGTTGGTTCTCTCTAAAGATTAATACCCACTGGGGTCACCACCAGAAGAAACCAGAGAATGAAAACAGCACCTACTAATGCCAGGAAGGCAGAGCCCAAATAAGAAAACACTCCATGTGGAGTGAAAGCTGCAGGATGCTCTTTTTACCTCCCATCTATGTGATTTGGTCAGCCTTACAAGTAAGTGGGTACCAAGTGGTAACTACATGAAAGAGAACAAATAGAATATTTGGGGTGACCAATAATGCTTAAAATGTTACATGTTGTCAGTTATAATTTGCATTAATGTTTCCTCCTATTTAATATATATTGATAGAAACTGTAATAGGAAATTCTAAAAATGGGATAAAATAGAACCACAATATGAAATTCTAAAATTAGAATTTTAAAATGAAATTTTAAAAATTCTGAAAAATGGCTTTGAGGGTGCAATCACCAGTTTCATGTAGCGTTAAGCACACAAGCTTTGACGAGCTATAAGATCTGGGAAAGCACACCTCTCTGAGCCTCAATTTCCTCATGTGTGAACTGGAGATAATAATGCTTACGTTATATGGTGCTCAATCAAGGTGGTGTGTGTATAATACATATCGTAGAACAAAGTGCTTAGAAAATTATATTCTAATACAATGGTATTATTATTGTAAGTATTGTATTTTGTGGTATATAGTACAGCTGACGACATTGATTGTATACTAAAGGAGAGTTTACAAGCTAAAAAATCTATTATATTTTCTCCCAAAGAAAAGATTGGGGGATAGTAATACTCTTGGAGAGATGAAGAAAGAGTGGGCAGATGGAAGGTGCAGGTATGGATTGGTGATGATCCTGACCAGCCAGAGATTTATACATGTAAACTTGGAGAAGATGGGCCTGGAACTGCAATTTGGAGGAGGAGTGCTCTTTGGTGGAGAGGAGTTGTGAATGTCAGTGTGTGCCTAACAGTAGGAAACTGAGGAGAGAGGATGATATTTGGTCTAGAAGTGTTCAAGCAAGAGAGAAGAGTGAGTGGCAGACTTGAAAACCCTCTCTGTGAAACTCAGCTAGTCTCCCTGCATGTGCACTGTGGCATTCTCGTTGTTCAGGTCTCATCATCTCTGGCTCTGACTTTCCCTTGCTTGGGGTCCCACACACTTTGGCAGACCCTCAGGTGGACTCTCACACGAATCCCAGGTGTATTCCAGACACTGTTTTCTCATAAGTCCAGTCTCTACTTTTAGTCTCTCGGGTATTGGCCACAGTTTCTGGTCTGCCTAGAATTTCTCAGCATGGCTATGCGTGTCCTCATTATACACATTACTTTAGGGTGTGTAAGTGTGTAGACATTTGACATGCATGGATATGCACATATACATTATTTTGGTGGAGGATATAAGGAGTTTGCAGTATGTGCCCAGTTCTCTATTTTGAAACTGAGAGTCCTTTAATTTAGATGCCTTTTCTATTATACTGGGGAAAATGATAAAGTAAAACAAGTGGAATGGAGGAGCGGATAGGGCAGAAAATAAGTAGGTGCATCACAGTAAGTGAACTGAAGAGTTCCCACTTCTATCAGTGGTCTCACAAAGAGGTGGTTTTATTCTTAATAAAGCAGCATTTTATCATTATAAAGAATCATAGAATATCAAGTTATTTAACAAAATCTTCCTCACCTGCCATAGAACTCTGAGTACAAGTTCATATTTTCATTCAAATAATTCTGCTTTTTCACGAGGTGGGGCAGAACCCCACAAATCAATTTCCCTAAGTGGCTGAAGTTAAGAGAGAAAGTTTTTCTAAGAACCCAACTGGAAATCTGTTATGAAACTTCAGCAGAATGAGCTGTGTCAGTGTGGAGTCCAATTTAATCATTACCTCATTTGTCTCATGCTAAGTCTTTGCTTCCACTTTTCTTCATACTTAGACAATCAGTGTCTTAACTTTATAGTTTTAAATGAGCTCCCTCTAGACACACATCAAACACTTGAAATAATGTACGTTATGTAAAAGAAATGGTCCAAAGTGAACACCCAGTGAAAATGTGAATTAAGACTAATCTAATCTTAACCTTCCAAAATAAGATGACTCTACATCTCTAGAAAGACTTTTATTCTTCTTTTTCTCCTCACCTCTTATTCTCACCCAGATAAAATAAATCCTATAAATTTATAGCCCATATTGCTATCAAAGTTTATTAACATGATGATATGACAAAGGAAAATTCCAACACAACAAATTTAAATACTATACTCTGGGCACATAAATATTATGGTGGCCAGCAGAAGCACAAAAGCTGCAATGCTGTTTTGGTTTAGAAGGCTCGGTTTGAGACTAACCCTTCAGAAAAATGGGGCACTGTTATCATAATTTTTTTTTTTTGAGATGGAGTCTCGCTCTTGTTGCCCAGGCAGGAGTGCAGTGGCGTAATCTCGGCTCACTGCAACGTCCGCCTCCCGGGTTCAAGCGATTCTGGTTACTCAGCCTCCCAAGTAGCTGGGATTATAGGTGCCCGCGACCACACCTGGCTGATATTTGTATTTTTAGTAGAGACGGGGTTTCACCATGTTGGCCAGGCTGGTCTCGAACTCCTTACCTCAGGTGATCCACCCACCTCAGCCTCCTAAAGTGCTGGGATTACAGGCGTTAGCCCCCGCACCCGGCCCATAATTGTTAACGTTTAGCAAGCACTTCCTCTGTGCCATGTTCTATGCTAAATATTTTTATGCATTATCTTGTAGAGAGCCAGCAAAGGGATCATGACCAACTCAGCATTCCACTGGCAGCTATATGATCAAACAGCAAACTGTTTATCATGAATGCAGGATGTGAACAAAGTCACACTGCACCTGCCGCCAGAAGGTTTGCTGAGGGCCATCACTCCCTGGCGCCGGGCTTCTTGAAGTTATCTAATGGGAAATGTAGTGCCTATTGTTTGAAGGATGCAGTCTCACAAGCCTGCTGTGAACCAAATGGCCGAGTGACAATTACCTGACAATCACCTCCCCTTTCTCGTTATCTCTTTTACCTAATAAATTTGGAAGGCTGAAAAAGCTCAGGGCCCTTGTCCACTAGAGGCAAGGTGCCCCTTTACCCCTTCTTCCAAATATACTCTTTTGTCTTTGTCTTTTATTCCCGCGTTCATCTTCCTTTGTTCAGTCCACCAGGGATTGTGGTCAGTTACACTATCTCACTTAATTTTCACCATCACTTAACTAGGTAGATACTCTGAATGCCCCTGTTATTATTAACACCCTTATTCTACACTTGAAGGAGCTGAGGCTTTGAGAGGATAAGCAATTCAAGTCACACAAAGGCTGCATGTTGTCCAGTTCCAGAGGGTACAATCATATCATCGACTAGGAGATAGCACCCCTTGGAGGTGAGGAGTCCACACTTGGCACAGTTAACACAATCGTCCTGTGGGTGACATGCAGTGCTAACATTCAGGTTCAGATCCTTGTGACTCTAGACACCAGGTGCTCTCTGTGCTATATATAAAAGAAGTTGGAGGCCCTGTTGTAAGGAACGAACACAATTCCTAATTCTAGAGGACAGAAAAGTAAGTCCTGTTAACAGCCTTCAACGTGGAATCTGTAGAGAACTTGTATTATCTCAGGATCTTCTCATTTGAAAATGAAAATGGTCACACCCACCCTTTTCTTATGATGCAAATCACTGGTCAGTATTTTCATTTTCCAGCAGTCTTCAAAGCTGTAATCCAGAAGGACAATAATCTAGATGTAATTACTATATTAAGCATAAATCAGGTTTGTCATGAACTCAAAGGATAAATTCCCTTTGAGTTCATGACAAACCTGATTTATGCTTAATTCTATATTATTATTAAGGGACAAAGTCTAAAGAATCTCCTATGTTTGTGTTTCTAACAATGAAAATGCAATGGTTTTAAATTTACACATTTCATTTCAGCATATTTGTTTGGAGACTCTTGAACCTTAAGTTGACTGGAAGCATACAGTGAATGTGTTCTTATAATTTATTCCATTCCATTTCCTGGTTAGCTATCTAAATTTTTGGCCTTTGGACTTTCACATTAAACACAATAGTCTACACAATGCCGTAACAGCGTTCATCGCCTTTCAAAGCTAAGAATAGACAATAAATAGTCTGGCGTTTTAATTAGACCCTTGCCTTCGTGTGCATTTCAGCTCCATTCTAGCAAAGCTGAATTATAGATGAGCGTTTGATGCGACTTCAAATATCCCCATTTCTTCAATTGTATCACAATAGACAAAACAGAAATGCAGGATGAGAGCAGTTTTGTTCATTTCTTTTCTTAAATCATATCTTGCTATTTTTTCCTTACAGCTATTTCAATTCAATAAATGTTTCCTATTCTTCCAGCAGTGCAATGATGCTTTTCAGTAGAGTACCTGTCCTCTTAATACATAGTTATTTTCTAAAATGTTGCTATTAGAAAATGAGATAATGAGTCCAATTTTCCCAGTCTCTCTGTCTCTCTCTCGTGTCTCTCACACCTGACAGATGGGTGCTCATGGTGCTGTACCTGGGCTGCCCTCCTAGGAACCTGGGACCAGCTGACATAACCCCCTCTCAGAACATGGAGCTGAATAGGAGAATTCACAGCCAGCTGCCTTGGACTAACCTACATCAAACCTGGGCAGATTATCCAATTGGATTATTGGTTCAAGAAGGCTAGACAGAGAGATGAGGATCTAGGAGGGAGATAATAGGTTGAATAAACCCGGGAGATTAGGTGAATGCTTGATCATTTGAAGCAAATGGCAGGGGTCAGATCTAGAAATTACTGAAGCCTTGTTGTGATGCACGTTATATTACAAATACAGGCAAGACTTGATTTTCCTACCCTCAGAAAAGGTCAGATAATGAGATAACTGCAGTCTGGGGTGACATGTTAGAATAAAGGTGTGCACAAGCTATTGTGAAGGAAATTAAATTACCTAAGGAAGATGGGAGCAGGAGGAAGGTCAGGGGCTGTTTAATAAGAAAGGATACATGGGAGCTGAGTCCTGATGGATGAATAATCTTTTCAATCAGCAGGAAAGAAGGGAAAACATTCCAGAGAGGAGCAACCCAGTGCAAAATCACCAAGTTTTCATATAGCAAATGGAGATGACAAGGATTTGGGGGTGGCTGTAAATAAGGTGACAATGAAGGAGATCCAAGAACTGATACTGGCAAGGTGGGAAGGACCCAGTACATAAAGGGACATCTGTTTTATATTCAAAAGTTAGGATTTTATCTGTGTGTAGTGGGAATCATTAAAGATCTAAAGGTAGGGAAGAGAGATAAATTGTTGCTTAGAAAGCCCACATTGACACCCATGTGGAGGATGCCACAGAAGGACCTGACATTAGAGAAGGGAGGTTAGTTTATAGGCATTTGCAATGCTGTCAAGAGATGAAAAAGATCTGGACCAAGATAGTGGCAATAGTAGGTAAGAGACACATTTGAGAAATATTTTGGAGATAGAATTTTGAAAACAGGTCAAGGTTGAGTCCCAGATTTTGGATGGGTGAAGGGAACACAGGAAGAGAAGTGGTTTGAAGTGTGGTCAGGAGGGATGAACCAAATGAATTGGTTTTAGAGTTTTTGAATTTTCAGAGCTCTAAGGAGTTCTGGAGGATATTTCCAAGAGCAGAATGGACCTCAGGAGAGGGGTGATCCTGTAGATAAATAGGAGCATCAACTCACGGTAAGTAGTTGAAACCATAGCCTGGATGAGATAATGGAAGAGATGGTGATAGTGAAAAAAAATAAAGGCCAAGGACAAAGCCATGGAGAACACTATTATTAAAGAGGAGAATGGAGAGGATGCTGTTATGAAAGTCAATCGCGGTGGAAGTTTTAAAACAGTGACATTTAACACTGTCAAAAGAATCTGAGATTAATTGAAAGGTTGAAAAGCATTTGAGAATTTGTTAGATTTGACAGCAGTGGTCTTAGCATTTCAGTGGAGGGTCAGTTTTGGGTTGGGGAGTAAATGAAAGGTCAAGAAGTCAAGATTGTGACTACTCAATTTTTCTAGAGGCTTGACTATGAAGAGAAAACATGATTTATAATAGCTGGATGAGATAGGCAGGTCACGTATTATCTTCATTTAACAGATGATAAAACTGAAGCTCCGAGAGGTTGTAATTTTCCCAAGGTCGACCACTGGTCAGTAACAGAACAAAAACTAAGTCTCTGGTCTTCAGATTCCCAATTCAGTTCTCTTCTACTTGTCCACTGAATATTTGACAGATCCCCTAGTGCAGGGTATAGGATCACAATCAGACAGTATACATGTGACTATGGTATATTTCACCCAATGGTTAAAGTATTAAAGTGGGGGTAGGGGAGGGGAAGAATTGTTTTTCCTCTTGGTCTGAACTTGTGAAATGCACACAGGAAAAGTTCATTTTAAGCCTCATTTGGCATGTTTTCTTGGCTGGGTGTGAATATTCCCAGCAGCCAAGTCCTGTTTTCTTCCTTTGCTTTATCCCTGACAGCCTTGTGCTCCTACTGTGATTTCAATTCATGACCCGAACAAGAATGATGAAAAGTAAATTGCATTCTCATGTATATTGCTATTAGAGGCTAATTACGTAGCTGTCTGAAATCCTTTGTCACTTGGACAATATGCATTGACGGAACCTTATTTCCTTGATTTAAAAAAATGCATTTTATTTGGTGTTTTCTTTAGAGATTAAAGCAACTGTTCTTGCAATGATGCACTGGCTGTTGGAGTCAGAACAGCCATCCGCACTAATGAGGATTACATAAACGTCCCTTGCTCTCATGTAAAGATAAACCTCACATCCAGGCGTGAGGAAACTAGGTCTTGTTCCTAACTCAGATACTACAGACTTAGGTCAACAATGCTGGCCTTCTTCACCAAAGACATAGAATCTTTGAATTAGATGCAGTGCTTTGCAGTGCTTGGAGACAAAGTTCACCAGAAAGATGGTATTGATCTTAGAAAAGATTAAGCTAGGCTGGACGTGATGGCTTATGCCTGTAATGCCAGCACTTTGGGAGGCCAAGGCGGGTGGATCACCTGAGGTCAGGAGTTTGAGACCAGCCTGACCAACATGGTGAAACCCCATCTCTACTAAAAATACAAAATTAGCTGGGTGTGGTGGTGCGTGCCTGTAATCCCAGCTACTTGAAAGGCTGAGGCAGGAGAATCACTTGAACCGGGGAGGCGGAGGTTGCAGTGAGCTGAGATCACGTCACTGCACTCCAGCCTGGGCAACAAGAGAGAAACCCTGTCTCAAAAAAAAAATAAAATAAAAAAGAAAAGATTAAGCTAAAGAGTACATTCACGGCTGGGCGTGGTGGCTCATGCCTGTAATCCCAGCACTTTGGGAGGCCGAGGTGGGCGGATCACCTGAGGTCAGGAGTTCGAGACTAGCCTCAACATGGAGAAACCCTGTCTCTACTAAAAATACAAAATTAGCCAGGCGTGGTGGTGCATGCCTGTAATCCCAGCTACTTGGGAGGCTGAGGCAGGAGAATTGCTTGGGAATACCAGCTACTTGGGAGGCTGAGGTTGCGGTGAGCCAAGATCATGCCATTGCACTCCAGCCTGGGCAACAAGAGCGAAACTCCGTCTCAAAAAAAAAAAAAAAAAAAAAAGTGTGCATTCACATATCTTATGAATTAGCCTGGCTCCCAAATGGACTTTTTGTCATAAATACTCAAACACAAATCTTTATTTCTCAGGCAACCCATTTGCCTTGTCTTGTGAGAAGTAGCCAATTAAAAATGGGCATTTTAGGCCGGGCACAGTGGCTCACTCCTGTAATCCCAGCACTTTGGGAGGCCAAGGCAGGTGGATCACCTGAGGTCAGGTGTTCGAGACCAGCCTGTCCCAAATAGTGAAACTCCATCTCTACTAAAAGTACAAAAAAAACTAGCTGAGCATGGTGGCAGGTGCCTGTAATCCCAGCTACTTGGGAGGCTGAGGCAGAAGAATCACTTGAACCTGGGAGGTGGAGGTTGCAGTGAGCTGAGATCGAGCCATTGTACTCCAGCCTGGACAACAAGAGTGAAACTCCATCTCAAAAAAAAAAGACAGGACTTTTTTTGGAACAGATGCTAACCTTCTTAAGGGTAAGAACCTGTCATACTTTTTTTGGTAATGATTAAAATTATTAATAAATTATATACAATTAAAACAATTATCAAATTCATATGCACACATATTACACATATTTATATGTAATAATTGTAATCCTATAGATTAACAAATGAGTTAATATTTATTATTTGTTTTGCATATTGTCATGCCCAGTAAATAATTTCTGATTGGTTTCATTCCATTTGAGATTCATTAGTAAAATAACTGCAATTTGTAAGTTGAACTAATTACCACTCAATCAAAGAAGCAGTACTGACAAGCGTCAGAGAAATCTGCCTTAAGGAGTCTTTGGCTGAAGAGCTATGTTGAATATATGACTAGAAAAAACAACACAAAGATGAGCGTTTTACTTCAATATTTTTTATGGTTTTTTTTTTTTTTTGCCTGTCAGTTGGATTTACTATCCGGTTATGGCTGATCACAGTGGGAGACATAGGTGCAAATAAAATAGATATTTATGAGCTTTGTTTATTTTATGAGGTTATTAAATTCTTTTATAAAATAAGAACTTAGCAGTGCTAAGATTTTTTTTCTTTCATTCTACATCCTGAAGTTCAGTCCTAGCCTGTGTCATCCAGTCGTTTCCCAGCATCCCTGTATATTAGGAGGAAATAAATCTAATATTTAAAAACTCTAAGTGGCATTCAGGAGAGTTTTGAATTTTTAATGTGAACATACATTTTCTTGAGCCAGAAGCCCTTCATCACTTCTCAGCTTTGTGGAAAATATTCCCATCTTCAGTGTCACCAGCCAACCTCCTGGCCTGATCCCGGCTCTGGCTGAACCAAGAGAACTTGTGTTCAGATGGCTAAGGAAGCAAGATTCCAAGGTGGAGTGGAGGCAGTGTGGCTGCCCATGAGGTAAAAGCACCCCAGAGTTCTTCCCAACTTCAGAGCTGTCTTAAAGCTGTGCTCAAAATCTTCATAAGCTGCAAGTGCAGACGAGGAATACTAATTTGCCAAATATGTTCGGAGACTTTATTGCACAACATGGCTCAAATCCTGATTTCCATTGATTGCCAGGAAGTGTAGAAAAGCTGTATCTTTGGAGCAATGGCAAATTTTGCCATCTGTAAAAGTGAATGATATTTCTATTTTAATGAATAAATTTGAAGACAATATTTGAATCCTCATTTCGTCAATAGAGTGCAAGCCTAGCCCTGTACCCGACATAAAATGCGTGCTTAATGCTTGTCAATGGAATAAAGGGAGCTGTACCTTGCTCACTGCATTTCCTACTTTCTCTACTGTATTTTTAACTTGGAAAGAAATGAATGCACCTGCACATCATCTTCATAGCCTGTGCTGCTCTTTATCCTAATTTATTTTTTGGAGGCTCAAACTAGTCAAAAAGCATCAAAGGAGAAAAGTAATAGGTTTACCTCTTTCTCCAGTCTCTATAATCCACTCAAAAACAATTTAGTTACATACAGCAAAGATAGGAATCTGTAACACTGAGCCTTCATGTATAGCCCTTTATCTTCTACATTCTCTAAGGAAAATTCTCTCAGGCAAATTATATGAAAATCCTGAAGGACTTGTGGACACCTGGTAGCTAAGATCAAGTGAAACAGAAAGTAAAATGATTCTTCACTCTTGGAATGAACTGTCAAGTCTCCTTTCCAAATATAATAGGCTGTTAAATGGGACATATGCTGTTTCCTTCAAATTCCAGCTAAAGCCTCAAAGCTAAGGATGATAGAGGCAATGTACCCACACTTTCTAAAAAGAGATGCCAGACTCATCCACGCAGGGCCTGCAGAAAGATAGTGGAAAGGTACCCATCATTCACCTCCAGTCTGTGTAGGAGGCAACTAGAATGTCAAAAGACATTTTGATACTTGATAAAGGTTGAATAAATGTATTAGAAGAAAAAGAATGATATAAGGTAACAGAGGGTGAGAATAATATCACTACAAAATAAGAGTATACAGTTATAGAAAGAAAGGTTTCCAGTGGAAAAAAAAATTATACACCGTGAGAATCCTGTTGAATTACATGAAATTTTATACAATTTTTAATTTTGTAATTTTTGTAAATCCTTATAAATGGATCTTATCTATTCCCTAATGTTCCCAACACAAGTATGTAATGTACCTGACATGGAAACTCAGATGTGTGTATGTGAACATGTATGTATGTAAGTTCTGTGTTTATTGGGCTTTATTTTCTACACATTATGGCCTCACCAACCACTTCTTCCTCCACCACCACATTTCTCAGTCAAGAAAAGGAAGAGTATTGGAATGTAATATTCTTAACATTTGCAGTGTTTCTGGAATTGTTGAGAAAACTACTTATAGCCCATAGAAACTATTGTATAGGAATGTCATGTGAGAATATTTCTGTTGTCCCAGGATTTCAAAGTTAGGAAAAGAAGTGTCCACATACACCAATATTCTAGGTCCAGAGAACTGCCAAAATTGGCAGCAGCCATTTATCCACATAGCTGACTGAAAATATTCTAGTTCAGAGAATTGGCCTAACATGGCCTCTCTGCTCCTCCATCTGCCTTTGCTTTTCTCCCACTCCTCATACTTAATATAAGGATGGATCTAGGACAGGGGAGGCTGCCTTTGGTAAGTGAGATGCAGTGCATCTGACAGACTGACTCTATTTTCTCCCATCAAGACCTTCCTGTGTAGAGGACAATAGGGAGTGCCATCTTTTCCTGCAGGGAAGGGAGAAAGGCCCCAGGAGGAGGAACCCTTTGTAAAGATGAGAGAGAAGGCTGGAAGAAAGAGAGACCTGTGTGTTAGTCTCCAGTTGAGTCCTTGCCTAAATAGTGGGCCTGTTAATCTGCCTGTGTTACCACAGCAGGAATAAAGAGAACCCAGAAGGTTATTGCCAGGGTGAGGGGACTGACAGGCAAAAGAGGTCAGAATTTCTTCTCTACCTCGAGGTGCAGAGGATGAATCCCACATGGGACGATGGGTCCCAAAATGTCACAGCTCATAAATGGCTGCCGGGGTCTAGGGGGTGCTGCTGAGGAGCAGGCCCCCCATTAGCAGGGCAGGTTTGAATGGCCACCAGCCCACAGGAATCCCACAGAAAGCGCTCTAAAGAAGTGGCCCTGAACACCCAACAAGGGAGCTGAGGCCTCCCTCAGTTGGGGAAGGAGACATCTGTTTTCTCTCTTCCTCTTTCCCACCTGACAGGGAGTAGAAGGGGTTATGTGAGAGCCAGGCATGTCCCATCCTCCACCACAAGCTGCTAGAACCACAATCATGAGGTGAGCCTGAGATGGGGCTGGAGAGGGAATGGAGTAGGGGAAGTGCTTTGACTCATATATGATATTGAACTTTAAAAATGAACAGAACTGATTCTTAGACATTTTTGGGACATCTAAACTAAGACATTTTTGAAAACCAAAAGTGACTAAAATGTTATGCAGCCTACTCAAGAGGAAGGATGGGTTTGGCCTAGTATTATTGGGTAGTAGCTATTAGGGAAAAAAATGTGTTTTTCTCCCCCCTAATCTCAACAGTTGAGACTCTTCAACACACTGATTGCACCATTTGACACTCGATTCCTTTGGAAAGCAGCCTGAATCTTGGAGAAAACCAGTTTTTTTTTTTTTTTTTTCTTCCCTAGCTGGTTTTAAAAACAATTCCTAATGGGTGACAAGATCTGCTTTTCTGGTGACAGTCCTTAAAAGTTGCTCATTAGCAGTTGATATTTAATGTGAGTGCTTCCTAATGTAACTTCATTTAGGTTATTTTTATTTAATGAACCCTGGAAAGCTGTAATGAAGCTACACACCCCTGTTGTTTTCATGCAGTTCCTGGAGCAGAGAAATTGTACAGACCCCTGAGCACAGCAAAGGTGTGAGAAAGGCATGAGTAAAGTTGGGTTGCAGCAGGTGGAGACTGTCCTCTTCAACATCAGTACAGGAAAAAAATAGCAGTTTCAGAAATGATGACTTTATGTGAACTAAAGTTAAGCAGATGTAAGCTGGAGTGGGAGGATGAGTTCCACAGTCAGAGAGTAGTGATTTGATCTCTTCTTTTCTCCCTCTCCTGTCTCCCCTCCTAGCCTGTCCAGATCCCATTTATTTTCTTTATTAAGGCTATCTCTTCTTATTTATTCAAACTGTCATCCCTCAACTAAAATCCATATTTTTTTCTCCTGCTTAAATGAATTGTGAGTGTAACAGGTAGCCTATTCAAGGAGAAATTAAACAGTGTGCCCGTTGAGAAACATTCTTTAAATGTCCACAGTGAACATCACAGGTCACTCAAAATAGGTCTTATACCGAAAAGTGTCATATGGCAGCCTCACCTTAGTTCTGCAACATTAAGTCAATTAGATCATGTTGAGAGTCTCTTTTAGTTCTGTGTTTGTAAGGAGCTGGTCATCTTGTCTTAGGAGATGAGTGTAAGAAGTCCTTACTGAATTTGATTGGCTGAAGAGAATGACTTAGCCCTGAAGAGGTAAGACAGACAGTGACTCTGGGCACTGCAGTTAGGGTCACTTCAACCCGGACACGGTGGCTAGCATTACAGTGCCTGGTTTTTCCCCAGGATGTGACTGTGAGGGTAAGCTGTGAACCCAAGCAAGAACCTCACCATAGATATGCAGAGTCCAAACCTGGCATCATTGTGGGAGGAAGCCCATGGAACTGTGCAGGCTCTTCTTTGAGCTCAACTGAGAAGGATATGAGCAGAAAGTAGCTTTATTCTTGCACACTATTGCCTTTAGGCAAGCTCTATTGACACCTTCTTCCCTACTTCTGCATGAAGTCCTGGGTAGATCACATGGTTTTATCAAGTCATTTCAGCTACCAATGAATACTGCCATTTTTCTGGTAATAAAAGTGTAGACCAGTCTCATATATAAAATTTAGTCTCTCATCCAATCCAAAGTTTCTCCCCTTCCCCAAGTGAATCCAATCCAGGCTGGGAAAGCTGCAGTGGAAAAAACATCATGATCATGCTTTAATTACGTCCTTCCCCATCCTCAATCCCCTAAGTCTCCTCTGGCTTTACCAGAGTTAGCAAACAAATAAAACACACCAAAAAACAAAAACAAAAACAAAAACAAAAAAAAAAAAAAACACCTGACTTGTGACCTGATATCTCTGGAGGGTGTCAGATGTCCCAAAGCTAATCTTTTTCTCATGAAGCAGTTCTGTGGGATTGTCAGAGAATCCCATTACTGGAGGTCTCTTTCCCACTGTTTCCTGGTACAGGTGCATCCCCCTATGAAGGGGGTCTGACTTTTTGAAGTCTGTCCTGCATAGACTGCTTTTTGGGGGTCACCTAGTCCTCCTGATGGCCCTTTTGGCTGGGATTTTCTTTTCTTTTCTTTTCTTTTTTTTTGAGATGGAGTCTCGCTCTGTCACCAGGCTGGAGTGCAGTGGCACGATTTCGTCTCACTGCAACCTTCACCTCCTGGGTTCAAGCGATTCTCCTGCCTCAGCCTCCTGAGTAGCTGGGACTACAGGCGCCCACCACCGCATCCAGCTAATTTTTGTATTGTTAGTAGAGATGAGGTTTCACCAAGTTGGCCAGGCTGGTCTCAAACTCCTGACCTCAGGTGATCCGCCCACCTCAGCCTCCCAAAGTGCTAGGATTACAGGCGTGAGCTTGGGACTGGGTGCAGTGGCTCACACCTGTTCACTTTACAAACTTAAAAAAAAAAAATCTGTTCCAAGCGTTGGGAATATAGCAGTCAGAAAAACAGTCACAGAAACTTACAGCCTAGTGGGAAGACATCATTACAAATGATCACACAAATAAATTTTCAGCAGGTGCAAATCTTAGTCCATAAGCTCAACATTTAAAAACTTTTATTTAAGTCAGCTTAGATTTGTATTAGAGTTGTCATCTTGACCCACACTGAAAAATTCTATCTCAGCAATTCTTGTCTGCTCTCCTCACACTTCCTTCTGTCTCTCGCCAAAAGATACACAGACTTTTTTTTGTGGCATCAAATACATTAGGAAAGTGCATCCCAGTAATGGCCACGTGGTCACACTGGATCATGCCCATGGACCACTGTGGCAGAGGGTCCCTTGTGGGCTGATGCTCTGCACTCAGGACTGGGAATCTTTGTGAGGATGGGGCACAGGCGCCTGTGGTCCAGCTGTGCCCTTGGAGGTTTCCCTGCCTCCCTGGGTGCTGCAAGGAGTGGAGTATGTGCTGGCCGCCCCACCACTCAATTGAGAATTACTCCTCTCCTGGCTGCTTCTTCCCTCTTGCTCTACATCTTCCCCTATAATCTCCTCAATGGGGAATTTTTAGGCAAAAACAAACATAAATTCATATCTCAATAAATTATTCTGCCTTAAGTAGTAAGTAGACTTCACACTAAGTACCAGGAAGGAAACAGACATGGAGCTGGCCATAAGTATAATAATGGGACCTATTAAATAATTTAGCTGTGGGGTGGGGACGGGACATCAGAAAATGCTTCTCTGAGGACATTACATTAAAGCTGAGACCTGAGCAATCGGGAGAACAGAGTATCCCAGGCAGATGGACCATATTAGTTTCCTTGACTGCCATAACAAATTGCCATAAAATTGTTAGCTTAAAATGACAGAAACTTATTCTCTCATGGTTCTGGCAGCCAGAAGTCTGGAATGAAGGTGTTGGCAGGGCTGCACTTTCTCCAGAGTCACCAGGGCAGAATCTTCCTTTTTCTCTTCTAACTTATGGTGGCTCCACACATTCCTCAGCCTGTGGTTGCATGACTCCAATCTCTACCTCTATTTTCACGTCACCATCTCCTCTTCTTGCTTTTCTTGTCTCTTATAAAGATGTCTGTCACTGGATTTAGGGCCCACCTAGGTAATCCAGAATGATCTCTTCTCAAGATCCTTAACTTAATGACATCTGCAAAAACCCTTTTTCAAATCAGGTCACATTCACAGGTTCTGGGGGCTTGGTATGGATGTATCTTGTTTTGGGCCATCATTTAATCCACTATAGGGACTAACAATGCAAAGTCCCTGAAACCATCTTTCCTGGACTCTCAGAGTAGTCCACCCCTAGATTACTCCTTTACCATGCCATATAGCATTTGGATTATTTTATTTTGTGTTTGAGATGTTTTGCATCTCCAGAGCATACATTGATTAGAGGCAAGAACTTTATATCTACTATGTTTGCATCCTACCCCACCTCTAGTGTCCAGCACAATATGGGCACTCGAGACACTTGAACTCACTTGTAGATTTAGAGCCATGTTTGTTTCCACTATTTGGGGGACAAAGCAAGGACATGACAAGTTTTGAAATGAAAATGAATAGTAGCATCCTAAATGAATGAGATTGCTCATCTGTGGAAATCTATTCAGGAAGAAATGATTCGGATGAGTGTTCCTGATAAGATGAGGGAGCTTCTCAGCTCCCAGCCAGGGACCCACGATGCTCCCTGCAAGAAGGAAGGCATCAATTTAGAGTGTAGCTAATGAAAGGCTGTCATCTTAGAAATGGTGACATTTCTGTCTCAAAGGTATGTTGTAATGACAGAAGTCTTTGGTGACTTTAAGGAACATTGAGACAGCAAGTGTTTGGTAAGAATTCGTCATTGCCAATCTGTCACTGTCAGAGGCACAGAGACACTGTGTCTGGAGGATGTGAGCTTTCTAGTCACGTTTAAAGCGGCGCTGCCTAGTGAAGTAGGGATAAGACCAGCAGCATCTCCCAGATTCCTGTTTGAATTGCATGCTTGCCATGAATCTTCTGGTGACAAGTCGGTTTCCCAGGCAATTTGACAGCTGGGGGTGAGGTGACAGGAGTGGAGCCAGGGAGCTATACCCTGCACAGTGGACAAGAGTCTGCCAGTCACCATTAAGGTCTGCTTTCTGTCCAAATGAAATTGGCTCTCATGGGTGTCTTGTGATTTTAGGGAGCAGGAATCAGTTCCCAGAATGTGGCTGATCCTAAGGAGAGCAAATACAGTTATCTGAATTTGCCATACCTGGAGCTAGATCCTGCTCTTTTGGTTGTCTGCCTGTGAGGGGGCCCAGCCTCAGGCATCCCACTTCTCTCCTACCCCTGAAGTTTGCTCTTTAGGAGAGTGTCTGGGGAGCAAAGGAAGGGAGGAAATATCAGCCGATGAATAGGCCCAGCCTTGAAAATTGACTTAGCTGCTGAGGAATAGATGAGTTGAATGGGGTGAAAAGACAGAGAAGTGTATTGGGGAAGGTGGACATAATGTTTTCAGTGAAATCATGCTTGGAGCTAAGGCTTCTGCTACTGCTTGAATGATAGTACATTCTTCTTTTAAAGGCATGGAGATCACCTTCAAATAAATCAGACTAGAGACAATAATGCAACACAGACGCCAGACTCACAAATAAGCCTCTACGGCAGCACAATCCCAGGGATCTCTTAAATTTTCTTTAAGAAGCTGAGATGTCTTGGTTCCATTGGGCCCTAGTAACAATGAAGAAAATGCTGTTGAATTTATGGTTACATTTCATCTACTTAAAAAGCCTGGAGAGGAATTTTTTTTTAAATAAATAAAAGAAAACATACTTGGTTCTAACAGAGGCACTCTGCTTTTAAGCAGATGCACATTCAATTGCAGACTTTTTCTCCCCCAATTAGTGTCCAAATGAGTCACTCACAATTTCCATTTGCATGGTTCATTTTGTTTCCCAATGAAGTAAATGATTATTTCTTGGTTCAAAGGAAGTCTTTTCAAGGACACCAAACACTGATAGCATTCTAATCCTTTAAAAATTAAAAATTTCTGCTTACAGTAATAAAATCAACATTTTGGACTGAGATTCCAGAGTGTTTGCTTTTTTACCCCCATCAGCCCTGGTGTATACACAGGTCACTCAAGGGCCTAATCTACCTCAGGCATGCTCAGAAAAACTGATGGGGGCAACCATGAGTTTCCCCTCTTTGGTTATATATGACCAGAGAACAGTCAACCCACAGTCTGTGAAATGGTTTGGTGTGATGAGCTTTGTTCAAAGAAGGAGTTGGGTTGGGTAGATTCCCACTCTGTGGAACTCGAATGGAAAATGGGGGGATAATCAGGCAGCCTGTAGTGGAGTATGAAGCTGATGAGTAATATAATAGAAAGAGCTCGATCTGAGGGTCATGATGGGCCATGGGTAAGTAAGCCAACATTGGAAGTAAGTGTGAAATAAAAATAAAATTCCAAGCCCCCAACTGATGGATGGACCCTCTCCTGGCCAAGGAGAACCCAGAGTAACTTTGAAAACTGAGTCCTTGGCCGGGACAACATGGGAAGTCAGACGTGCCTGTTATGCCCCTTCCCTTACTAACTGCCATTGGGCTTTCTTCCCTAAGGGCTAAACAGAAACCAGCCCTTCCTAAAGACTCCATCACTAGTATCAATCAGCTGCCTGTCTGCTCCCCGTCCCCTTTGTGGTTTTCACAAAACAACCAACCAGCATTTCTTCCTGGTAAGAGACCACCGACCATGGTGTGGTTCTGGCCAGTCTACAGAGAATGTGCAGTAAAGGTTTTTGTGTCCTCTGCTTTTGATGTCGGCGGCTGAACACACCACCCTCGAGTCATGCTGATGCCCCATTATTTGTACATGGGACCCATGAAGGGGGCGTGAAGCTCAATTGCACATACAGGATTCTCCTTTCATAAATATTCATGACTCCTCCTGTAGCTTATTGAATATGCATATTCGGCCACCCTCCTCAGCATAAATTCCTGTTCCCTTTGCCCCTCCCTCAGAGTATCTGTTTCTGGCTTCTGGCCAGAGACTATGCTTCCCAGTCTATCAGAATGGCTGCACTGCAGGCTGCAGTCCTTTATGAGAAATAAAATTCTCCTTTCTAAACTTAAACGAACTTCTCCGTTCTATAGTTGACATGGTTGGCTATGAAGGTGGGATCCATGGAGAACCCCAGTTTCCCCCAGCATGATCCGAAGTCAGCAGACCCACGTCTGCTGCTCAGTTGTCTCCCTCACTGTTCTGGGAGGAAGCTGGCTCATTTTCCTCAGGTCCAAGATCTCCTGCTTTTAGGTTGAAGATTTCACAGACTTTATTTCTCTCTACCCCTTCCCTTTCTTTCTTTCCAGTCCCGACTCAATCTGTCCTGCTTCCCACCATCCATATCCCAGAGGGAACGTCTTTGTTGACTCCAGTTTTGGGAGGGGGCCTTTGTAGCCTTCTTGGTTCCCACCATCTGGACCCTTGAGGAGCTCTCCCCTGTCAGCCCCAGGTTTAGGGGTGCTTCCCAGTCCAGTTGGTCACAGCTGGTCTGTAAGGCTAAGGGCACTCTAAGGGACTCCTAGTTAAAGTGAGTGCAGTTGTAGAGAACTTTAGGTCTAAGGGATAGAGAACCCTTAGTTCTGAAGGGACAGTCTCTTCTCAGCCACCATAAAAGATCCCATTGGCTTACATACTTAAGAACCATGGGAGATTATTATTATTATTATTTCCAAGATAGAGTCGCACAGGCTGGAGTGCAGTGGTGCTATCTGTGCTCACTGCATCCTCTGCCTCCCGGGTTCAAGAGATTCTCCTGCCTCAGCCTCCCGAGTAGCTGGGATTACAGGCCACACCCGGTTAATTTTTGTATTTTTAGTAGAGATGGAGTTTCACTATGTTGGCCAGGCTGGTTTTGAATTCCTGACCTCATGACCCACCCACCTTGCCCCGCCTCGGCCTCCCAAAGTGATGGGATTACAAGCGCGAGCCACCGCACCCAGCCATTTTTTTTTAAAGGACACGTAATAGTCTCATGGTTAACCTTAAAAATTCTCTTGAGTAAATTAAAGATCAAAAATCTGACCTAAAGCAAAGTTAAAATCCTTTGTAAGCTCAAACTGATTACTTAAGCTGCCCTGAGGGAATAACAATAAAAGCCACTCTGCCTTGTGGTCTAATAGTTAAATTTCTGTGATTTCACTGCCATGGCCTGCATTTGATTCCCAGTCAGGAAATCCTTTTGGTTTGATATTTGTGTGACTTTTTGCCATTTATTGATCCTTTTCCCTTTTGAGGACAGCTTTTCATTTTCTGTCTTCCCTCTGTGGAGGCCTGCAGGGCTTTTGGGTCTTTGTATGTAGATGGTCAGCTGTGAAGCTGAGACCCTAGAGAATATGGCCCAGCAGAAATGTGGGTTGTACTCCTTTTGCTGCAGGTGAGACTTTCCTTTCATTGAGCTGTCTTTTGGGATGGATCAAAATCTTGTGCGACTGCTTTGAAACCTCTTTGGCGATGCCCCATGGGTCCTTGGTTAAGCCTTATTGATTTCACTTGGGAGGTTACCTTTGGTAAAGAAATTCAAAAGCTAGATTCAAAAGGTTTGGTAAAATCTGGTAAGATTTGAGAAGATTTTGTTTTCTTTTAAAGAGCTCTATGGTTAGAAGTCAGCTTAATTAAAAGCCGATATCAAAGGTATAATTATAATTTTCTAAAAGGGATTTATGCTTTTTCTCTTTTTGGATCCTTTTTTGAAAGACTTTTTTTCTTCTCTTTGATTGAATTCTGTTTCTTCATTTACTTCTGTCTGTCCCTTGTTTCTCTTGCCACCTTCAGTACCCCCATGAGGACCTAAAATAAATTCTAACAGCTTGGGATCCCTTAAGGAAAACCAAAAATGCACCACAGACTCCTTTTTGGGAGGTAACTCTGTTTTTTCTTATGGAGCCCCAAGAGTTGTAAGCAGACAGATTACTCCCGGGTTTAAGACTCTGCTCTCCAGGCCGGGCACAGTGGCTCATGCCTGTAATTCCAGCACTTTGGGGGGCTGAGGTGGGTGGATCACAAGGTCAAGAGTTCGAGACCAGCCTGGCCAATATGGTGAAACCCCCATCTCTACTAAACATACAAAAATTAGCTGGGCATGGTGGCGGGCACCTGTAGTCCCAGCTATTCGGGAGGCTGAGGCAGGAGAATTGCTTGGACCCGGGAGGCAGAGGTTGCAGTGAGCCGAGATCGTGCCACTGCACTCCAGCCTGGGCGACAGAGCGAGACTCTGTCTCAAAAAAAAAAAATAAAATAAAAAGTCTCTGCTCTCTTTTGCATTGCATTACCTAATGTCTGGCTTTTGGTGATACCAGAGATTACTTTGTACTGTCAGAAAACTTGACCTTGGTGTGTGTGATGACTGCCAGTTACGGGTGAGAGCTACAGTGTTAGAGGTGGCTGATGGTATGAAATGAGACCACCACTTCTCCTGTTGTCCTTCCCAGCTTCTCCCCGACCTCCTCTTTTCCCTAGTTTATAAGACAGGAGAGAAGGGGGAAAGCAAAAAGTTGGAAAGAAACAGAAGTCAGATAAATAGCTAGACGACTTGGCGCCACCACCTGGCCCTGGCGGTTAAAATAATAATAATAATATTAACCCCTGACCAAAACTACTTGTGTTATCTGTAAATTCCAGACACCGTATGAGAAAACACTGTAAAACTTTTTGTTCTGTTAGCTGATGCACGTAGCCCCCAGTCACGTTCCTCACACTTACTTGATTTATCACGACCCTTTCACGTGGACCCCTTAGAGTTGTAAGCCCTTAAAAGGGCTAGGAATTTGTTTTTCAGGGAGCTCGGCTCTTAAGACGCGAGTCTGCCAATGCTCCCAGCCGAATAAAAACCTCTTCCTTCTTTAATCTGGTGTCTGAGGAGTTTTGTCTGTGGCTCGTCCTGCTACAATGGCAGTAGTGTTATCTAAAAACAAACCTTGCCTTTGTCCAGATCTAAGTCTGTGACTTTGAGATGTACATTTTCTACCTTGTTTCACCTGAGTCATGTCTTTGGAGATGCAAATTTAGAGCTGACTAGCTAACAATTGTTTAGGGCATGAAACAGGTACACAAGAGATTGATAGTCCAAAGTAGGGGAGAGACTTTGAAAACTGGCAAATGAAGAATCTTATAAGTCTTTAAGATCTGCCTCTGTCTGTGTCTTTCCTATACCAAAATATATGAAAGAGCTGTTACAAAGAGCTGATTCTGATATGAATATCTGAAAAATAGAAGCTAGCTGAAATACCTTTTAGTTCACAAGACTTTGGTAATCTTTGGTAAATAAAACTAGTTTCAAAATTATCTTCATGGCCAGGCACAGTGACTCACACCTGTAATCCCAGCACTTTGGGAGGCCGAGGTGGGCAGATTGCTTGAGTCCAGGACATGGCAAAACCCTATCTCTACTAAAAATACAAAAAAATTAGCCGGGTGTGGTGGCACATGCTTTGGAAGGCTGAGGTGGGAGAATCACCTGAGTTGGGGAAGTCAAGGCTGCAGTGAGCCATGATCATGCCACTACACTCCAGCCTAGGTGACAGGAGTTAAACCCTGTCTCAAAACAAACAACACAAACAACCAAAATTCTCTTCACTAATTTGAAAGCTTACAGTTAGGTTAAATTAAGTAATCCTGGCTTTTTTCACTGGAAACTAGGGTTATGAAGAGTTAGAATGGTAGTTAACATATATAATTAAAACTACTAGTGTAGCAGGATGAGCCGCAGACAAGAACCCCTCAGATACCACCGAGTTGTGGAAGGAAAGGGCTTTATTCAGCTGGGAGTATCGCTGGACTCACGTCTCCAAAAACGGAGCTCCCCAAGTGAGCAATTCCTGTCCATTTTAAGGGCTCACAACTCTAAGGGAGTCTGTGTGAGAGGGTTGTGATCGATTGAGCAAGCAGTGGGTACATGACTGGGGGCTGCATGCACCAGTAATCAGAACGGAACAGAACAGGACAGGGATTTTCACAATGCTTTTCCATACAATGTCTGAAATCTATAGATAACACAAACAGTTAGGTCAGGGGTTGATTTTTAACTACCAGGCCCAGGGCACGGCGCCGGGCTGTCTGCCTGTGGATTCCATTTCTGCCTTTTAGTTTTTACTTCTTTCTTTGGAGGCAGAAATTGGGCATAAGACAATATGAGGGGTGGTCTCCTCCCTTACTAGACATAAGAGAAGCAATTCTACATACAGAGTATATAAAGAAGGTAAGATGTGTTTTTTGGTGAAGTTTATAAAAAAAATGAGGATGTGATTTTTGCTAAAGGAAAAAGTAATTTCATTTGGTTAGAGGCTATTTAAAGTTTGCTTCAGAACAAAGGACAAAATGATATAGCTCAAACTAAATGGAGAAAAAAAAGGATGGGGAATGAGGAAGCTTTGATTCCTGCGTGGCCGCTGGCTCACCTACGGTATGAAGCAGCAGCTGTGCTGCATTCAGTTACTAAAGGTAAAATTTACCAGTGGAATTTAGAGATGGATGCAACTCTGGGGGAGTTGGTTCACTGGATGCATAAGGAAATGCAAACTAATAAGGAAAAAGCAAAATATTCATTCCTTTGGTTATTGTTATCCATCATAGTGATATAGGACTTAAGAAGAAATCACTTAGGCAGATAATGAGTGCTAGAGTCCTTGGTAAGGTTTTCCCTTTTAATGACAAGCAGTCCCCAAATCATTTTCTAACAAGAGCAGCCTGTAAAGTCAGGCTGCAGATATAGATGCTGGTAGTTTGTGCCAATCGTGTTCAAAATAGTGGCTCCATCTTCCCTTCTCTCTTTGTCAGCCACACGTGCAGTAAGCAGCAGACAAGATGGTGCCCGGACAAGTGGAAAGCTCATTTGCATAATACAATTATGAAAGTAACTCTGAGACTTGTGGTTACCAAGAAGATAGTCAATGTGGGGAGAACGGCAAAGCTAAGTGACTATTCAAATCAGAAGGTATCATGTGAAGGAATTGCTCCATTTTGTAGATCAGTATTATCAGCTTCCTGAGGAACCTTTACTAAAATGGGATTTTAAGAGTAACCAAGTTAGGGACAATATCAGTATCTTTGGTTTTAAATGCTGCAGAATAGAAGAGCATGTTTGGGTTGATGTAGGACCCACAGCTCACTATTGTACAATTGCAGATGGATATATATGATCCTGACAAACAGGAGATTATTCTCGAGGGAACGGCCAGCCTGGGGTACTGGATAAAAGCTACTGTAAGATCTGTTTACTCCAAGAAAGGGACTGCCCAACTCCTTATAAATGCCTAGTGGAGTGCCCCCAGGTAAAGCAACTGATACGCTTTGTATGCAAGCCATATGGAGCTAGATTTATGATGTCAGGGACAGTCATGCGCTGAATGTGCCCATCACCCAGGTCATGGTAAATGCTGTGGTTAAGGGGGCCCCTTCTGCATGGGCACTCCATAGGATGATGTTGTTAGGTTCGAGGATCCTTATCAAGTCTGCTGTTCCAGCTTTCCCTCATGTTACAGATGCTAATAAAACATTAGATTAATTAATAAGAAAATGGGAAAAGCAAATGAGAGAGTCAAAGGACTCATCTCAGGAAAGTGGAAAATTTTAAAGGGTAATTAAGAAATAAAATGAATACAGAAAACATTGATGGGGTGAAACTAAGGGGAAAAAAGAAAGGGGAGAGTCCCATGACCCAGCAGGGTGAAAATCTTTAGATGGTTATTAAGAGATGAAATAAATAAAATGGAAATTGGTGGGGTTAAAACAAAGATCTTAACACAACACTATGGAAGGTTGGGTGGACCAAAGGGAGACGCTGATCTCCCAACATTAAAGGGCTCCAAATCATTTTTCTGTATTTACCCTAGGCTGGAGATATTTCTGAAGAAAAGTCAGAAAGCGAAGAGTGCAACGAAAATTGCCTGGGGCAGTGTTGAGGATTGACAGAAGGGTTCCTGATCCTTTGGCTGAGAAGCCAAATCCTTTTTCACCAGAGAAAGTAAAATGGTCTGAGGGGTGGGAAACAAAGAAGCTCCTGAGACCAGAACATAAAAATGTAAGGTTGATACGATTTTGAAAGCTGGAATGTTTAAATAGGCTTTGTGTAAAGTGGTTGTGACTCCTTTTAACCTAAAAGTTTTATGAAAATGAATATTGTATCCAGCTGGGGGATGTTTCTCCTACCTACTACTATAAAACAGAAGGCATGTAAATCCACCCATCAAGCAATATTAATTGGACTTTCTAAATGAGAACCCATAACATTGCCCGAGCCTAGAACGTAGAGTAGAAACTGGAGTGCTGGTAGTGCCTGGGCTACATTCAACATCGCAAAGGACCCAGTTCTCCAGTTGAGAGCCCTTTGTGGAGCATTTACTGTGGCTTGTGGCCAAAGCTTGTGAGCACCTGTCAACTATGACTGCTGAAACTTCGGACTAAAGAATTTCCACTTCAGGGCCATTTAATGACCAGTTATGAGATGTTAACTGAAGCCACCCATATGTAAAGAATATAAAATGATCTTGACACCTGAAATACCCATGCTGTCTGGGATGATGCCAGAGAAGCACCCTAATGGGGATAGCAGTGCCCAGAAGTGCCCAGAGTTCCGTAATCCAATTGGAATGACTTATCATGCTACCTGATGAATGCAAGGAGGAGATACTCATATACAGGGAGCCCTTATTCCCATAGAGTTGACTCTGGACCTGTGCAAGGAGTTGCTGGATTCTGCAGTGCCTGATAAACAGCTCTCACCTGACTGACAATGAGCTGCTTGATTTGAGGATGGCAGTTTCAAGGTGAACAGACAACATCCTGATTGGAAGGCTGCTACTCTAATTGTAAAAAGTATACTTTTGTCAGCAGAATTTACCTTTCTGTCTACCTCAGTTCTCCAAAATTTGGAAACTTTTCATGAGTATTCTTATTTTATGGCAACATGGTTATTTGCATAAGTTTGTAAGAATCTGTTTTCTTTTGAAACAGGACACAGTTGGAGACGTTGGTTATTTTACCAAGGCCTGAAGTGTCTGTTTCTAGCATCTGACCAGAGGCTGTGTTTCCCAGTCTGTCAGAATGGCCATGCTGCAGGCTGCAGCCCTTTACGAGAAATAAAGCTCTCCTTTCCAAATGTATGAACCTCCTCATTCTTAGTAAAAATTATCATACAGAAAAAAATCTTTATAGAGATAGAAACAAGAAAGCCAGTTGGAAGTGGGAAAAACACGTGAAGAACAGTTATATTAGGGATGGGACATTAATATGAAGATTCACGAAGATCAGAGGAGCCTGCATGGCCTTTGATTTTAGATTTTCTTCCATTTCTAGCTCTATGAGGCCCTGTGACTCCGCTATGGAACTTCTTTTTCCTGAGGCCTAATCACTTTCCTTGATCACCTCGCTAGATTCCCATTTCCCTAGTTTCATGTTAAAGAGCTTTGCATTTAAGATCACCATTTTGGCTCTAATATTTTGTTGTTGTTGTTGATTTTGAATTACAAATGGAATTTATTGGCTCTAGTACCCAGTGAATCCATAGATGGGGCAGACTTCCGGGGGTTTCGAATGACAGCAGGCCTGCTAATCTGGGAGCTCCACCTCTCTGCCAATCCCTCACCTGGGCCTGCCTCTGCAGGCTGCCTTCATCCTCAGGCAGTCTTTCTTTCTGATGGCAAAATGGCTACCAGGAAGTTCCTGGAGCTGCATGCTTTTTTTGGCCAATAGAGGGGATTCTCTTTCCTCTAACTGCTGAAATAAATTCCTAGGCATCCCTCTGATTTGACCAATTTGGGTCACGTGCCAACTGGGGTCATGAACCAATAACAGACTGGGGAAGGGCCACTCTCCCCTTTATTTCAGGGGAAATGGAACAACTGCTAAGGAAGAACCTGCAACATCACTTCACTCTCATTCATCACAGACTTTGACATGCTTAAAACCACCAATGGCTTCCCAGGCCAATGTGAATAAAATAAAATGTTTTTAATCTTGGCATAGGAAATTCTGCATGATCTGGCCCATGCCTCTTTTTCCAGATAGGTCTTGAATCTCTCTGCCTCCTTCTTCTGCTTCATCTACACTGAGTTTTTAATTCCTCAACAGGTCTGAATTATTTTCCACCTCAAGTGCATCAAACGTGCTGCTGGAAGAGGTTCTACTTGGAACTTCCTTAACGTGCTTTTCACCTAGCTACTACTGAAATAAACTTATAACTTAAAATGAAGACAAGGGTCTTCAAACAAATGTACATGGACCTATGAAAGAAGATAAAGCAAGGGGTTGGGGGAGACCTCATTTAAACTAGAGAGGAGGCTGGGAAGAAAGTTCAGGAAAGACCTTCCTAAGCTGATAAATGAAGGATAAATAGCTGTCATTTATTTAATATCTGTTTTTCCCACTAGACTGAGAGCCCTGTGAGGGCAAGGACTATCCCTTGTTTTGTTTACCTCATTATCCATAATGCACAGAACCGTGCTGGCCCACAGAAAGTGCTCAATATATATTTGTGGATTGACTAAATGAATATTCTGAACACCCCACGAGGTCATTTATTGTCTCCACATACCAAAGAGAAAATCAAGACTGAAAATGGGGAAGTCACTGACCGATGTCATCAGGACTTGCCCTCTAGGAGGTGGCCCAGCCAGGATTAGAACTCACTTGCAATTCTGAGATCTTATCTACTTCCTATGGAGCCTCCTAAAGAGAAGTTATAGGTAATTTGTGCTTTGGGTCCAAGAGGCTAAGAAGTGTACCTCTAACTCCAGCTAAACGGGACATTCTCCCAAACACGTCCTGAACTTTGCAACCCTGCCCCTGTGCTCCTTCTTTTTGTTTTACTTGGAAAGCTTTCCCTGTCTTTGTATACCTGTCCAAGTCTTACTCACTGTTCAGAGGTCACCTCAAATATATCTTTTAAACTCTGTATATTTGTTATGATGCCACCATCTATCTTGTGTTAGAGTGATTTATGTATATCTCTTCCTCCAGTCCATTAATTCCATCCTTGAAAGATGGGATCATATCCTAACTGTATTTGTAAACCCTAAGCTCTTAGCACAATGTCTTGTTTATAGTTGGTGCTCTTTATTTTTTATTTTTAGAGATGGGAGTTCTTACTATGTTGCTTAGGCTGCTCTTGAACTCCTGGCCTTGAGCAATCCTCCTGCCTCAGCTTCCCAAGTAGCTGGGATTACACCTCTGTAACCATGGACCCTGACTATTGGTGGTCATTAAAATTGTCAATTTTGATTCTGAAGCCTTACATTGTGCTATCTTCCACAAGTGTGTTTCTCACGCAATATTCAGTATGTTTGACAGTGCCTCTTTTACTCACTGATGAATGTGGACCAGAAAAAATCCTCTTGGTTTCCAGGCTTGTCTCTGCTGCTGACCAGGCAAGTCATTTATTTGTTTTTTTTTTTTTAAGCTGGAAAATGTAAGATATTATATATAATACAAATTAATTTTTGTGTATAGATAAATATAAATTTATTTGTATATGTGATATATAAAAGTAAGCTATTATGAAGTCTGACAATTGCCTCTTGAGAGTCTTGCAGGTGTTGACTGATCAAATATGTTAACCAACTTCATGCTGCGATTGGCTTCTTCACATTGCTTTTGTTGCTTCAGCTCTTCATGTGTAAATGGATGCATGGTGAATGGTTTGTCAAATAGATATGTATAAGAGAAAGAAACAGAGGAAAACATACTCTGTTCCAACAGTGCCTATAATAACCTTGTACCAAGCTTTTTCATGATCTAGCTCTTCCACACTTGGTCACTAGGCTATAAACTAAGAAGCTAGACTAGATTGGGCTTGACTTCGCAGTCTTGGCTCGTGACTGAAAGCCCAATACAAACACACCACATCATCGATATCATCAGGAATGCCCTGGCCACTGTGTGAATTCCTGGTGACGTAATGCTCAGGATGCAGGCTTGGTGGTCTGCCATGGTGGGCTGTATTCTCTGTGGCTTGCTTTGCTCTATGAAACTCTGTGCTTTGAGGATGGCCAGACTGCATCCAGAAAGAGCCTTCTCTTTTCCTTTCAGAAAGCAGTCTCCTTGAATCGACCCTGTGTGATACCTGGCTGGAAAATATCTTGACTCTGCTCATACCATCACACTAGAAACAAATATAAAGCACCATAACCCTTGAATGGCAGTGTGCATGACACGTATACCTCAAGCCCCAAGGGGGACAATCTGACCAATTCTGTTAGAGAGGAAGAAAGCTTTGCAGATTACTGTCATTTATTTTTAGGCCTTTATTATATTTGCCATTCAGAGAAGAAAGAAATCTCTAGTGAAACTTCCATAATATTCAGTTCAAGTGACTCACATTTCTGCTTAATTATTATAAAGCTTTCTGGTAGAATTCTTTCTGGCCCTAATTGAAATTTATAGAACCTTTGCCTTCAAATGCAATAAATCTGTCATCACCAGGGAAGCAGTTTGCACCTGAGGCTACCGCCTGACATTGTAATATGGGGCTGACATTCTGATGAAGAGGCTGTGAGTGGTAGTCAGGCTAATATGAACTCTAGCAAGCACAAAGGCCACTGTTAAACCAAGGAAGGGCCTGGCCTGTGGTACACAGGGGCCCTAGGCCTGCGAGGAGAAGAAAGTTGAGGCCTACCTCACTGGACTTCACAACCCCTCATCCAGACACACCAATGAGCTGTTATAAGTTCACCTAGCTAATCTGCAATTTTCCTCATTCCTCCCCAAAACTTTATCACAAGTGGGGTTGGAAACATCAATAAACATTTAATTAAGGAGAGTTTGGGAAATTGTACCTTTTAAAGCTAATAAACAGTCACTTTAAATCTTATTTCAAAAATAACACATGCTCATTTTAAGACATTTAGTCAATATAAACAAAAATGAAAAATTAAAAAGTCAAATTATTGTTAGAATAGCCTTTAGGTCTTTTTTCTATGCACACATAAACATGTGATTTCCACAAAGCAATACTATCCATAAGGTTCAAAACCTATTGCTTTGCATGATATATCATGAACACATTTCCATGCTATTAAATATTATTTTGAACTCTAAACAATTTTAGTGAATGTAAGCATATTCAATTTTTAGGAATGTACAACAATGTATCTTGGCAATTTTAAATGATTAAACATTTAGGTTGTTTTAAATTTCCATATAAGTAATGGAGACAATTATTAAGAAGACTTCTTCCAATGTGATAAGTAAATAATAACATATTTTTATTGGAATTTATTTAAAACCAGTGGGGGTGTATAGGTTGTTGTGTGTTTTTTAGTCACTTGAAGTACTCCTTTTGTGACTTCCATACTTACCACATTTATATTAATGTGTTAATTTTTTTCTAATTTATTTCTAAGAAATTTACGTTCTGATAGTGTCTATTTTATTTCATTTTATTTTTGCTTTTTAAAACATAGTTATCCAGCTATATATATATATACACACACACACACACACACACACACAGATACATATACATTACATGCTTTCATGTTATATGTCTTACAAATATTGCAGTTTTATTTATGGGAGGCTTTCAAAAAACTATATTAAAATATTTAAAAATTAGTTAAAACTTTCAAACTTTTCAGTTTTTTTGTGTGTGAAATGCTTAGAAAGCCTTTAGATTTAGGTTATTTAAATAGTAGTACTTTTTTTTTAATGTTGTCGAAGTTTTTTGGGGTTTGTTTTTTACATTTAATACCATCTGGAGTTTATTTTGGTATGATGTGAAGTAGGGATCTTACTGCCTTGCTTCATAGATATTCCCACACTATTAATTGAATAATTCAGAATTCTCCAAATTATTTGAAATTCCATCTTGAATTTCTAATAATTTCAATTATTTAAAATTCCATGCGCTACATTTTTATATACCTGTTTCTGTTTTCTGAACTGTGTGGAATTGGTTGGTTGTTGCTGAGAGAGAGAAACAATAAGCTTAGGTCAGTTAATTACCAACTCGAGGCAGAGTATGCAAGTCAGAGGCCCCCTTACAGCTTTAGAGATCCTCATCTCCTGTGCCCAGGTCCCACTCTGCAGTGGACCAGGCTCAAGACAAAATTGTAAAATTGGCAGAACTTCATAGAGGGCTGAAATTTGTAGCCTCACAAAATTATCCACACCAAAGTCAGGGCTGTAGTAGGAAGAAGATCTTGGGACTAGGGTTGGGGTCTTCTGGACAGATAGACCTGAGAACCAGAAACTCTGGTTCCTCTGAATCTTCTGGGCCTGTATGAAGGGTCTCCTGCCCTTCACAGAAGGATGGAATCTTCCCCTTGCTCCTCATGTACCAGGTCTCAACTAAGGCTGATGCTGTGCCAGAAACTACTCATCTTCTTGATGGTCTGCCCCTGACTCCCATCTTAGCCACTATATCAAGCCTAGGGATTCATTTCAACAAGGGCTGACTGGGGAAAGGATGACCCTGCTAGTTTTGAAGATAGATTACCTAACGAAGGAGCTGCAGAGTCTGGGAATTCCTACCGGTAAGAACTGAAAGAGCATGTCAGAGGTGGGGGTAGTGAGATTAAAACTGGATAAGGGAGAGTTTGTTGAAAAGGGTCACTCTTCTGTTATCAGCGTGAATGCTCTCACATTGAGAGACCGTTTTCTATGCTGCTGGGATATTTCTTGGGAGCTTGGAAGAAGCAATGGTGTATACGCAAAGAGCAATTTATTTTCATTGTAGGAAACTTAGAAAATGAAGAAAAGTATTTTTTAATCCTCTTTAATTTTTAAAAAATTTTTATTTATTTTTGTTTTTTTAGAGACAGGGTTTCACTCAATTGCTCAGGTTGAAGCAGTGTGGCGTAATCATGGCTCACTGCAGCCTTGAACTCCTGGGCTCAAGAGATCCTCTGGCCTCAGCCTCTTGAGTAACTTAGCTAGGACTACAGGCACAAGCCACCACACCTGGCTAATTTTTAAATTTTTTGTAGAGATGTGGTCTCACTATGTTGCCCAGGCTAGTCCCAAACTCCTGGCCTCAATCAATCCTCCTGCCTCTGCCTCCAAAAGTGCTGGGAAAAAAATCCTTTTGATCCTTTGTCTTTTGCTTCAAAGATAAGCACAGTTAATATTTTAATATATTCCTTTCTGTAACTTTTCTATGTGTTCTTGTAAACACTCATACATAAAAACACACTAAAAGTAAACCTACTGCATATAAGGTTTTATTTTTATGTTGCTTTTTTTAAGAAATTAATGTTATATTGTTAGAATATTCTCCAAATTGTAATATTCTTAGAGAATATCACTTTTAACTTCAGAAAAAATATTCCATTGCATGATATAAGGTTCACCATGGTTGATTCCCCTACACCCCACTTAATGAGTTGCAAGTAGGTTGCTTGGAAAATTGAGTCCAGGCATCAATGATTGGCTCAAGAGTGGGAAGCTTGACACAATTTGGGCCAATAAGATACTAGAAGAGGCTTGTAGGTGGATTCTATGGGAGAAATGTCCTCACTTGTAAAAGAGAGCCACTATAAACTAGGTCTTTTCCTGATGAATGGGAAGAGGCAACATTGCTCTGGCACTTGCCTTAAGACCTTGAAAGAAGCCAGCATAAAGACAAAAATTAACACCCGAACAAAGGCCAAACAAAGAGAAAGACCAGAAATCAAGTTAGAGTCTCAATTATACAGGGTCTAAAGCTCATCCTATTTTTGGTCTTTTGATTAGGTGAGTCAATACACTTTCTTCTTGTTTGAGCTAGTTTGAATTATTTGCAGCTTAAAGAATTATAGGGACTATGTATGGAATCCAGGGTTGGCCTTCAGCTTTGCTGATTCAATTATGATCTTTGAACATAGCAAACTGATGATCTGATAGTATAGCTTAATAGTAAAAGCACAGATTTTGAAGTCAGAAGTACATAGGTTTGACTCCTTATCTGCTACTAACAAGTGACCTTGGGCAAGTTATTTATCCCCTCTAAGCCTCAGTTTAATAATCTGTATTATAAGAGTAATAATAGTTATTTCACAGTATCTTATTCAAGCTAATTATTGTTATCAAAGGAAGGTAGAGATAGAATCAGCTTCATACCCAGATGTAAAAATACCCAGCACACCAACATGGCACATGTGTACATATGTAACAAACCTGCAAGTTGCGCACATGTACCCTAAAACTTAAAGTATAATAATAAAAAAAAATACCCAGCAGAGGACTGTATAGTCTTCCAGATTCAATATTTTAAACTACAGCCTTCTATTGGTCTATACAAGTAATAATTATTTCTTGTTAAAAATGTCTGAAAAGTGTTGAAAACAATAACAATTACTTATGATCCCACTATGCTAAACAACTAACACAGGGATTAGGCTTTTGGCTTTAAGGATTGTGTACAAAGGAGAAAATCAGAGTTCTTTGTCTGCCTCGGTCATGGATTACTTTTACAACTTTGGCCAAGTCATTCAGTCTCTCCATCCTAGGGAGAGTGTTGACTTCTGCACATGGAAAGAGTAAACTTCCTATCTAATCATGAAGGGCAGGACTTTAGCAATACCACAACTCTGGAGGCCTGAAGAGAGTTTTTCAAGAGTGCTTTATGTAGGCCAGTCCTGGGGAAAACAGAATACCTTTCATATAATTAGAAATTATTCATAGACGTCCAAGGGAAACATTATAGGCAGGGGCTTATTGCTAATTTTCAGGGAGTAGGATGCAGTAATAATGTTGGAGTTTTATTATATTCTTGGCTTATTTGTATGCCAGCAAAACCCAAGAGATATCTCCTGTTTAATCCCATTGGAAAAATCTGATCCAGGAGGACACACATTCTGATGCTGCATTGTCTGCTTCTGAATTGGGAATCCTTGGTAGCTTCAAAAGGCAATTCAATTTGAAGTTGTTTCAGGCTATTAAAGCATAGAAACCAATGAGTGCAGAGACATACAGAAGAACCATTCTGGAGATGAATTGTTGATTACATGAAAGAGGTGGAAAAGAGACCTGATATCTGCCAGAGGGATCATGATTCCAATGAATGAATGGGGACCTTTCCCAGAGCAAAAACCTCCATAATCCCTCAAACATATTGAATTGAGTACAGAACCAGCCTGCATAGCCTGAGTAGCTATAAACCAAAACATTTTCCAAATCGAATATTCTCTTGCCTACATGTATGAGCTTCTCTCGCATCAGTCTTCCTTTCTCTTAAGAATCTTACCATATAAAATTTCCTTTAACAACTCAAATGCACCACACACACACACACGCACACACGCTCACACAAAGTTAACTTTTTTCTTCCCACATATTATTATTACTCTGCTCTGGAATGTTTTTCTTTCCCATCTTGGTCTCACTATATCCTATCAACTCAATGTGACAATCACAGGGAGGCTCTCTCTCAGATACTTCAGACAAGATTGGGTCCTGTTTTATACTCTCAGAGCACTGTGAACTTCCTGCTTGGTAGCATAATTGTGCATATAATGACTTGCTTTAACAGAAAACTTTCTTTAAACATTTACATATTGTAGAGAGGGGCTAATTTGCAATTATATCTTATTATGAATAAAGATTATGAGCCAAGTTCATTCAGTTTAACCAGAGATGCCCAGGAACATGGAGCCCTGGGTGCCTTGATGAAAAGGCCACTGAAAAAACAAGAGAGAAAGTGCTCAGTTAGGATTCCCTTGTTCCAAAGAGCACAAGAACTACTTCACACTGCTGTCTGGGGATGGCTCTCCAATCTTTCACTTTGCAGGCTTTTGTACAGTCCACAATAGAAGCACCATGGCCAAGATGATAATGGTCAGTTTCACTAAATAGCACAATTTAGAGTATGAACTTTCAATTTATTTCACTCCACTTTTAAAGCAACAAATGCAGGAAAATAATCAAATGGAGGCAATTCATGTTAATTCACGTTCTTTTTCCTTTTTCTTTTTTTTTTTCTTTTTTTTTTGAGATGGAGTTTCGCTCTTGTCACCCAGGCTGGAGTGCAATGGCATGATCTCTGCTCACTGCAACCTTTGCCTCTGGGTTCAAGCGGTTCTCCTGCCTCAGCCTCCCGAGTAGCTGGGATTACAGGCATGTGCCACCATGCCCAGCACATATTTGTATTTTTAGTAGAGATGGGGTTTCACCATGTTGGCAAGGCTGATCTTGAACTCCTGACTTCACGTGATCCACTTGCCTTGGCCTCCTAAAGTGCTGGGATTACAGGCAGTAGCCACTGCACCCAGGAATGTTAATGCACGTTCTGCATTGTTACCTAGAAAGATATATGCGCTTCACCCAGCAAAACATTTTTCACATTTCTAACTGGGCATAAACAACCATCATTTGGCTATGACCTGGAGGAGCTGAGCTCTCCAGCTATGGGGCAAGAACAGGGCTGGGCCCTCCGCAACCCAAGAAGGTGTGCTGCTGTGGCCACTGGTATGATTTGGATTTGTGTTCCCACCCAAATCTCATGTCGGACTGTAATTCCCAATGTTGGAAGAGGGGCCTGGTGGGAGGTGATTGGATCATGGAGGCAGATTCCCCCCTTGCTGTACTTGTGATAGTGAGTGAGTTCTCACAAGATCTGGTTGCTTAAAAGTGTGTAGCTCCTCCCTGTGCTCTCTCTTCCTCCTTCTCCAGCCATATAAGACATGCCTGCTTTCCCTTTGCCTTCCACCATGATTGTAAATTTCCTGAGGCCTCCCCAGTTATGCTTCCTCTACAGCCTGTGGAACTATGAGTCAATTAAACCTCTTTTCTTTATAAATCACCCAGTTTCAGGTAGTTCTTTATGGCAACGTGAGAAAGGACTAATACAGCCACGTTATTCAAATTCCTCAGGGAGCTTTGACAGAGTTGTTCCTCTAAGCCAGGACAACCATTCCCTTGCACACCATGCAGAAGAGCCATTAGGAACAGTGACCTTTCTGATTGTCTGGGGACTGAGCCAGAGGGTGACACCATAGGGAGAGGGGTAAGTGAGAGAGGACATTTGCTGGTTGGCTAGAGTTTCTCCTGAGCATGGAGATACCCCTGCTGGGACTCCCAGAGATATTTGGAAGGAGGCAGTAGGGTCTGGTGGTAGTGGTTTAACAGAGCTTTCTGCAGGATGTTTAACAAGGAGATGCCACAAATCCACAGGGCCTAAGCCGCTATTCTCATAAGCACTGGCGGGAAAATGAGAAGGAAGAGGAATATGAGAGAGGTACTGCTTCGTCCAGATACTTTGATTTCTTTATTTTTCTGGAGAAAAGTTTGTCTTCAACTACACTAAATTTTGATATGAAAGTAGATGTAGGTTTCCTACCAGGCACAAGGCACACCAGACCTTGCTGTAATAGGGGATTCCAATGGGAGTTCTCTTCCTGCCACCTGCCTACATTAGCCAGGACCCTTTGGTCTGACTGTGGTCAAGTGCCCATGCCCGTGCCCAAGAAGTAAAGTACTGTGTCTGGAAGCTCCTACCAGAATCACATGGTTGGAGAGGGGAAGAAATAGTTTCAGAAGAGACAGTGGGCGCTTTTCTGAGTAGAAAAAACAATATCTACTATACTGTCTTATGTATTAAAACATTTTCCCCCCCAAAAATTATGCAAAATAAGATTATTTATTAAAAATATCACCTATAATTCTATAATGGCAGTGTAATAGTTTTTTGTTTGTGATTGTATTTTCCCATTTCCTTCTCATCTGATTACATTTGTAGACATTGAAAAAATTATCACCAATACAGGCTAGATACTATTATATTTTTTGCTTTTACCTTGATTTCTTCCTGTGTTGCCTTCAGTCACTATCACCCAAAATTGATTTTAATGATTAGGACTGAGGAAATGTTTAAATTAGTGAATAGTCAGAGGTCAGCTTTGTAAATTCCAAGAGTAATAAGACATGGTTCTTGCCTCCAAGGAGTTTACCATCCAGTGAGAGAGAAAGAGATTTGGCATAAACCTCATTTTCCTTGGCTTCATGCTTCCACATGGAGGCATCCCACTAGAGCAGCACTCATGATTTCTGGCCCCATCCCTTCCTCTCACTCCTTCTGGGTAAGGAGGGCTGCCTTCTCTTTGAGAAAGAACAGAGCCTAAGTGGCTCAGTGACCTCCTTTCTTCTTTTATTTGGGGTATACTTACCTGAAGAAAGTATACATTCTTTTTGACTCCTCCATGTGAATATTCAGGGTCAGGGTTGGGGGAGATTTTTGGAAGTTCAGAACCAGCAGGGATGGTGCATGGTATGTCTAACTCATAGCCATTTTGGCTACAGGTCTTTGCTACATTCTCCAATATTAATTTTATCAGTAATAAAGGTGATGTTTTTATCTCCATCTGCCTAGCTCCTTTATTTTTTCAATTTGTTTCTAAGTTGGATGGCAGACTGAGGGTTGTTCCTGATTGACTACCCTAAAATGTCAGAAATGTACATAGGTTATTTTAGTATAATATTGTGCACTTACTAAAAGATAGAGATGCAGGTGTTATAGAATTACAGGGTGGGAAGGGGCACTTAGCAGAAACTGGAGGTCCAGGAGAAACTTCTAGAAGGAAAAGACATGAGCTGAATCACGATGGATGGAAATAATTATGAGAAAGAAGACAGAAAGGTATTCTGGGCAAAAAAAAATAACATTTATAAAGTCACAGAGATTTGAAGAATCATAGAGTGTGAAGGGAAGTGGCCTGATGACTAGAACTTAAAAAGTGTGGTAGACAGGTAAGGTTTAAGAGTGGGTGGGTAGCAGGTATTGAAGGGCCTGTGCACTGTGCTAAAGAACTTGTATTTGACCCTGTGGGCAATAGGGAGTTGCTGAAGGGTTTAAAGCAAGGGAGGTCAGATGTGCACTTTAGATAGGTGACATTGTAGAGAGTGGATGTAAGGGACCAAAAATTAGTAGTAACGTGACCTTCTAGAAGATTGCTTTTGTAGTTCAAGAAAGAATTGAGCATCCAAACCAGTGTAAGTTTTGGGAATTCAGATTTAAGAACATATAGAATATATTAAATTAGCAGAACTTGGCAATTGATGAAATATGTGTTGGGGTGGGTGTCTAAAATCACTCTGAGTTTTTTGGGTTGGTGACTTAGATAAATGTTATGTATTAGTTCATTTTCATGTTGCTGATAAAGACATATCCAGGACTGGGTAATTTACAAAAGAAAGAGGTTTAATGGAAAGAGGTTAATTACAGTTCCACATGGCTGGGGAGGCCTCACAATCATGGTGAAAGGCAAGGAGGAGCAAGTCACATTTTACATGGATGGTGGCAGGCAAAGAGAGAGCTTGTGCAGGGGAACTCACCCTTATGAAACCATCAGATCTCATGAGACTTATTCACTATTACAAGAACAGCATGGGAAAGACCTGCCCCCATGATTCAATTACTTCCCACCAGGTCCATCCCACAACACATGGGAATTCAAGATGAGATTTGGGTGGGGACACAGCCAAACCATATCATGGTAGAAGTGCCATTAACAGTAACTGGAAATCTAGAAGAAGGAACCATTCAGGATTGGAATAAGTAGGGAAGCTAATAATTTCTGTAATATTCAATTTAGCTTATGTTTATTTTGAGATGTTTCTGGGACTTCCAATGGCCATGTATAGCAGGCAGGTGAATGAATGAATCTGAAATTCATAGGCTGGTGTGATGGTTAATACTGAGTGTCAACTTGATTGGATTGAAGGATACAAAGTATTGATCCTGGGTGTGTCTGTGAGGGTGTTGCTAAAGGAGGTTAACATTTGAGTCAGTGGGCTGGAAAAGGCAAACCCACCCATAATCTGGTGGGCACAATCTAACCAGTTGCCAGTGAGGCTAGAATATAAGCAGGCAGAAAATGTAAAAAGAGAGATTGATCTAGTCTCCCAGCCTACATCTTTCTCTTGTGCTGGATGCTTCCTGCCCTCAAACATTGGACTCCAAGTTCTTCAGTTTTGGAACTCGGACCAGCTCTCCTTGCTCCTTAGCCTGCAGACGGCCTATTGTGGGACATTGTGACTGTGTGAGTTAATACTTAATCAACTCCCCTTTATAGCTATCTATCTATTTCATTAGTTCTATCCTTCTAGAGAACCCTGACTAATACAGGTTTTGGTTCCAGGAGTGGTTCTAGAGAAATAGAATATTAAGCATGAAATTCTTTTGTTGGTTTTGGGGTTTCTGGAGTTAGCTGTTTAATATGATTAGAACCAAAAATGCTAAGGACTCTACTTCTAATAGTATGGAGAACTGATAGTCCTTGGCATGAACTGTTTAGAAAGTTATGCAAAATAAATGCATTTGACGCTCCTGATTCATTGCTCGTGAAAGGCCAGGAGGTTAGTGACTCTATACATAATACATTTTACCGTATGTGGAGAACCAAGGAACATAATGAAGCTGGTTGATTGCTCCTAAGTTCAGTGGACAAAGTGATGAAACAAATGATGAACTCAGGGATTCCATCTTGTGGTTTCGGAAGCAGATACTGAGCTTCAAATCTGTTAAGATTGCCCTGAGTGAGAGTGTTATCTCCTGCAGAGAAAGAGCTGAAATTGTGGAAAAACAGACATAAGCTCTTATCATGCGAGTGGCTGACCTGCAATAAAACGTGCATGTACAGTCTCGCCAGGTGTCTACTGTTAAAGTGAGGGCATTGATTGGAAAAGAATGGGACCCTGCAACTCAGAATGAGGATGTGTGGGAGGACCCTGGTGAAGCTGGGGACACAGAGTTTGTAAACTCTGGTGAACCTTTTTGCCAGAAGAAACAGCTTCCCCATCCCCAGTAGTGGCAACATCCCCTCCCTGACCCATGCTGCCATCAGCCTTTCCACCTTTGTCTGAGGAGTTAAACCCTGCACTGCATGAGGCAACAGTGATGGACTCCCCTTTGGCAGTTGCCTGGCAAGATAATATTGATTCTCCTTAGGAGCTGCCCCCAACACCCCTGTTTGCTTCTAGGCCTATAACTAAAGTCCTGGTGTGCCCATAGAGGTGAGGTTGAGAGTGTGACCCAATAGGAGGTGTGCTACACTCAGAAAGAACTGCTTGAGTTTTCTGATTTATATAAGCAGAAATCTGGAGGACAGACATGGGAATGGGTATTAAGGGTGTGGTACAATGGCTGAAGGAACATAGAGTTGGATCAGGCTGAATTTATTGATTTGGACCCACTAAGTAGGGACTCTGCATTTAAGGTTGGAGCTTGGGGAGTTAAAAACGGTTCTAATAGTTTATTTGCTTGGTTAGCTGAAATATGGATTAAAAGATGGCCCACTGTGAGGAAGCTGGAAATGCCTGATCTCCCTTGGGTTAATGTTGAGGAAGGGATCCAAAGGTTTAGGGAGATTGGGATGGTATAGTGGATTAGTCACTTTAGATCTACTTGGCCCAGCTGGGAGGGTCCAGAAGATATACCCTTGACAAATGCCTTGTGAAATAGTTTTGTGAGGGCAGCACCTGCATCTTTGAAGAGCCCTATAATTGCTCTTCTCTCTGTGTCAGATCTAACTGTGGGAACCACAGTCACTCAACTACAAAATTTAAATATAATAGGAATAATTGGATCCCGAGGTAGCAGGGGCCAAGTGGTGGCACTCAACCATCAAAGACAAGGTGGGCATAGCTACCATAATGGACAGCAGAGGCAAAGTGGCAATCAGAATAGTCTGACTCATGTAGAGCTCTGGCATTGACTAATTAATCATGGTGGTCCTAGAAGTGAAATTTATAGGAAGCCTACTGCATTCCTACGTAATTTCTACAAGCAGAAAACTTCTAGGTCGAATGGACAAAAGACTAGTTTGAATTATAAAACAGAGAATCACAGCCCCTCAATCAGTTATCAGACTTAAGCCAGTTTATAGACCCAGAACCTCTTGAATGAAGGGGAGGGTGGGTCCCCTTGAGGAAGGACCCCTCTACATTACCAACAATTTAGGCAGTGAATTTTTCTCCCATCCTTCCCCAAGGAGACCTCTGGCCTTTTACCAGGGTAACTGTGCATTGGGAAAGGCAAATGATCAGACATTTCAGGGACTACTGGACACTGGCTCTGAGCTGACATTGATTCCAGGGTACCCAAAACGTCATTGCTGTCCCCCAGTTAAAGTACGGGTTTATGGAGGTCAGGTAATTAATGGTGTTTTAGCTCAGGTCCAACTTACAGTGGGTCCAGTGGGTCCCTGGACTCATCCTGTGGTCATTTCCCCAGTGCCAGAATGCATAATTGGCATAGACGTACTTAGCAGCTGGCAGAACCCCGACATTGGCTCCCTAACTGGTAGGGTGAGGGCTATTATGGTGAAAAAGGCCAAATGGAAACCGTTAGAGCTGCCTCTACCTAGAAAAATAGTAAATAAAAAACAATTTCACATCCCTGGAGGGATTGTGGATATTAGTGCCACCATCAAGAACTTGAAAGATGCAGGGGTGGTGATTCCCACCACATCCCCATTCAACTCTCCCATTTGGCCTGGCCAAAGACAGATGGATCTTGGAGAATGACAGTGGGTTATCATAAGCTTAACCAAGTGGTGACTCCAATTGCAGCTGCTGTACCAGATGTGGTTTCATTGCTTGAGCAAATTAACACGACTCCTGGTACCTGGGATGCAGCCATTGACTTGACAAATGCCTTTTTCTCCATTCCTGTCCTTAAGGCCCACCAGAAGCCATTTGCCTTCAGCTGGCAAAGCCATCAATATACCTTTGCTGTCCTACCTCAGGGCTATATTAACTCTTTGGCTTTGTGTCATACTTTTATTTGGAGAGAACTTGATCTCTTTTCACTACCACAGAATATCACACTGGTCCATTACATTGATGATATTATACTAATTGGATCCAGTGAGTAAGAAGTAGCAAACACACTGGCCTTATTGGTGAGACATTTGCATGCCAGACGATGGGAAATAAATCTGATTAAAATTTGGGGACCTTCTACCTCAGTAAAATTTCTAGGGGTCCAGTGGTGTGTGGCCTGTTGAGGTATTCCTTCTAAGGAGAAGGAAAAGTTGTTACATTTGCCCCCTCCTACAACAAAGAAAGAGGCACAACACCTGGTGGGCTTATTTGGATTTTTGTGGGCAACACATTCCTCATTTGGGTGTGTTACTCTGGCCTATTTATTAAGTGACCCGAAAGGCTGCCAGTTTTGAATGTGGTCCAGAAAAGGAGAAGGCTCTGCAACAGGTCCAGGCTGCTGTGCAAGCTGCTCTGCCACTTGGGCCATATGACCCAGCAGATCCAATGGTGCTTGAGGTGTCAGTGGCAGATATGATGCTGTTTGGAGCCTTTGTCAGGCCCCCATAGGTGAATCACAGTGGAGGCCTCTAGGATTTTAGAGCAAGGCCCTGCCATATTCTGCAGATAACTACTCTTCTTTTGAGAGACAGTTCTTGGCCTGTTACTGGGCTTTGGTGGAAACTGAACATTTGACTATGGGTCATCAAGTCACCATGGGACCTGAACTGCCTATCACAAACTGGGTGCTTTCTGACCCCTCTAGCCATAAAGTGGGTTGTGCACAGCAGCATTCCATCATCAAATGGAAGTGGTGTATATGTGATCAGGCTTGAGCAGGTCCTGAAGGCACAAGTAAGTTACATGAGGAAGTGGCTCAAATGCTCATGGTCCCCACTCCTGCCACCCTGCCTTCTCCCCCAGCCTGCACAAATGGCCTCATGGGGAGTTCCCTATGATCAGCTGACAGAGGAAGAGAATACTGCCTGGTTCACAGATAGTTCTGCACAATATTCAGGCACCACCCAAAGTGGACAGCTGCAGAACTATAGCCCCTTTCTAGGACATCCCTGAAGGACAGTGGTGAAGGGAAATCTTCCCAGTGGACAGAACTTTGAGCAGTGCACCTGGTTGTGCACTTTGCATGGAAGGAGAAATGGCCAGATATGTGATTATATACTGATTCATGGGCTGTAGCCAATGGTTTGGCTGGATGGTTAGGGACTTGGAAGAAGCATGATTGGAAAATTGGTGATAAAGAAATTTGGGGAAGAGGTATGCAGATAGACCTTTCTGAGAGGTCAAAAACTGTGAAGATATTTGTATCCCATGTGAGTGTTCACCAACGGGTGACCTCAACAGAGGAGGATTTTAATAATCAAGTGGATAGGGTGACCCATTCTGTGGATACCACTCAGCCTGTTTCCTGAGCCACCCCTGTTATCACCCAATGGGCCCATGAACAAAGAGGCCATGGTGGCAGAGATGGAGGTTACACATGGGCTCAGCAACATGGACTTCCACCTATCAAGGCTGACCTGGCTACAGCCACTGCTGAGTGCCCAATTTCAGCAGCAGAGACCAATACTGAGCCTTCGGTATGGCACCATTTCTTGGGGCATCAGTCAGCTACCTGGTGGCAGGTTGATTATATTAGAACTCTTCTGTCATGGAAATGGCAGAGGTTTGTCCTCACTGGAATAAACATTTACTCTGAATGTGGGTTTGCCTATCCTGCATGCAGTGCTTCTGCCAAGACTACCATCCATGGACTCACGAAATGCCTTATCCATCATGATATTCCACACAGCATTGCCTCTGACTAAGGAACTTGCTTTATGGCTAAAGAAGTGTGGCAGTGGTACTGTTTTTCCCATAGCCAGGATTCACGGGTCCAGGAATCAAGGGGTGGAATTGGAAGTTGCACCACTCACCATCACCCCTGGTGATCCACTAGCAAAATTTTTGTTTCCTGTTCCCGCGATATTACGTTCTGCTGGCCTAGAGGTCCTAGTTCCAGAGGGAGGAATGCTGCCACCCGGAGACACAACAAGGATTCAATTAAACTGGAAGTTAAGATTGCCACCTGGACACTTTGGGCTCCTCCTACCTTTAAGTCAATAGGCTAAGAAGGCAGTTACAGTGTTGGCTGGGGTGACTGACCCAGACTATCAAGATGCAATCAGTCTACTACTCCACAACGGAGGTAAGGAAAAGTATGCATGGAATACAGGAGATCCATTAGGGCGTCTCTTAGTATTACCATGTCCTGTGATTAAGGTCAATGGGAAACTACAACAGCCCAACAGCCTTGCCAATCCAGGCAGGACTACAAATGACCCAGACCCCTCAGGAATGAAGGTTTGTGCCACTCCACCAGGAAAAAAACCACAACCTGCTGAGGTGCTTGCTGAAGATAAAAGGAATACAGAATGGGTAGTAGAAGGTAGTCATCAATACCATCTATGACCATGTGACCAGTTGCAGAAAGGAGGACTGTAATTGGCATGAGTATTTCCTCCTTCCTTTGTTACAAACATGTTTGTGCATGTACACACTTGTACTAAGGAAATATCTTCATTTTATTTTCTTTCTCCTTTATCATGTAAAACAAGATTTATTGAATTCACATCAGCATTTAAGTATTGTTAACTTTATGTAATAGTATTCAGATTGGAGATTGGTGCATTTCTGGTTGTACAAAGGATAGTTGTATTAAGTTAGGCATAATTATGACCTTATTAGTCTTTATGATCTCAGGAGATGTGTATGGGTTCAAGTTGACAAGGGGTACACTTATGATGGCTAATACTGGGTGTCAACTTGATTGGATTGAAGGATACAAAGTATTGATCCTGGGTGTGTCTGCGAGGGTGTTGCCAAAGGAGATTAACATTTGAGTCAGTGGGCTGAGAAAGGCAGATCCACCCTTAATCTGGGTGGGCACAATCTAATCAGCTGCCAGTGCGGCTAGAATATAAACAGGCAGAAAATGTGAAAAGAGAGACGGGCCTAGCCTCCCAGCCTACATCTTTCTCCTGTGCAGGATGCTTCCTGCCCTCGAACATCAAACTCCAAGTTCTTTAGTTTTGGAACTCGGACTGGCTCTCCTTGCTTCTCAGCCTGCAGACGGTCTATTATGGGACCTTGTGATCGTGTGAGTTAATACTTAATAAATTCCCCTTTAATATATATATATATATATATATATATATATATCTCACATATATATCTATCTCATATATATATCTATCTCAGATATATATCTATCTCATAGATATATATATATCTCAGATATATATGTATCTATCATAGATATATATATCTCAGATATATATGTATCTATCATAGATATATATATCTCAGATATATATCTATCTCAGATATATATGTATCTATCATAGATATATATCTATCATAGATATATATCTATGTATCTCATAGATATATATCTATCTCATAGATAGATACGTATCTATCTGATAGATACGTATCTATCTCATAGATAGATACATATATATATCTCATAGATATATATATATGTAGAGAGAGAACCCTGACTAATAGAGCTGGTTATAGTTGGAGTTACAGATTTGAGAGTTATCAGCTTAAAAAATGGTAATACAAGAGTATGAGAAGTTTAAGGAGAGAAAAGAGCAGTGGGCCAAAGAAAGACCCTCAACTTTGTTGGGGGGTGAAGGAACAGCAAACACTATCCTTCACACAGATCCCTCCTCTGTCTCTGGGGTCAAACTCCAGTGAAGTTCAGCTTATACACAAGATCAAAGGTGAAGGAAATTTTTTTTTATTCAGGTTAATACTGTACTTCTAAAAGCTACTGTTTATTTTCTTGTAGTCGACTACACAAGAGTATAGTCCCAAGATGGGTGGGAGACCTTTACTCTCCCTTTTATGAGAAGATTATATTAGACTGAATATTTCCCTGTTTAGTTACTTACCTATCCCTCGTAAAGGCAGGAAGAGTAGCTAACACAGTTGTACAGTTTTGGGGTATTCATTAGAGATCATTTTTACTGCGGCATAGAGGAAAGGTACTGAAAAACATTATATGAGCCCATCTCTCAATCCTCCTTTTTCCTTATTTGGATACCAACTAAGTTTGTGCAGGTGAATGTGGAGGTAGATTGAGTTTTATTTGCAGCCATGTTCTCTCCAGAAATGTCTTTCAGCTACAGCTTCAGAAATTTAGAAAATAGAAGAATTAGTTCTCACATTCATGCTGCATTTTCCAGGCCAGGCCAATCCTATCCTATGAGGTTCTCAAGCACTAACCTGGCCAATTAATGCTGTCAGTGCTTTGAATTGCATTTAACTGCCAGATTTTGTGTGTGCTTTCTAATGTTCAGAATGCTGGTGAGGACATAAGACAACAGGAGATCCCTAATTTTTCTAGTAACATCCCTAACCCTTGCCTATTTTAGAAATGTATAACTCACGAACACCACACACGGTTTACTTTGAACTTTGAAGGAGTTTTGGTTGTTATCTCTTCTCAATGTAGCTATTATTTCAGGTGTAGAATGACCAGCTATAATCAGAACAATTAGTCTGAAACTCTGGGTGATTTATCTGGTGACCAAAAGCTAAAGGGGGAAATCAATATGGATTTTACAAAAAAAAAATTAACATTAGGTTAAGATGGAACATAACTAGTAACCATTAAATTGTTTTTGGGCACTTGGAACATAAGCATTCTTATGCAGTTTGGTATGAGAACTATTATCCGTTCTTTGGGTCAGAAGAGATTAGAGAGAAAGCGCTTGCCGATGAGATGCCTGGCCTTATCTTAGCATGCAAAAGTTCCTTAGGCAGTTGGTTAAGAGCCTTTCATGATCAACCAAGTATGATGTTAAGAGCATTTGTGAGTTAGCTCTTGGCACTGAAATGTTGGTATTAATGATGGGATGATAAAGACACAATTATACAATTTGGGAATTTGACATTTCCACCCTCTTTCACAGAGAGCTGAGGAATTCTCCTTGAGGATATTTCTTAAATAGATCGTGAACCCATCTACTTCTTTAAATCTTCTTGATGCACTTTAGTGAAAGCTATCATATTTTACTCTTACTTCCCCAACTGGCCATTCTTCAAACAGAGCAGTCTTTTCAAAAGCATACAACACGTACAATTTCTCTAATCAAGACTCGCCAGTGACTTTTCATTTTGTTTAGTAAACACTTGGGCTGTTTACTATGGCCTACTGAAATCCACATAATTTGGTTTTGTCTTTTTTCTAATTTCTCCTTTATGTCTACCATGTTCTAGTTTCATTGCCTTCTCTCAGTTCATTGAACATACTGAGCTCTTTCCTGCCACTGGACCTTTGCACTTGCTCCTTTCTCTTCCTAGAAAGACCTGTCTTGGCTGCTCACGTGTCTGACTCCTTTTATTCTTCAGATCTCAGCTCAGATTGCACCGACTTAGAGGAAACTTACTTGATCTTTTTTCTCCAATCACTCTTTATCATATCACCCTTTCATTTACTTCATAGCACTTACAATAATTAGAAATTATCTTCTTTATTCATTCCTTTAATTGTCTATTCTATGTCGCCCAACTAGAGTGCAGACTTTATAAGTGCAGGGAATGCCCCAAACCTGGAAGAGTGCCTGCCCCTAAAACTTTTGTTGATGGAATTAATCACAAGCTGCAATATAAAGATATTGCAAATCATAGAAACATAAACTTAGGTTTCCACTCTCCATTTCCACAGCTAATAGTGGTAGTTTTCTGTATCTATTTCTTGAGATGTGGGGGGCAGACAGCAACCAAGAGTAATAAGTCAGTTGAACTGCTGAATTGATGTTTCAAAATTCTTAGTAGTGAAGAAATCTTTAAAAGGCAAGAGAATGAAGAAAGAAAATGGGTTTGAAGACCTAGAACTTGGCTTTGTCTATCAAGAGCCAAAACCTTGAGGGAAATAAAGTGTAGAGCTTATGCAGAAAACAGTAGATTCAAAAGAATGCATGATGGGGTAAAATCTTGTCTTTTGCTCCTTGATGAACTGGGAGAAACAGTTGACCACCTGAAGGGAGGAGAGAGAAAGGCTAGATAGAGGGGTGTCAGAGACTGAGTAATGGACATGGATCCCTTTGAAGACTCTGATAGACTTGAGGATTAGAGAACATTAGAAGATCGAAGTCCCATGTCCTGCTGGAAACTCTGAGAAGAGATAGACTCATAGCAGGCCATATTCAATGTGGTAGTAGTGGTGGTAGTGTTGCCATGGTTAAGTAGAAATGGTGACCACTCAGGAGTAGCAGAGAGAAAACTAGCACCACTGTCCACTTCACCTTGAGCCTTAATGATGTTTCCATTTTTTGTTTGTTTGTTTGTTTGTTTGTTTGTTTGCTTGAGACAGTCTCGCTTTGTTGCCTAGGCTGGAGTGCAGTGGTGCGATCTCGGCTCACTGCGACCTCCACCTCCCAGGTTCAAGTGATTCTCCTGACTCAGCCTCCTGAGTAGCTGGGACTACAGATGCACACCACCACGCCCAGCTAATTTTTTTTTGGTATTTTTAGTAGAGACTGGGTTTCGCCACGTTGGCCAGGCTGGTCTGAAACTCCTTACCTCAACTGATCTGCCTGCCTCGGCCTACCAAAGTGCTGGGATTATAGGCGTGAGCCACTGCACCCAGTCTGAGCCTTGATGATGTTTCATAGTCCCAGGTGGTGTGAGTGAAGAGATAGGCTGAGAAGGGCAAATGAGTGTTGGGGGTGGGGGGGAAGTGAGGGAGTACAGGAGAAGCAGGGAGAGAGAGAGAGAGAAAACTCATAGTGGATGGAGAGAGAGAGAGAGAGAGAACTCATAGTGGGGATGGGATGGACACGGAGAAACCTGTGAGGTCTTTATAGGGAGGACTGCAGACAATGGGTGGCAGGTGCAGTAGAAACAGCTACTGTAAACCAGGGCCAGCTGAACAGAGGCCAGCACAGAGTTCAACATGCCGCAAGTGCCTCTCCCATGTTGCCAGGATGATACAAAACCCCTTGCTACCTCCCGTACTTTAATTCAGTCACTGGGAAAGAGAAGAGAAAACTAAGGAGGAGTTTGGAAATCTTAAATTAACTGAATTTTTTTTTTTTTTTTTTTTTTTTTTTTGAGACGGGGTTTTGCTCTTGTTGCCCAGGCTGGAGTGCAGTGGCGCGATCTGGGCTCACTGCAACCTCTGCCTCCCAAGTTCAAGCGATTCTCCCACCTCAGCCTCCTGAAAATTAACTGAATATTTAGGCCAGAAAGAGCCATTTTGAGTTTTAAAGCAGGATGATTTAATTTACTTTGAATTACAAGATTCAATTTTCTTCCCATTGGTGAAAGTGGGAGCTTGGAAACTAACAAAGTTCAATTATGAGAAAAGTAAGTCATATTCTTGCAAATCTGAATCCATGATTATATTAAAATTCAATTCATACTCCCTAAGTTGTTCATTTTAAAATCTGTCTGTGTATATATGTTTGATGTTGAGCGACTAGTAAATGGGTTTTGGTCTTTTTTTTTTTTCCTGCTGGTACTCGCAGGACTTTGTGAAACTAAATGGGAGAACTAGGTCAGGCTGCTCGTTCAGAGTGAATGACAAGGCTAGGGAAGAATAGGCTTTTCTTTTATCCTGAGGCTTTGGAAAGAGAGAAAACACTTTCGATGGGATTTAGAAACATGATGTAGGAAGAAATTTTTTTCTAGATACTTTTGTTGTATTCACCTCTCCTTAAGAAAATCTAAACAAGTCAGACTATTATAGAAATAAAAGAAGGAAGAGGGTTCATAATCTGAATTAGAAAATAATTCTTAGTAATACAAAATCAGTGCTTGTCTTAAGTGCTTGTTTATGGTTCATTAGCCATTTGACAGGGGAAGACAAACTGAAAACTAAAGCATTAAGGACAAGTAGCCAATGGAAGATCAATCATAAAAGACAGCCTGTTGGTAGTTGCCATTCATTGAGAAAATGTAATTTAATTTACAAAGCTATCAGTTTAATTTCACCTGTTAGAGAGTGGAAAGAAGGTGACCTTTTAGTAATATCAGGTTTCTTGTTTTTTTCACCAAAAAATGTGGAAAAATCTCTTCATTATGAGAGCCCAGGAATCTAGCACCATCTCCCTGACTTGACCACAACTATTGCTTTGTACCTATACTTCTGCTAGTATCAACCTGGAAAGTCTATATGGGTCATATTTGTTATAACCAAGTTTTTTTCCTCCACTGAATTTCAGTAATATTTCTGCATCCTGCAGCCTGTCAATGTTTTAGTTTTTCCCTGTGTGTTATTCTATACTCTTCTCAGCTGTATGGTCCTCCTCCTATGTCTGACATGGTCTGTGTCAGCACTGTGGTCAGCAAGATTTAACTTGTGCTACGTTTGTGTTCTGAGGACTCGGTAAACAGAATGCTTTTTACTAAGTCCTCAGAAAACATGCTCCCACACTCTCATGCTCTCTCTCCTTTCCCTCTCCTGTCCTTCAGCTCCTTCCCCAACTAACCACGACCCTCGCAACACTCACCTCACTTCCCCCTTAAATGTTGGCCCTACTAAGCAGGAGGCAGTTCCTCGCGCAGAAAGATACAACTTCCTCTTCAAGGGAGATCAGTTGGAGACCCAAGTGTGTGTTTTGGAAGTGAGAGGAAGGTGCCTGCGGAGGGAGAGGCTAAAGGGAGAAGAAAGGAGGATGTGGGTGGAAAAAAGATTAGAAGGAGGTGAGAAGGTGGGGAGAAGAATACTGAGGGGGGTGAAGGAGCTGTCTCTAGGGCACAGTATTACCTTTAAATAGAGGAAGAGGAAAACTTCCTGCGAGATAGAAGGTAATGAATTAAGAGGGGGGGAGATTGGCCGGGCGCGATGGCTCACGCTTGTAATCCCAGCACTTTGGGAGGCCGAGGCAGGCGGATCACGAGGTCAGGAGATCGAGACCATCCTGGCTAACACGGTGAAACCTCGTCTCTACTAAAAATACAAAAAATTAGCCGGGCGTGGTGGCGGGCGCCTGTAGTCCCAACTACTCGGGAGGCTGAGGCAGGAGAATGGCGTGAACCCGGGAGGTGGAGCTAGCAGTGAGCCGAGATTGCACCACTGCACTCTAGCCTGGGCTACAGAGCTAGACTCTGTCTCAAAAAAAGAAAAGAGGGGGAGATTTTGATTTGGCCATTTTGACCTGGCCAATTAGACACTGTGATTTCTACAGAGTTGGGAGATGTTTTGAGAAGGCCCCAATACTGAAGTTCATTCTTTGACAGGAGTGAGGTGGATATTACCATTATTTAGTGATCTTTTCCTGTGTTGCAGACCCAGAACCATTGCACCTGTCACTATGACTACATGACTACGATTACTCCCATTTCACAGGGGAAGAGAGCTGAATTATCTTGGAGCTTCTCCTTTGATATAGCAGTTGTACAGGTGAATATCAATGCTCTCTGCAAAGAGCAAATAACTATTTTAACGCTCTGTTCTAAAGTCAAGTAGCAAGGTTTACATGGTCTTACCTCATGTAGGAGGTTGAGAATTTTAAGAAATTTTAAAGAAAGTTTGAAATACAAGATTGAAGGTGGAATGACAGAGACTCGTGTTTGTGTGTGTGTGTGTGTGTGTGTATGGAAGGAGGAAATGGTATATAAATAAGGGCAAGGTCTGGACACAATATATCTGAGAAGGTAAAAGGGAAAATAGCTGAGTAGCTGTTCTCAATAAACGCACCAAAGAATTAACTTTGATTTGGAATCTTCTCAACACAAAGAGATGATAAATGTTTGAGGTGATGGATATCTCAGTTACCCTGATTTGGTCATTACACATTGTATGCATATGTCAAAATATCACATGTACCCCATAAAAATGTACAATAATTATGTATCAATGAAAACAAACAAAAAAGAAAGTTTGAAATCTCATTTGGCAAAATGTAGCCAGTAAATGTGATTCTTTTCAGTCCTGATTCTTCTCATTCAATGAAATTTTCTGCATCAGGCATGCAATTGTTATAGGCACTTGGATTTGCATCAGAGACCTGCTGGAGTTGTCCACTATTTTCAGGCTGGAAATGGAAGGAGGTAGCACTAGATTTGCAAATCCAGGCACATAATAGATGTTGTGATTCCATCTGAGGCATGGCAGAATGTACCTAGATTGTTTATCTTGGAGAAAAACTGAAGCTACTGAATGAGGAAAGCAGACAGATCCAAAAATCAAAACCACAGGCTGTGTGTTGAAGGCAAAACTCTGAGGGCTGTAAAGTTTATTTTTTGAAGTCTCTCACTTTGCCTTTCTTACTCTTTTTCTTGGCTACTACCCCACCCCAAACTGATACCACTCCTAGCATCCTTTATACAGAGACTTGCTGCCCCCTTATCTAATTTTTGTCTTCTTAGAGGCCATGACTGCAGTAAATATATTTTCTAGGCAAAATTATGTCACATGTATATTTGCAAATGTATTTATATGAAACAGTAACACAAATTACAATTAATTGTAAATATAGTTGTAAATATATACAAGTCCCAGTCAAAATGACCCCTCTTCTTTATTTTTTCAATTCCCATTCCTACCAGCAACATTCTTTTTCCTCAGTCCGTTAGTCTCACCTAGAAAATTGATTTGATAAAATAATATACTTTTAAGTGTTGTAGGCTGACAATACCTGTTGTTGCTATTAATGAGTTTTTTTGGTGTGTGAGCACCAAGGATCTCTTCCTTCTTTTGGGAATCTTACTGTTTTCCCTTTAACGAACCGCTTTTGTATCTCCCATTACAGGAAATAGATGGGAGTTTTTATTTTATGACTCTGTTTCCTGGCCACAGTGATTGGTTCATAGATAAATACCACCTAATCAAGACTGGCCAGTCACAGTTCTCCCCTAGGATATATATTTTTTGAACTATCAGGGACACAATTTTCTCTCTTGTCTCTGATTTTCAAGTGTAAAAGAATATAAGCCTATAGTTGCTAGTGTACACGTCTCCAATTGTAGAGATTTTGCTCAAGATAAAAAGAAAAAGCAGACACATTTGAGAGGTAGAGAGTCCTACAGATATCAAGCCCCTGCTTCCTTCTGGTTTTCTCTTGGGTCTAGTTCTACTCTTGCCTTGCCTACTGTTTGCTCAAATACTAGTCAACACATATATCTTCCTCCTCTCTCTCCTTTGTTTTTTTCCCCCTTAAATATTAGCCAGAGCTATGACTAATATATTTCCACAAGGAAGTAACTAAATCTAGGAAATTTTTCTTTTTCAAGAGGACATGGTCACAAAAAACAAAAAAACATTTGATGGTGTTTCATGAAGTATGGCAAATGGAAGTGAAGCAGTTTTGAGCAGAAGGTTCACTCTGATGTGTCTCAACTTCCACCACACAAGTATCAGTCTGTGCCACTCACTAAAACGGCCAGCTTTGCCAAGGATCTTTGAGAACTTAAGTAGATGAACTGGTGACTCTGTTTAGAATGAACAGCAATGCCCAGCTACTTCCTGAGGATTCTGTAGAAATCTAAAAGGCAAATAAGTAAGCCTGCATTAAATGATGCTACCATATTTCTACCATGTGGGTCTGATCTCCCTAATACCTATATTTAGGCTTTGATGCAGCAGTTCCATGTGGCAAGATCCTGGTAAAAATCTTTGTGCTGTGATAGAGAATGTGGCTGTGGATTGGCCAGGCCAAGGATTTCCTGAGAACCATGTAGGCTTTCAGTTGAGCAAAGCCTGGGGTAACTTCTCTCATTTTTTTCAAAAGGAACCTCAGTCAACTGGCCTGTTGTGCAGAAAGTTCTCAAGCCTGGTGCCAAGAGTACTGGGAACCACGAATTCCCTTCTCGCCCCTGCGTCTTTGAAGCTGACCCCTGGAAGAGCAGAAATCCTTGGCTCGGGTTCTGGAGTGGATGGGAGACAGTTTACTGATAAACTTATTAAAAATTTTGAAGAGGGTTGGTGAGTACACTCCTTGATCTTTTTGCCTGAGAGCCTGTTGAGTGTGGCTGGCTTTGAGGCATCATCAATCATTGGAATCTGTGTTGACAACAAATGAGAGTGCTTCTGCATTTGTTCTTGGTGGAAATGAGCCTTATGGAGCATGACAAAGAGTCCCCAGGAAGCCCTTATGAGGCTGTCTTCAAGAATAATCATGGCCCTAATGATGATTAAGTAGTGTGGTTAAGGCATTAGTAGTAGTGTAGTGTGTAGTGTAGTGTGATTAAGGCATTTAGGGGGTATAAAGCAATAGCGCCCCAGTATCTAGCATGGTATGCCTCAGAAAGAGTAATAGTAGTAACTTTCATTGAGCATCTGTTATGTGCCAGGTTCTCTTCTTACCACATTCCATGTACTACCTCATTTGATTCTTATAACATCTTATCAAATAGGCACTTTTATCACCTTCATTTTTTTGGAGGGAAAAAAATGAAGCACAATATAAATGAATTGCCCAAGGTTGCTATGGTAGCTTGTCTCCAAAGTTGAGTCTTCCTGGAATCTCTGCTGGCCCTGTGACTAAACTTTGACCAAGGAAATACAGCACAAGTGATGTCATAAGCCCAGTTGAGCCTTATATTACTGTAGCACCAGTTAAATACTGACTGCAACTGCACGAGAGACTCCAGAACCACCCAGCTAAACCCAGTGTGCCCACAGAACCATGAGAGCTAATAGTAAATTATTGCTTTAAATCACAAACTTTTAGGGTGGTTTATTATACAACAATAGCTAACGAAAACATTCACATGGCAGGTAAGTTGCAGAGCTGGGGTTAAAGCCCAGGCAGCTGGGTCCAGAGCCAATGCTCTCCACCAGTGCTCTACATGGACTCCATTCCTCTTGGTTGTTGTGACCCTGATTATGATGTATATAGGTGAGATTTCCCCAAGCAAGCAGACGTGCAAATCTGTCAAATAAACATGGTGGATTTGTAGAAAAAATATATATAGCAGAGAGGATTAAACATGATTCTGAGTCAGATAGACTTGACTTTGAACTTCTGCTGTACCACCTGCTAGTTTTATGACCTTGGACAAATTATTGCCGGGTGGGGGCCTGATGGTGATGAGGGTCAGCTTCTTAAGTTAGTGTGTACAGGCAAAATCACCTCTAAAACTCTGAAAGCTCTTCACGCTTTTTTTGTTGTTGTTAAAACAGGGTCTCATTCTGTCACCCAAGCTGGAGTGCAGTGTTGCAATCTTCACATTCTTTCAGTACAGACTCAAGTATACCCGTGTGGCCACACACTTTAAGGTGAAGTCTTTTCACAGGATATCTGAAGCAAGTGCTTATTGAGTGAAATGGCTAGAGCCATGGGCACTGTTAAAAATAAGTATCCTGTTTTATATTTTGACTGAATGTGCATGGTTTAATTTATATAATCTAAATGTGTTTAGGAAGAGCCTCTATCTTACTTTTCTGTGCTTCAGTTTTCTCATCCTTAAAATGGGACTGTAGATTAGCTGCACGGGTTTATTTATTTATTTTTATTTTTTAATAGAGGCGGTGTTTCACCATGTTGGCCAGCCTGGTCTCAAACTCCTGACCTCAAGTGTTCCACCCTCTTTGGCCTCCTAAAGTGCTGGGATTACAGGTGTGAGCGAGGTTTTTTTGTTTGTTTGTTTTTTGTTTTTGTAGATGAAGTCTTGCTCTGTCACTCAGGCTGGAGTGCAATGGTCTCGCCTCCCGGGTTCAAGCGATTCTCCTGCCTCAGCCACCCTAGTAGCTGAGATTACAGGTGCCCGCCACCACACCCAGCTAATTTTTATATTTTTAGTAGAGATGGGGTTTCACCATATTGGAGGGTTTATGCAGGTATTAAATGAGACCTTTTATGAAGAATGTCTGGTAATTGCTTCCTTTGGAGTAGAGGGCCCCTTGGATACTCTCAAGTTCTGGCTGACTGCCTCGCTGCTTACTGAGCTCCCTGTGGGGAGAAAAATAAATTAGTGATACCAAAACAAATTTTTAAGGGACCCAGGATATTAATTTAGTTCACTGAATCTCAAATCAAACTTTTTCTTTTGTACCTCAGAGATAGAAATATTTATATTTTCAGTATTTTCCACTGTACAATGGATGAATTCAAGAACATAATATGATAACCATGTAAGTTAGACAGCACATGTACAGTAGTCACGTAGGAGTGAGTGTATTTCTTGAGATTCCTGTTGTAACAAGTGCAATGGTGATTTTCAACTTTACACTAGTGCTTCCATAATTAACCTGAAAAAAGTTATTTGATAGGTGTGAAGAAGCAGTGGAAAGAGGGGACAGGAGAAGTATATATATCTAGGGTCATGTTTCAAGGTTGCCATGTCTCTATTTTTCAGAGGTCTCAACTGCTAAATCCGTCCATATTCTCTATTGCTGTATGATGAATCATCTCATACCTTGATGAGTTAAAATGAGTTGTTCATCACCTCTCATGGTTTCCGTGAGTGAGGAATTCAGATAGGGTACAATAGAGATGGCTTGCCTCTGGCTCACATCGTATAGGGCCTTGACTGAAATACTTGAAGACAGGAGGCTAGAATCATTTGGAGTCTCAAGCACTCACCTGTCTGGCACTTGATGGGGCCTTAGTGGATCTATCAGCTGGAACACCTACGTTTGGCTACTCTGTGTGGCCAGTGTTTCCTTAAAACATGGTGGCTGGACCGCAAGGGAAAGCAAGCACTGAGAGAGCGAGAGCGAGAGAGCCAGGTAGAAGCCATATTGCTTTTTATGACGTAGCCTGAAAAGTCATGCAGCAGCACTTCTGCCACATTTTGTGGGTCAAGGCAATCACAGAAGTCAGCCCAGATTCAAGGTGGGGTGGGGGGACACACATAGACCCTGCCCTCAAGTGTCAATGTCACAGTGTAAGAAGAGTATCTTACATGGGATATGTATACGTGTGTGTATTTGTGTATGTGTCTGTGTATATGATCTCTTTTTTTTTTTTTGACCACTTGTTACCTGCTGCCTATTGATATTGTCTTCTTTGGAAAACATAACCTCCCATCCTTACTTTGAAATAAGTTTTTTGCTAGGTCTCCACAAAAGTACCCTCATGTCTAATCTAATTCCAGAGTCTGTCATGGAACACTGGGGCCGGATGGCTACACAGCAGCTAAAGTGATGGGAGATGCTGGATCCCTCAAACTCAGCTTTCGTGGCAAGAGGAATGTATGGAAGTGTGAACCCTGAAAATCTGAGACAGGACCCAGTTAATTTAGAAAGTTTATTTTGCCAAGGTTGAGCACACACCCATGACACAGCCTCAGGAGGCCCTGACGAAATGCGCCCAAGGTGGTTGGGACACAGCTTGGTTTTATACATTTTAGGGAGACATGAGACATCAATCAATATATGTAAGATGTACATTGGTTCCGTCTGGAAACGTGGGACAACTGAGGCGAAGTCTGGAGAACTTGAAGGGGTGATGGGGCTTCCAGGTCACAGGTAGATAAAAGACAAATGGTTGCATTATTTTGAGTTTCTGATTCACCTCTCCAAATGAGGCAATCAGATATGCATTTGTCTCAGTGAGCAGAGAGGTGACTTTGAATAGAATGGGAGGCAGGTTTGCCCTAAACAGTTCCCAGCTTGACTTTTCCCTTTAGCTTAGTAATTTGGGGGCCACAAGATATATTTTCCTTTCACAAAAGGTAGCACGCAACTCAAGGGAAAATACATTCAGCAAAGGAGAGAGCACGTCATGGCTAAGAAAGCTGTTTATTTTCAATCCCAATGCACACTTGGAAGATGCTTCCCCAGATCCCTCATGACACTTCCCTTTTTTGCTCTGTGTCCTGCTGTTTAAGGAACACAAAGGATGCCCAACTGGATCACAGCTCACGAGATGCTCTAAATTTGATGTTTCTGGGAGGATGAGAATTACTCATGGAAGTAGTGGAAGCCAAATGTGTGATAGACCTTACACTTAAGTTCATTTTTATCTTCCATTAGCCATCCACTTCTGGAGAATGTCACATACTTTCTAACCACTATGTATAAAAACATTTTCTTTAGTTTTGCTATAAAGTCTTGTTTGAAAGGGAGAAAAGTAATGATGTTCCTTTAAAAAAAAATCAAGCAAGCTTTCCTATAAAGGTAAAGAAAATGTGGTTTGTGAGTCAGAAGGAGATGAGTTTGAATTCTGATTGTTTTGTATTATCTATACAATCCTGGTTCTTAAAACTCTCAGCGAGTTCATAAAAGTCTGAGCAAGATAAGGAAAAATTTGCATAGTTGACTAATAGAAACAAAATTGGATTGGTGCCGTAAGTCAAGAACATAGTTGGAAGCCAGCCAAATGACACAAAAATCTCAAAGAAGATGACAAAAATTATGCTGTGCATAATCAGTTCCCAGTTGCCCTCCCGGTGTTAATGACATGATCCTGAGAAAGCCATATATGAATGAAGTAAACTGCAGTCAGGGGGTGAGCAACAGGAGGTGCAGGGCACTCCATCTGGAGGGAGAAGTGGGGAGGAGTCTGGGAAGGGTCTGAATAGTGAACACTCTCATCAGGGTGCCACGTAGCTGGTAAATAAGAGAGAAGCATTAAGACTTAGTGATTAGGACTTCCTGGGCACTGAATATGTCCCTTTAAATAAACTTAGAGTGTCACTGACACACGTTGTCTAGCTATCAGTATTGCTACTTAAAAAGGGACGTCCTTTCTGAAAGATGAGAGAATTCTGTATCAGTTGGCTGAAGCTTTTAGCAAAGGTTTTTTAGCAACATGTTTTGGCAAGATCACAGCCTGATCTTCACCGTGCTTACTGTTCTTGCTATCGTCAGGGGACGTTTTCCTTGAAGTGGTAGGATTGAGAAGGCAATTATTCTTGATGATGATGATGATGACGATGATGATGATGAAATGTGAGCAGGTTTGAACTTTGCTTCATAATTCCTGAGTGAGTGGCATTCCATTTTATTTTTGTAAATCAAATTTATTCTGGCAGGTTGTTCATTTATTTATGTATTTATTGTGCTAAGAAAAATTATCTGAAAGTTAGAAATGAGGGGAAAAAAGCAGCCCCTGATAGTGATAAGCTGGCTAGCCATTCACAGCTAGGCCATGTTATTCACCTATGAGATATAAACAATCTCACAGAATATCAACCTCAGACAAGGTTACTCAGAGATAAATGAGATCAAGGTTACTCTGATAAAATGAGACAAAACAAGACCATATTTTTAAAAGCACAGACAAAAACAAGGTCATGGTGTCATTCATAAAATACTAAATACTCCTTTTTCAGTCACAACGAGTGACTCCTGCTTCTTTGTCAATCACAACTTTATCCTTGTTCTAGTGTACCTCCCTATAGATAAGAGTTATTGATTTACCCAATAATAGAATTGCCTCTCTTTTATTATTTATTTATTTTTAAAACAGAGTCTCACTCTGTTGCTCAGGTTGGAGTGCAATGGCATGATCTCGGCTCACTGCAATTGCTGCCTCCCAGGTTCAAGTGATTCTCGTGCCGCAGCTCCCGAGCAGCTGGGATTGCAGGCGCCTGCCACCACATCCAGCTAATTTATTTTATTATTATTATTTTTTTTGAGACACAGGGTTTCACCATGTTGGCCAGGCTGATCTGGAACCCCTGATCTCAGGAGATCCTCCCAACTTGGCCTCCCAATGTGTTGGGATTATAGGTGTGAGCCACCACGCCCGGCCTGTCTCTCTTTTCTAACAGCACCCAATCTAGGGCAAACTCTGGCTCTCTTAAACCCCCCACCCCAAATCATTCAAACAAAATTCAAAATCCAAATTCTATAATATATTCATTCTCACATTCTCTAACTGAAACATCCAACATTTCCCCATGGTGAGGGTTCTTCCTTGCTATAACGAGTAATAAACCCAACTTGTTCCACTATAGGTGTATTTCTGGTGGACTTGGCTAAAGAGCATTAACAGAATTGAGGCAAAAAATGATTATCTGAAGTTTTAATATAATGCAAAGAACATTGTCTAATGGGCTTTCTTGAAGATCTTTTAACTTTAGGGGAATAAACTTTGTACACTTGATTAAATAATTCTGTAAACCTGATAAGATAGGATAATTTTAGATGAATATTTTTTCTTTTCTGTAGAGAACTCAACACCAAAGAGTCTGGTCTTATTGCTCTGAAGGATTTCAACCAGTTTTGTATTTAACTTAGCAGTATTATCTCAGCAGTCCTTCCCCCTGACCACTATAAAAATCTTCATTTTTCAAATCTCCTTGAATCAGCTTTGTCATTCTTTTGGTACTCTCATTGATATTCACTCTATATTTGTATACAAATTATATTTTTACATTTTTATACTGATATTTTGATAGTTTGGATGAGAACACGGATCACTGAAATATGGTACCTTTTGGGAAAAAAAAATACAAGATGTGTGTTGGACTTCACCTATTACCATAGACATGTGAGTGGGGCTAAGAAGTGGAGATGTGGAATGGGGAGAGAAGGGAGATTTGGAGTTGGTGGTGAATCAGAAGAGTTTGTTTTTCAACTGGTCTAAATTCTCCCTGATCCAGTTTAAACTCCTATATTCCCATCATGCTCAGCCCTTAGGTCAGATCTCCAGCGTAATGATGGAATGTCTTAGAAGCTGGTATTAAATCACACTTGGGCTTTTCTTCATTGCTTTAAATAATGTAGGAGCTCATCAAATATGTATTCACATTTACACATCTGGGACAATGTGCTGAGATTTTTTTAAATGATCATATAAATGTTGTGATTTTAATAGTTATTTTTGATCAAAAGCAATAAAATCTTAGCTGGGTTTGGAATAAGGCAACTTGATGCTTATCCCCCAAGGATAGGGTATAATCTCAGTTTCTTAGTGTGTAGAATATCAACAAATATAAAAGCACTGTGGTTTTCCAGCACATAGTGTGTGAGTAAAGCATATGGAAAGCAGAGAAAGCCACGGTATAAAACATATAACTGCATTCTGAAAATGTTTATTTAATAAATGTTTTATATCTTTTTTTTGGAGGGGACTGAGTTTTGCTTTTGTTGCCCAGGCTGGAGTGTAGTGGTGCAATCTTTGCTCACTGCAACCTCTGCCTTCTGGGTTCAAGCGATTGTCCTGCCTCATCCTCCCGAGTAGCTGGAATTACAGGCGCTCACTACCATGCCTGGCTAATTTTTTTGTATTTTTAGTAGAGATGGGGTTTCACCATGTTGGCCAGGCTGGTCTCAAACTCCTGACCTCAGCTCAGGTGATCCACCTGCCTCGGCTTCCCAAAGTGCTGGGATTACAGGCATGAGCCACTGTGCCCGGCCTGTTTTATATCTTGACATTGTAATGAAACTAGCCGTTCTAAATCTAGATTAATGAAAAAATCAAAGGGATGTTGGGCGGTGAATTCACTAGTGTCTGATTCTCCCCCTTGTTTTCCTATGAACAACTGTTTAAATTGGGTATTCTTACCCCGGGACTTACTCTTAGAATTACAGAGCTGCCCCTCTCATGTAGGAACCTATGTGAGACTTTAAACAAGAACCCAGAAGATTTAGGCTCTAGTTCTACCAAAACCAAGTTGAAGTTTTTGTTTTGTATGTGAGATTTCCTCTTCCTCTTTACATTCTTCGTTGAAAAGAATGAGGTACTGGAACAGATGGTCATGCTATAAATCAGGGAATAGCCACTTTTTGTCCTGGATAATTTACTTGGGTTTTGGAGATAACACAGGCCTGCCACAGATTGCAGTGAGAGATATTGCTGTTTTCCTTTTCACTTATTTAAACAGTGTTTTTTGGGAATTACTCAGTGTTAGGTTTTGAGCTATGTAATGAGCATGGAATAGTAATTGAGATTGGCAACTTGCTGCCCTTATAGATATTAGTGAGGAAATATTAAGAGGTAAACTTAGTGAAGTGGTTCAATGGGTGGTCTAGACTCTAGATAAGACCACCTGGTTCATGTAGCAGTTCCTCCCCCTACTGTTTTATGACCCAGGCAAATCACTTCGTGTGTGTGTGTGTGTGTGTGTGTGTGAATGTGTGTGTGTATGAAGGGAGTGATTAGTGGATTGTTTGGGAAGGAGGGACAGAGACTGTGGGAGTATAAAGGAAGGACACTTAACGCAGGCTTGCCATAAGGATTCAGAAAGGCTTTCTGTAAAAGGTAACAGCTAAACTAAGGCCCAAAATGAGTAAGAGTTAGCCAGGCTAAGTGGTTGCAGGGAGAGTGGAGGTCATTCTAGGTTGTATCAGACTCAGCTTGTTGTCCTTCAACACCCATTTGCTCTTTCTTCTTCAGTTATGGAATTGTAGGATTTTAGGTAGGATGTGGCTATCCAAAGCAGAAATCGCATTTCTCAGTTTCACGTGTGGTTAGGTGTTTCATGTGGCTATGTTCTGGCCAGTGAGATATAAACACAAATTGTCAGTGCCCCTTCTAGGATGTATTTTTTTAGATAACTTCTACTGTGTATATTTACGGCATATAACATAGTGTTATTTTGTATATAGATGTGTATGAGTGTGTGTGTGTGTGTGTGTGTGTGTGTGTATGTATAGTAACTCTCTCTATATAGTTACTATAGTGAAACAAATTGACATACTCATTATCTTATATCATTACTCATCCCCCCATCCTCTTATCCTCTCCTGTGACAAGAACAGCTATAATTTATTCATTTAGCAAAAATTCTGAATATAATACACTATGATTAACTGTAGTCCTCATGTTAGATCTTTTGACCTATTCATAGAATATAGTCTCAAAGGAAAGGAACATGCACTTCTCATCCTCATTCTTCTTTCCTTCTCAAGTTGTGATGGCTGAAGCTGGAGCAACAATATTAGACCTTAGAGTAAATTTAGGTATAGAGGTTGCATAGAAGAACAAGAAATTACATAGAGCTCAGCTCTGATGCTTTGCAGTGGAATTTCCACAGCAGTCTGAGACTGAAACTTGGCTTATGCAAGCAAGAAATAAAGTATCTTATTGAAGTCAGTGTCACTTGCAGCAGAACTTAATCCTAACTAAATCATAGGGATACTAAAATATCACTACAAGTGCAAGAAGATGGGGTACACCATAAATGCATATTCAGAACTCAGAGGTGTGTGGTGTGTGGTTGGCAGTAATTATTTGTTATGTTACTTAGGTGAGGTGGAATAAGACTTCTAATAATGCATGCTCAATTAGCCTCACAGGTGATTGGTATACTGCCTTCTAAAGACAGAAGGTAGGGACTTTGTCTGAGTAAATCATGTAAGTTAGAGCCAGACCTGGATTCTCAGAAGTCAGAGCTTCTTTCCCCTCTTGTATTAGTTTGGACACTTTTAAACATAAGTTAGAGAACATTTTCTCAATCTATCTTAAGCAATGATGCAACTATCTTACATAGCTAGAAGTTCAGAAGTAGGGTGAGCTTTAAAGCTGGTTGATTCAGCAGCACAGAGATGGCATCAAAAACCCAGGTTGTTTTCTGCTCCTTTAGTCTACCATATATAGATTGAATGCCATCATAAGCATAATTTCATTGCGGTAATCAGATGATACCATTACTAATAGTGCAGTAAGGTTACATGCTTCATTGTTGAGAGAGAGAGAGAGAGAGAGAGAGAAAGAGAAGAGAATGCTACTATGATGGAATAAGAGTCTTTTTTTTCTTTTTGTTTTTTTCTTTCTTTCTTTTTTTTTTTTTTTTTGAGACAGTCTCACTCTGTCGCCCAAGCTGGAGTATAGCAGTGACGTGATCTTGGCTCACTGCAACCTCCCACTCCTGGCTTCAAGCGATTCTCCTGACTCAGCCTCTCGAGTAGCTGAGATTACAGACACGTACCACCACGTCTGGCTAATTTTTGTATTTTTAGTACAGACAGGGTTTTGCCACATTGGCCAGGCTGGTCTCGAACTCTTGGCACAAAGTGATCTGCCTGCATCGGCATTCCATAGTGCTGGAATTATAGGTATGAGCCATTGCACCCAGCCCAAGAGTCATTTTTAAAGTCTATTTTGGTCAGTTCGTGTCATGAACCTACCTCTGGACCATTAACTTATGCTAGAGAAATGCATGAGCTTATGGCTTATGACTAGGTTCCTGAAAGAACAGCTGACAAGGAGCTATCATGGCTGTCATAGACCACTGGTTCTCATGGCAATGATACTGCTCACTTCAGAAGAATTTGGAAATTTGTAGAGAAATCTGTTGGTTGCTATAATGTTTGGGAATACATTGGCATTTAGTAGGCAAAAGATGATAAATATTCTATAATTCTGGGACAATTTCCCACAATAAAAATGGTCTCATACCTCACACAACTTCAAATGACCTGCAACACTGTTTAGTAAAATTCCTTGAAATGTGAGATAATCGGTTTTTACAGAGAGAGAAAATTAAATAAAGCAAAAAACAGTTATGATGGAGTAGCTCACGGCAGACAAGTATTTTACTACGAACAACCAAAAATGTCTGCTAAGCTAAAGAAAATAATTTATTTGAAGGCATTGGAGAGTTTCTGAGGTGGTCTGAATTTGAAGGGTTCCATCCCAGAGATAAAGCAAGCTGACCTTCTGCATGCTACCTCTGTCCTCAGAGCATTTACTGATTGTTGGCTTGGGAACAAGAGGCTGAGAATCTGGGAAGACGTTGAATGTCTTTTTTATCACTGGTAGAGGGAATTTTTGGCTTTTCACTGTGACATTAGCTGGTGTGACTTGAGTCTGGCATTTTTTTTCTTCAGTCATCCCAGTGGCACTGAAGAGCAACTACCAACTCCAACCCCAGAGTACTTAAAATTACCATGTATCTGTCATGCTAGAGGGACTACACTAGTGTATTCCCTTCCACCATTATTCCATCTCGATTTACAACAGATGATAATCTTGGTCATGTGATGCTGTGACATGTGAAGCATCACCAAACCCCTACTTGTCAACAGCAACAGAGTTCTGGTTGTCATCTGGTCTTGAATTATTCGGTTCTTAAAGATCTTTTTCTTAGGTGCATCTATGCTACTGATTTGTTTTAGATTTGATTCCCCAAAAAGGGTGTCTTAAGAAGGCAGCCACCATTATGAACAACTAGAACTTAATCTCATGGAAAATCTATGTGCAAAGCTATGAAACACATACCTCAGTATTATCTCACCTAAGCTGGGGAGGGAGCTGGGGTATTAATACATCAGCTCCCAAGAGTTATTCATGAGGGGATGCTATGCTTCTTGGGGTTGAAAATTTCCTCTTCTATTGGGACTGCCATGTCTACACAGGTAGAGCAGCCTCTGCAGTCCTATAAAGTCTCCCAAACAGAGAGAAGTATATGAAAGCATTTATAAGTTGGCCAAAGCACAAGGAAATGGCACAGATAAAGTCTACCACACCTGGGGACAACACAGTGGTCACTTATGCTCTGATTTTAGGATTTAGAAGAAGGGAAGGAAAATTATGAATCAGAGTATCATGTAAATGTTTATGGACAATAATAATGGTTTTAAAGTGGAAAAAAGATAATTCTGCTTTGTCTCTTGGAAAAATTGAAAATAAAACAAATACAAAATTTAATAGAAACCAAGGAGAATAAGAACTGGGGACATCTGTTACTCCAGACCAGCATATGAGGATGAAAGGCAGATGAAGGAATAGTTGGTAACCTGGCAGCAAGGAGGAAAGCCCAGGTGTACACAGAGGGGATACTGATAAGGAACAAGCCAATGCACTCAGCCAGTCCCCAGAAAGTTGCAGTAACTGGCTACAGCAGGTGCCAAGAAAGTGTGAGGACAGACATAGCAGAATGAAATAGAAAGCTGAATAGATAGGTTTATTGGAAAGTTGGGATAAAGAGTGACCATTCTCACTTTGCCTCGTGACTATCTTTCTCCATTTTTTTTTCCACTGCCAGCTTGGCAGAGCTAGTGGGACACTAGACCTAGAGGGGAATGGGGAGGTGGTGTCAGACCTAAACTTGAGGACTCCATAAAAGTGGGCAAACTGAAAGGTAAGACTCCAGCCCATTTATCCTGACAGCTCCAGAAAGTGAAAGATAAAGTCCAAAATAATAAATAGTAAAAAAGTCTAGGCAGAAAATAAGTCAGGGTAGAGAATAAAGATGCTGTAAGAGAGCCTGAGAGATGAAACTTTTTTTTTTGCATTCATAAGCAAGATTTAAGATGCTTTAAGATGAATGATCAGAAAACAGTCTTAAATGTTAAATGATTACTAAAGAATTCTTAGAAATTGAGAAAACTAATAAGAAATATGTAAAACTTGGAACACATGTCCAAGAAATTAGATTTTAAAATGAACAATAAGGAAGAAGAGTTAAGAAAATGAGAGGATCAATTAATAGAAGTTGTACAAAGGAAAAATGAGTAATAGTGAAGAGGCTCGTAAACATGAGAAATTTCCCAAAAAGTAGAATAAAAGAGATGGACAAGAAGAGAAGTGGTAACAAAGTTGAAAGATCAGTCCAGGAGCTCTAGCATGAAAATGAAAGATTCCAGAAGAGAAACAGAAGAAAAAAAAGGAATCAACATAATAATAGAATAAATTTCTGTATAACCCAAAGGCATGAATTTGTAGATTGAAAATGGCTGCTGAGTACCCGGGAAAATAAATGAAAAGGTCCACAGCAAGGCATATCATCATAAAATTTCACAACACAGGGGTTAAAGGAGATGCCAAAAATTTTCAGAGAAAAAGAGAAAAGATGACATACAAAAATCTGGGAATCAGAATGGCATTGCTCAATACCAGTGCTGGGTGCTAGAAGACAATGGAGAAAGTTTCCAGCATTCTGAGGGAAATGATTTCAGCATCAAATTTTTTATCAAGCAAAATGATCAATCCAGTATAAGGTAGAATAAAAATATGTCAGGCATGCAATAGTTCAAACATATATCTGCCAAGCGCCCTGTTTCAAGAAGATCCTGGAAGAAGTGCTCTGCTAAATTGAAGGCTAAAGCATGAGAGAGGAAGAAAGGGCACTCTGGAAAAAGAATCCAACAGAAGAGCATGGGAAGCAGAAATCCAAGTTGACAGCTGGTGCCAACCAGTCCAGATTAGATCAGGAAAAGGAGAGAAATGGATGTAGTAGATTATCTGACAGACTTCACCAAAAGGAACATTGTACTGAGTAGCATTTTAGAGAGCCTTCAGAGGCTGCAGAAAGAAAATCAAGAAATTAAGAAAGGCAAATTAAGAACAAAATGGGGAAGTTATTAACTCTAGAGGAAAAAAAACTTGTACAAGAAAGGAACCATAATCATAGTTTGCTTTTTGGCTCAGCGTAAACAATTTTAACACAATCAAATAATGACTAAAAACTGTGATTAAAAAATATTGAGGCTATAATAAGAGAAATAAAGCAGTCTTTTATTATAAGAACAAGTCAGTAGATAGTGTTTAAAATTCAAGAGCTAATAGTATGCACAAATTATTTAGGAATGTGGGGGCAATCATGGTATATAAACAGCTAAGAGTTAAAATGTCTGCCTTTAAGGAGTGAGATGGGGTAGAATGCAGGATGCTGCCACTGCTCTTTTCTATGACAGCCTTTGGGACTGTATGACTTTACATGCATTATTAGTATGATAGAATAAGAATGCAGATGCATTCAGAAAGTGGAAACTGCCAGCATAGGCATGGAGACCAGAGTGATCCCTGCTCATCTGGAAACTGTAGAGAAATCAACCTGACAAGAGGGAGGGGGAGCATCGAGAAGGAATAGGAAACAGCAAGCAGTAAGATTAGATAGCTGGGGCGAAGACAAAAGTAACTCTCAATCTGGGGCTTTTGAAAATGGATTAGATGATAAAACATATTTGAACCAATAAAAATACTTCTCCATTTTAATGCATCTCTAATTCCATTATTTCTCACGGTTGTAAAATAGTGATGCTATAGTAAAATTGATTCGACACAGTGGCAATTCAAGGTATCTGCTATAGCATGGTCTGCTCTAAACTGTATAACCCTTTTTAGGGAGGATTAGTTCCCACAAGTGCCAGCAGCATCACAATGAAACAGACTCCTCAAGATGGGCACTGTAATAAAGCTTCAACACAATTTGAGCTGGTTTAGCATCCTGCAAAACATTTCAAACTAGGCAGGGCAGCTGAGACATGTTTTAGAATAAACCTTACTTGCCCCATTTTTTAAAAAGTTTGTGAAGCCCTACTTTCCCAGGCACACTCACCTTTTACATTTTTAGAAGATTCAGGAGAGTAGACAGAAGTAGGGAAAGGAAATGAGTGACTTTTCATTTCCCAGCCTTGTCTCATTTACCACTTCTCACTTGGTTGTACAGTCACATTCCATATTGTTTTTGCCCACTTTAAAAACAACAGAATCCTCTCTTTAAAACTGTACCCTCTTCTAATTAGCATGTGCTATACAAGAATTGTTTGGACTCTCTTTTTTGCTAACGGACAGGCAAATATTTAAAGGAAAGTAGTTTCCAATATGTCAGGATCTTGAATCTGTGACTAATGCACAAAGTAACAGTAACAGCCTAATGCATAACATGGTGACTGTCATCAATATTACTGTATCGTTTACCTGAAATTTGCTGAGAGAACAGATCCTAAGTGTTAACACACACACACACACACACACACACACACACACACACACAATGGTAGTTGTGTGTGGGTATGGATGTGTTAATTAATTTGATTGTAGTAATTATTTCACATTGTATAGATATATCAAATCATCACATTTTGTACACTAAGAATATATGAATTTTTTGTCAATTATACCTCACTAAAGCTGGGGAAAAAACTCAGTAATGGGAAGCCTTGATATTTTCTTGTCATATCAGAAATATTTTTTTTTCCTTCACAAATGTGAGCAAAATCTTTCCTCAAATCTCTGCTTCTTTCTTTTTAAAGAATCTCATGGCAGAAAGAGTTGTCCCAGGCAGTAGTGCCTGGCACGTAGGAAACACTAAAAACATGGTTGTTTTATTATTACTGTCTTGTTAGAGTCTAGCCCTGGCTGTATCACTGCACTAGCTGAATGATCACAGAAAGACTCTTAGGTGTTTTGGACATCAGACTGATTGTCTATAAATTAGGATGTTAGATAAAACTTGATCTTTAAGACCTCTTCAATTCTAAAATGTTGTGATTTAATAAGTTAAAATGTGGAACTATGATCTCTGAAGCATCAGTTTTTCAAAGATTATGTCCTAATGGTGTTAACTTTGACTTCTTGATGTGGTGGATATAATACAGTCATGCATTGCACAATGACATTTGGTCAATGATAGGCTGCATACACAATAGTGGTCCCATAAGATTATAATGCCATATTTTGACTGTATCATTTCTATGTTTATATACACAAATACTTACTATTGTGCTACAATTGCCTACAGTATTCAGTACAGTACAGTTACATGCTATATCGGTTTGTAGCCTAGGAGCAATAAGCTATATTATATAGCCTAGATGTGTAGTATGCTGTACCATATAGGTTTGTGTAAATACACTCTATGATATTCATATAATGACAAAATCACCAATCATACATTTCTCAGGATGGATCCCTGTTGTTAAGCCATGCAGAATTGTATAATGCCTTTTCATCATCTGTAAGCAGGAAAACAGAGATATAAATTGGAGTAAACAGGCCTTAGTGGTAAAATATCCAGCTCTGCATTGCTTTGTAATTCCTGCTGACCCCAGTCTAGCTCCCTCTTCTAGTCATGGATAAGGAATACTGCTCACAAGTTCACAGTTTGAAAACATGAGCCTCCTCTCTCTAGAGAGCAATTTATTTTGACACTAGCAAATGACAAGATTTTTAAAATTAAAGTATTGTGTTTAGGTTTCAAGGTATAAATTTATTCCAGTAAACCCCAAAAACCAAGTTTTTTGTTTTGTTTTGGTGAGGCAGAGTTTCGCTGTTGTCACCCAGGATGGAGTGCAATGGTGCAATCTCGGCTCACTGCAACCTCTGCCTCCTGGGTTCAAGCAATTCTCCTGCCTCAGCTTCCCAAGTAGCTGGGATTGTAAGTGCCCGCCACCAGACCCAGCTAATTTTTGTGTTTTTAGTAGAGATGGGGTTTCACCATGTTGGCCAGGCTGGGCTTGAGCTCCTGGCCTCAGGTGATCCACCCACCTTGGCCTCCTAAAGTGCTGGGATTACAAGCATGAGCCACAGTGCCTGGCCATAAGAAACCAAGTTTTAATGCCACTCATTTATTAATTTAATTAATTTAATGAATATTTATTAAACATCTGCCATGTGCTGCGATGTATATTGCTATGAATTTTCTGAAAAGACTGAGTCATTCATCATTTTCAGAGTACCTAGAAACATAGAGTGATATGGTTGGGTCTGTATCCCCACCCAAATCTCATGTCAAATTGTAATCCTCAGAGTTGGAGGTGAGGCCTGAAAGGAGGTGATTGGATCAGTGAGTGAATTTCCCTTTTGCTATTCTTGAGATAGTAAGCTCTCATGAGATCTGTTTGTTTAAAAGTGTGTAGCACCTCTCCCTTCTCTCTCTTCTTCCTGCTTAGGCCATGTGAAGATGTGCCTGTTTTCCCTTCACCTTCTGCCATGATTGTAAATTTCCTAAGGCTTCCTCAGTCATGTTTCCTGTACAGCCTGTGAAACCATGAGACAATTAAACCTTTTTTCTTTTTAAATTACCCAGCTTCAGGTATTTTTTATAGCAGTGTTAGAATGGACTAATATAGAGAATTGATACTTAGGAGTGGGGCATTGCTATAAAGATACCTGAAAATGTGGAAATGACTTTGGAACTGGGTAACCAGCAGAGGCTGGAAGAGTGTGGAAGGCTCAGAAGACAGGAAGATGAGGGAAAGTTTGGAACTTCCTAGAGACTCACTTAATGGTTTTGACCAACATGCTGATAGTGATATGGACAGAGATGGCCAGCTGATGAGGTCTCAGATGTAAATGAGGAACTTCTTGGGAACTGGATCAAATGTCACTTTTGTTATGCATTAGCAAAGAACCTGGCAACACTGTGCCCCTGCTCTAGTGATCTGTGGAACTTTGAAATTGAGAGAGATGATTTAGGGTATCTGGCAGAATAAATTTCTAAGCAGCAAAGCCTTCAGGATTTGTCCTGGCTGCTTCTAAAAGCCTATCCTCATATATGTGAACAAAGAAATGACCTGAAACTGGAACTTATATTTAAAAGGAAAATAAAGAATAAAAGCTTGGAAAATTTGCAGCTTGGCCATATGGTAGAAAAGAAAAACCCATTTTCACGGAAGGAATTAAAGCAGGCTGCAGAAATTTGCATAACTAAAAGGAAGGGAAGTACTAATAGCCAAGACAATGGGGAAAAGGCCCTATAGGCTCTGATGGCCTAGGAGGGAAGAATGGGTTTGTGGGTCAGGCCTAGGGCTGTACTGCCCTGCGCAAACTCGGTACACTCCTCCCTGCATCTTGGCTGCTCCAGCCATGGCTCAAAGGGGCACAGCTACTCAGGCTGCTGCTTCAGAAGGTGAAAGCTCTAAGCCTTCATGGCTACTATGTGGTGTTAAGCCTTTGGGTGTGCAGAGTGTAAGAGTTGAGGCTTGGGAGCCTTCGCCTAGATTTCAGAAGATTTATGGAAAATCATGGGCATCCAGGAAGAAGTCTGTTGCAGAAGTGGAGCCCTCATAGAGAACTTCTACTAGTGCAGTGTGAAGGGAAAATGTGGGGTTGGAGTTCCCATGCAGAGTCCACACTGGGGCACTGCCTAGTAGAGCTGTGAGAGGAGGGCCACTGTTTTTCAACCCCAGAATTATAGATCCACTAACAGCTTGCACTGTAGGCCTGGAAAAGTTGTAAGCACTCAATGCCAGCCCTTGAGAGCAGCTGTGGGGGCTGAGCCCTGCAAAGTCATGGGGCAGAGCTGTCCAAGGCCTAGAGAGCCCACCCCTTGCATCAGTGTGACCTGGTTGTGAGACATGGAGTCAAAGGAGATTATTTTGGAGCTTTAAGATTTAATGACTGCCCTGCTGCATTTTGGATTTGCAAAGGGCCTGTAGGTCCTTTCTTTTGGCTGATTTCTCCCTTTTGGAAAGAGAGTATTTACTCAATGCCTATACTCCCATTGTGTCTCAGAAGTAACTAAGTTGCTTTTGATTTTACAGGCTCATAGGTGGAAGGGACTTACCTTGTCTCAGATGAGACTTTGGACTTGGGCTTTTGGGGTAATGCTGGAATGAGACTTTTGGGGTAATAAGACATTGTGAGACTGTTGGGAAGGCATGATTGGTTTTGAAATGTAAAGAGAAGGTGAGATTTGGGAGGGGCCAGAGGCAGAATGATATGGTTTCGGTCTGTGTCCCTGCCCAAATATCATGTCAAATTATAATCCCCAGTGTTGGAGGTGTGGCCTGGTGGGAGGTGATTGGACCATGGGGATGGATTTTCCTCTTGCTGTTCTGGTGATTGTGAGTGAATTCTCATGAGATTTGGTTGTTTAAAAGTGTGTAGCACTTCTGTCTCCTCTCTCTTCCTCCTGCTGTGGTCATGTGAAGATGTGCCTGCTTCCTCTTTACCTTCTTCCATGATTATAAGTTTCCTGAGGCCTCCTTGGCTTGCTTCCTGTATAGCCTGCAAATCCATGAGCCAATTAAACCTCTTTTCTTTACAAATTACCCTGTTTCAGGTGTTTCTTTATAGCAGTGCAAGAACAGACTAATACATAAGAGGATGTAGGATAGGGCAAAGGTGAAAAAATAACAAGCAGCATTTAAAAACTATTTCAAAATATTTCATTTATTTATGTACATTCTAGTCCTCCCAACCCAGAATGTGTCTATTTGCAAAGGTAAAGATTCAATTAAAGAAATAAAGATACTAATTTGAGGTTTTAAAATAGTGACAGCCAGCATTCAATGAATTCTTTCTCCATACCACTCCTGGCACTATCTTCTTCTTCTTCTTCTTTTTTTTTTTTTTTTTGCCAATACAGGTATTATTATTTTCTACTTTACAAATGAGGGTATCAAAATGTACAACGATTAGTTAGTCTAAGACAATACAATGAGTTCATGGTGGCATTGGAACTTGCAGCTCGATCTGGTTGACTGCCTCCTGCACCACCTGTCCCCGTGTTTCTGCTGGTCACAGCTCTATGCAGCTCAGCAAGAGTGAGGTGGAGCTGTTGGGGTCTTTGGCCCTCTGGTTCCACCCCAAGAGCTGTATGTTGACCCTCACAGCATGAAAATCTGTCAGTAATGACAGCTCTTACAAGAAGCAACTGTTACCAGAAATAAAGGGCAGACTGTAGCACTCAAACACCTGTGTGTGCAAGGCTACATGTCATCATCAGCCATGTCATCAACTAATGAACCAATGTTGCATAAGTACTCGTGGCTGCCTCACTACTTTCCACAGCTCTGTCCTGAGCTTTTGCAATCAGCAGAAAACCAGTTCTTCCACAATAAGCACAGTAGCAGTTTGGTCCCACTTTGTCTTGATGTGATAACCAGCTCTGATGAAAAGATGCTCTACAGTTTTATGAAGACTCTTTCCAGTCTTCAGATCTGCAGGCAGTTGGTACAGAGATAAGACCAAATAATATATAAAACAACTATTTTTCCATTAGGGCTAATGTCTAACTTACTCACATGCATGTTTCTTTGCAATCACTGTCTATGTGATGCTCTTAAGACAGCAGTATTAAAATAAACTTACCCACATGCAAAAAATAGAAGTTCAAACATGATTCTTTTGTTGTATGAAGATCATGTCTAGCCTGTAAAAGCAAAGAGCCAATAATAATAACACTGATAATTATTATCAGTGTTAAAATTTGTATGGTTCTTTATTGCTTATAAAGTAAACCACAGAATCAATATAAACCTCTTATGAGGTAGGGTCCATCCCCATTTGTTTTAGAGAAGGCTCAGAGAAGTTGTATTGTTAATTATTAACTCACCTAACAATATACAGAATAGGATAGTGTCAAGAAGACAAGGTTTGGAATCAGATCAACTTTCAATTCCATTTCTGCTATTTTACTATCTGTGTGAAAATGGCCAAGTTTCCTAGGCTCACTAATCTTCAATTTTCTTATCTGTGCATCGGGGCTAATCAAAGTATCTACCCATAGGGCTGTAGTGAGAATTAAATAAGATAATTCATGTAAGGCACTAACCACAATATCTGTAGCAAAGCTGTTGCTACAAATGGTGGTTGATATTGTTATAATATTATTACTGCTTTTTATCTTCTATGCTGGATGTTGTGGTAAGCGCTGGTGAACAATAACAAAAGTTATAGTCTAGTGCATGTGCATAAATATTCAAAGCTAGTAGACAGAGGAGATAACACACATTTTCTGTTTCTTAAGCCTTAAACCAATTTATTTTTAAAACCACCAATCTCTTTGTCGTGAAGAAAAGTGAAAAATTAAAAGAAATGCAAATAAAAGCTAGTTAAGGTAATGCTAGCTTCTTGTCAGTTGTTCAAAGTGAAAATGTCATTCCTGTATTCCTGTGTTCTAGGCTGAATTCCTTTTCTTTTTTTCGTTAAGGTAGAAACCATTTTTATTTCCCAGCACATGAACCAGATTGCAATAGAGCTTGTTTGCACTGTGGCTGGCTGATGTTTTTCTTGTGGAGTCATCAAAGATTTAGAATTTTCTCAGGCAGATGTTGAAATCTAGATAGAAAAATTTATCAATGATATATTACAAAGACTATTCATCTTGAATAAGATACCATATTGCAAACTGTCTTGTTTAACAGGCTTACAGAGTAGTTATGGTTTCCATAGAAACAAGACTAAATCCTTCCTTTAGTACAGTCCCGGAGGTCTCAGTAGACCTGCAAAAATATGCCATGAACTGTCAAAACACTGCTTCTGCTGACATACGGAGAGCAGCATTTGTTGCTCCATCAAGCTGTCCTCGTGTGGCACAGTGCACTGAAAATTTTAGTTAAGATGCTAATTTTTACAGAGAAAATGCATCTTCCTTGAATGTTCTAGTTCACTCTTTTACTGCAGTGTTCAAGAGGCCGGTAACCCAGAGTTAAATCCAGCCTTCTTTTATATACTGTACATGCAACTTCTAATAGAAGAGTTGTTCAAATGCAGATTCACCTGCTTCTTCATAGTTGACTTGTCATTTCCTAGTAATTATGCTTTACTCCCAACCTACAAATTAAGTCATGAATTAGTTTTCATTTGCTAGAAAGAGGCAGCAAACCCTAGGAATTTTAACCATTGCACTGCCAGAAAGCCCTTGAACTTAGTTAATTCATGCTTCTTTCACTGTAAATAAGGATAAAGATATAAATTGACTCACATTACAGGGAAGCTCCAAAATACACAGAGAAGTAATTGCAAGGGATACAAAAATTCAGACTTTAATATTCTGTTTTTAAGTGAAGATAGAATGGATAATCAGTTGGAAATGGTCAATTATTATGGACCAGAAATAATAAATTCTGGATAGTGAGATTACAGTAGTAAGACCAGCTTTTAAGGAAGGTAGAGTGAAAATTAGCTACTGACAAAGCAAATATGTGAACAATATATAATTTCAGTATAATTTTCAAAAGCTTATTTTTGTAATAGCCAATTCTGGACTAGGTCAATGACCTTTTTGTCAATGAATAATTTGTACCATTTATTACTGTTTTTTCTCTTTACCTTTGACCATTTAGCTACTCATTAGTGTCCCATTAAGTGTTATTACCGTTTTTCTGTTTGTAAAAGTAGCACATACATATTGCACAAAGATATAGTGAAATTCAGTAATTTCCAAAGAGTGAAGCAAAACTCGACCATAATCTCATTACTAAGAAACAAACACTGTTACCATCTTGGTCTACTTCTCAGAATTTGTGCATATACATTCTAGGTAAACTGTTAAAGACAAAAAGGGGATCTTCCATATTCTTCCATTTGTGACTATTTTCACTTAATACTTGCTGGATTTTTTACATCAATAAATAAGGATATGTCTTTTTAATGGCTAAATAATATTCCATTGATCTAGTCATTTATTAATTAAGTAATTATTAGTTCTTATTATGTATCAGGTCTTCTGCTAGTCCTGAAGCACAGTGGTGAACAAAAATGAAAAGTCTCTTAATTTATTTAACTACTTTTTTGTTAGAGGCTAATATTGTTTCCCCATCTTTAAATGGACTTTTGGTCTTGCCAAGAAAACTTGGTAACTGGCAAAGGAGTTGAGGAGAAGATAACATTATTTTGGAAAACTGGAGCCAAACTTCCAGAAAAGCCTTTGCTACTCAGTGTGTTAAAATAAAATCCTTTCTTTCTGCATCTATTATAACAACGTAAACAACAGTAGGCACTTAATGAGTGCAGTCTAAATAAGTTCCATATATTGGATTTTTTAATTCTCAAAATTGCCCTATGAAGTAGATACAGTTATTGGCAGTACTATTATTCCCATTTTATAGCCAAGGAAAATGAGGTACAGAAAGGTTAAGTAACTTGCCTAAGGTCACAAAGTAAATAAATAGAAAGACGGATTTGACCCTGGCAACCTGACTCCAAAACCTTTATCCTAGGCTACCTCTTGTTAATACTGAACTTAGCATATAAGTGTATTATTGAAGCATTGTATGTGTTGTGATTATTTTTCACATCTGACCTCTAAGAGTGTAAGCCTCCTGAGGGCAGAGGCCCTTTTATTAATTTTTGTGTGACTCAAACAGTGAATGATTTATAAGGAGCATCCTGTAATGTTTTGAAGAACGAATAAAAGAATACATGAATAAATGCCATTTGGAAATGTAACATATCTCTAAAGAATGGAAGATTGTGTGGGGAATAGGTGTTCAGAAAATGTTATGAAAATTCAAAATTCTTCCTACAGAAGCAATCCTTTTCCATTGGTAGGAGGGCCCTCTATTCTAGGATCAGCTGTATACTGACCAGCATCAGACATACACTTCCACTCTACTCTAGCAAACTTGAAAAAAATCTAGATGAAAAATCATTCAATTATCTGCATGTTAAGTGGCTGTCCATTATGTAGATATATGACGAAAGGTCTGTATTTGAAAATATAAAGATGTTTGGTGTCATCAATTCAACAGTTTTTACTGGACGAAGTTATACTTTTCATCCTGAAATTTTCATTTACTATTGACACTACTTTTAAAACTTGTATTCAGAGATAACTAAGGGACACAACCAGTTTAAAAGTTAGAGAAGTCTGGGCGCAGTGGCTCACGCCTGTAATACCAGCACTTTGGGAGGCCGAGGCGGGCAGATCACGAGCTCAGGACATCGAGACCATCCTGGCTAACACGGCGAAACCCCCTCTCTACTAAAAATACAAAAAATTAGCTGGATGCTGTGGCGGGCACCTGTAGTCCCAGCTACTCGGGAGGCTGAGGCAGGAGAATGGCATGAACCCAGGAGGCAGAGCTTGCAGTGAGCTGAGATCGCGCCACTACACTCCAGCCTAGGCGACAGAGCGAGACTCCGTCTTAAAAAAAAAAAAAAAAAAAGAGAGAAAACAATCTAGCTGTTGGATGATGTTGAGTGCCTTTCCTTGCAGAATGGGCTTCTGTCCAAGGATGAAAGAGTTGACCTCCAAGTGTATGCTGTTGTTACTGATGGTTCTGTGCAACTCAGCTGGCTAAGTAGTTCTCCATGGGGCTGGTAGGGGCTTTTTGGAAATTCACTGAGGAGGATTTGTTTGTCACAATGATAGAAGAGAAGGGTCATTGGCGTTGTAGAGCTCTCAGCCGGGACATCAGATAGTCTTCACTGTGTGGAAGAGTTCTCACAGCAAGGATTTGTACCATGTCTCAAGTGACTTTTAAATATTAAAAACGTATTATTTTGTTATATATTACTTCTTTTTAAATTTACCTTTGAATTATGTATGTAGCTAGATTATCTTTGAATTTTATGTCTGGGGAGTTAAGGGGGCTCTAGAGAGTATTTCCTTTACAAGGGGAGCACTGAGTTTCAAAAGGTTGAGAATCCCAAAATCAGACAAGATACCTTAGGAATTAGTGTTTCTGGAGTATAGCAGGATTCCATTTTTCTTAGATATAGAATTTCAGGTGAAACTTAGTAGGGCGAAAGATTTGGTAAATAGCCAGTGAGAATTCTTGAATTAGTGCCTGGGATATTTAGTCTCACAAATATTATCCACATTTCCTTAATTCCGCTGGTTTTTTTTCATGTCATTCCCCAGTGAATATGAAATGTGATAGAATTTGGGGAAGATGGATTGTTCCAAATGTAATTAGAAGGACATGAGTTATATAGCCTGGAATCTAGTGGACGCCTCCTTGCTTTATGTGTGACATGATCAGAATTTTTCTTGAGGATGATAAATCTGATAGTGGGATATTGCATAATTTCAGATCAGAAAAACCACATCTCCCAGATTGGGTCACTCCTTCTAGAAGGGAGTAAAAATAAAATAACATTTGTCCTATTTCTTCATCCCTACACAGATCTTTTTTTTGCTTTTGATCATGCTTCCTGATTCTTAGGGCTCTTCATTTCCTCTCCTGCAATCTCAGGGGATTATGTGGGCCAGAAAGTTGAGCAAGTGATTGATCTGGGACAGCTCTTAGTCTTGGCTTCATCACTTTACTTTCTCACCTTCCTCTGGAAGGCAAATTGCAAGCTTGCTTCTTCTTGTTACTTTCTAGGTTAACTCCTCTTTAGAACTGGTATCCTTGGGGCTGTGTGAATATAACATTTTATAGCCAATGATTTCAGGATCTTAACTATTATTTTGTTGGAATAGATTTTCAAAAACATTCTCACTCTAAAAAAGTCAGTCTTTGCCTCAAAGAAGCACCTGTATATCTTGGCATTTCCTAAAAGGCATCTCACATCTTTTACATAAAGGAAAATCTCAGTAGATAACTAGCTACCTTCTAATTTAATCCTCAACAAGCTTGGTATACTATAGAGTATTATCTTAAGAAGGCTAGGCAAATCCTGCTTGTATCAGTGATTAAAATTCTAAACTACACTTCTACCTGCACAAGGACAGATTCCTAACTGATATCTTTATGTTTGATTGACTCTTTTGCCCTCTCATGTTTGCAAGAAGGTAAACTTTGTAAAACAAACATATTCCTATGAACTTTTGTGGTGGTGTTTGTTTTGTTTTTGCGAACACAAAGATAAAAGCAAAACAAAAACAAAATCACTACTGAGGAGACTGGAACATGAAGAGAACGAGCCAAAGGCTGGAGAGGAGAGGAGGGCAGAGGGTTCCCAAGGTAGATTGGGAATCCAGTGTTAAGTGAGGCTAATATTTCTAATGGCCTCCCCTTTTTTTAAAATCATGTTGAAAAAAAAAAAACCTTTGCAACAACACAGATGCAGTTGCAGGCCATAATCCTAAGGAAATTAATGTAGGAACAGATAACTTAATATCACATATTCTTACTTAAAGGTGGGAACTAAACATTCAGCACACAGGGACATAAACATGGGAAAAATAAACACTGTGGACTACTAGTCAGAGGAGGAAGGGTAGGATGGGTTGAAAAACTACCTATTGCGCACTATGCTCACCACTTGGGTGCTTGGGTGATGGAATCTGTACTCTAATCTTTAGCATCATGCAGTATTCCCATATAACAAGGCTGCACGTCGACCTCTTATATCTAAAATAAAAGTTGAAATTAGCAAACAACCAAAAACACCTCAGGGCCTCCCAGGTTTTAATCCTAGGTGATTTAGATTTATTTGAGCAGCTACATTCTTCTAATTCTTGATTTATTATTAGGACAAAAATTCTCTTAGAAGTAAAGGCCCTGAAACCTCCTGGCAGGTCAAGGTGTTTTCAAGGGTAGTCTGGGAAGGGAAACTCAATAATACATTAAAATCCATCAGATTCTTGCTGAGATTAGCTGTCACCTAGCAAGACCTTGAGGGAAAGGACATTGGAGGAGGGAAGGAGGAAAAGATCAGGAAAGCTTCCTGGGTAAACTTTTCTGGGGAGAGCAAGTGGAATCCATCAGGAAACTGCCTGGGGGCCCCAACTGTTGGTGGTTGGGGGATGCTTAGAAGGCAGTAGAAAGACAGCTGACAAAGGGGGTTGTGGAGGGCTTAGTGGTAAATTTCTCCAGTATGTGGTACTGCCCAGCACAATGGGTAAAACATAGTAAGCCAATACCACATATTGGTTAATTTCCTTTTCTCAAAGCTTCCTCTAGGATGGGCTTGTCCTGTAGCCTCCAGAGTAGCTTCCCAGGGCTTGATTTGTTTGGACTAAGATGAACTTTGTATTCTTGATCCTTTTGTTTGATCAGTTCTATGACTCAGGGTTGTGTTAGTGTCTCTGCTTTCCCTACTGGACACCCCATACATTTTGACCTCAGTCCAGGACTACTCTAGCAGCTCTCTGGTTGTGTGTTTGCGTGTGTGAGAGAGTATGTGAGTTATTATTCTCCCTCTCATCCTGCCCTCTCTTTCCATGAGTTCCTATGTCAGGGCCAGAGACACACACTATTCTTATAATTAATGCACTGAGCTTTGTACATATGATGTAGAGCCTAATTTTACATTAAACAGTCTGAAATGTTATCAGATTATTCGATCCCAAGTAATCCAATCTTGCAAAAAGTTTTATTCTTGAAACTAGAGTATAAAGAGAAACTGCCATCCTTAAGAAATGCAATTCAGTAGTCTCAAAATTTTGCTTTGGGAGGACAATTTCCTGGTAGGCTGCCAGACCCTCTGTGCTGATTTTACATCCATTAGGGGTTTCTTTGTTTGGATTATTGTTGCTGATATTCCTACTTCAAAAGGGGCATTGACCCACTTTCACACCCCTTGTCAGATGTGGACAAAGATCTTTCCGAAAATTGCTTTACAATGGCTGAGTTGAATGTCCACACTCACTGTATTAAATTATTTGTGATGACAAAGGGAAATAATGGGTTGAAAATGCCATCTTTAGTGGCATCTTCACTAAGTGTTGCTTTACTTTTTTTTCAATGTAGTCTGCAGAATGGGTCTTCAGGTTACTTATAACCATGAAAATGGCTTCTCTGAGAATCTGGGTCCTGCAGCTCTGATATATAATGTGAGGGTTCTGTGCTCTCTTTTCTTTTATATATATATATATATATATATATATATATATATATATATATATTTTATTATACTTTAAGTTCTAGGGTACATGTGCACAATGTGCAGGTTTGTTACATATGTATACATGTGCCATGTTGGTGTGCTGCACCCATTAACTCGTCATTTGCATTAGGTATATCTCGTAATGCTATCCCTCCCCACTTCCCCTACCCCACAACAGGCCCCAGTGTGTGATGTTCCCTTTTCTGTGTCCAAGTGTTCTCATTGTTCAATTCCCACCTATGAGTGAGAACATGCAGTGTTTGGTTTTTTGTCCTTGCAATAGTTTGCTGAGAATGATGGTTTCCAGCTTCATCCATGTCCCTACAAAGGACATGAACTCATCCTTTTTCATGGCTGCATAGTATTCCATGGTGTGTATGTGCCACATTTTCTTAATCCAGTCTATCATTGTTGGACATTTGGGTTGGTTCCAAGTCTTTGCTATTGTGAATAGTGCTGCAATAAACTTATGTGTGCATATGTCTTTATAGCAGCATGATTTATATTCCATTGGGTATATACCCAGTAATGAGATGGCTGGGTCAAATGGTATTTCTAGTTCTAGATCCCTGAGGAATCGCCACACTGACTTCCACAATGGTTGAACTAGTTTACAGTCCCACTAACAGTGTAAAAGTGTTCCTATTTCTCCACATCCTCTCCAGCACCTGTTGTTTCCTGACTTTTTAATGATTGCCATTCTAACTGGTATGAGATGATATCTCATTGTGGTTTTGATTTGCATTTCTCTGATGGCCAGTGATGATGAGCATTTTTTCATGTGTCTGTTGGCTGCATAAATGTCTTCTTTTGAGAAGTGTCTGTTCATATCCTTCGCCCACTTTTTAATGGGGTTGTTTGTTTTTTTCCTGTAAATTTGTTTGAGTTCTTTGTAGATTCTGGATATTAGCCCTTTGTCAGATAAGTAGATTGCAAAAATTTTCTCCCATTCTGTAGGTTGCCTGTTCACTCTGATGGTAGTTTCTTTTGCTGTGCAGAAGCTCTTCAGTTTAATTGGATCCCATTTGTCAATTTTGGCTTTTGTTGCCATTGCTTTTGGTGTTTTAGAAATGAAGTCGTTGCCCATGCCTATGTCCTGAATGGTATTGCCTAGGTTTTCTTCTAGTGTTTTTATGGTTTTAGGTCTAACATTTAAGTCTTTAATCCATCTTGAATTAATTTTTGTATAAGGTGTAAAGAAGGGATCCAGTTTCAGCTTTCTACATATGGCTAGCCTGTTTTCCCAGCACCATTTGTTAAATAGGGAATCCTTTCCCCATTTCTTGTTTTTGTCAGGTTTGTCAAAGATCAGATAGTTGTAGATGTGTGGTATTATTTCTGAGGGCTCTGTTCTGTTCCATTGGTCTATATCTCTGTTTTGGTACCAGTACCATGCTGTTTGGGTTACTGTAGCCTTGTAGTATAGTTTCAGGTCAGGTAGCGTGATGCCTCCAGCTTTGTTCTTTTGGCTTAGGATTGACTTGGCAATGCGGTCTCTTTTTTGGTTCCATATGAACTTTAAAGTAGATGCTCATGGATAGGAAGAATCAATATTGTGAAAATGGCCATACTGCCCAAGGTAATTTATAGATTCTGTGCCCTCTTTTCATAGGCTGCTTATTCTTCCTTATCCTAGGTCATGTTTTAGTCACAGGAAAGAAGATATGTTTCAGAGAGATTTTAGCTCAGAGAGTGAGCTGAAAATGAAATCCTCCTTGCTTTGAAGATGTGGAAACCATAGTGATTTCTGAGCAATGCCACTATGTTCTGCCATGCTTCCTTAGATCAGAGTTTTTATTTAAACACTTTATACCCAATAATGTGAAAACTACCCTTTCACAATTTATGTTTTCCTAGGAAAGTTGGTACCCTCTAGTGTACATATCTTGCACTTTTATATAACTTTTGACCTCTTCAAACACTTTTCCTAAAGGTTGCTCAATCTCTCCTCTAGGCTCCGTGCTCACCATATGGGTATAAATTTTCATGGTACGTAAGAAACTTAAGATCTAGAGAATTCTTTCACAATTGATGACCAGAAAGGTGAGAATTCATAAGAGTTCTGCTTCCAGATCTAGCCTAACCATTTTTTGTAGGCCCTTTGGAAAACGACCTAAAATTCTCTGAGTAACTAGAGATTGAGGTTAATAGTCCCTATTTTACCATGTAGGATTGCTGAAAGATCAAGATCTGAGATGCATATTTAAGTGCCTCTCCATAGGTGTGGTGCCCAAATTATTTAATGGAGATGTCATTTTCATTCTTAGATTGATACATACGGGAAAACATAGGATATACTACATTGACAAGTCTGTGTGCTGTAAATCCATCTATCTTTATCCTCTTGTATTTTATTTTGTCTTTTACTTTTTAAATAAATGTTCCTGTTGGAAAATCCCAGTCTGCCTTGCTTTGTTAGGCCAACAGGAGAAGAAATATTTCTACTCATGTTACCCAGTCAGTTCTATATCCTATGTTCTAAGAAATTCTTGGGGGGAATCCCTTAAAATCTATTTTATTCAGTGTTAGAGCAATTCCTTTTTTCTATTTTCCCTCTACCTCCATACCCTTATTGTCCCATTCCTTTTGTGAGTAGGAATTGGAATCATAATCTATACACTTTGGATGCTATCGGTGTTTGAAATGTAATAGTATCTTTGAAATAAAAAAGCAAAACTGGAGGACTCTTTTGGAGAAAGGATTATTTACTCATCAATTTCCACCATACTGAAAAATATAATGCAGCTAATTTAAGAACTTCTATGTGGATAGGCTTATACTCCTTCTTTTGGAGGTAAATAAGGCGCAAGTCCTGTCCATGTGGACCCAAGCTCCAGAGCCACCTCAATGAATTCAGGCTGTAGACCTACCCCTATGAAACCAGACACCAGGCCAGAATGCCCAAAGTCCTCAGTAACAAGCTCACCTGTTGACTGTGCCAGCAGCCCACCCAGAATCTCAGGGTGGGCAGACTGGTGAAGGGCTTTCCCTGCTTAACCCGGCCTGTAACGATTGAACAAGGTGTCTGTTTCTTCAAGTGCACGGACACCAACACAAGGTCACAAGGATTATGAATCATCAGGGAAACATGCCACCACCAAGGGAAAAAAAAAATAAAGTCCAATAACCAACCCAAAGAAATGGAGATCTATGAACTACCTAACAAATAATTTAGAATGATCATCTTAAAGAAGCTCAGTGAGGTACAACAGAATACATATAGACAATTAAATGGAATCAGGAAAATAATATATGAAGTTCAACAAAGAGAAACTATAAAAAAGAACCAAACAGAAATTCTGGAACTGAAAAACAGAATGGCTGATCAGAAAAAATCCATAGAGAACTTCAATAGCAGACTTGATTAAGCAAAAGAAATAATCAGTGAGCTTGAGGACAGTCATTTGAAATTACCCAGTCAGAGGAACAAAAAGATAAAAGAATGACTAAGAGTGAAAAAGTCTGTAGGACCTATGGGCTATATCAAGGAGACCAATATATGCATTAAGGAAATTTTAGAAGAAGCAGAGAAAAGAGGATGGGTATGGAAAGATTATACACAGAAATAATGAAAGAAAACTTCCGAAATTTGGATAGGGAAATGAACATCCAGCTCCACGAATTCCAAAGAACTCCTAATAGATTAAACATAAAGAGATCTTCACTGAAGCACATTATAATCAAATTCTCAATGGTCAAAGACAAAGAATTTTGGAAGCAGCAAGACAGAAGTGACTCACCAGATGCAAGGGAACCATTATGAAACTATCAGTAGATTCCTCAGCAGAAATCTTGCAAGCTTGGAGAGAGTGGCATGATATATTCAAAATTCTGAAGAAAAAAGCCTGCCAGTTAAGAATTCTAGACCTAGTAAAGCTATTCTTCAGAAGTAAAGGAGACATGAGGACTTTACCAGACAAAAGCTGAGGGAGTTCATCACCACTAGACCTTTCTTACAAAAAATTCTAACGGTAGTTCTTCAAGTTGAAACAAAAGAACTCTAACAGCATGAAAACACATTAAAGTATAACTATCATTGGAAAGGTAAGAATATTATCAAATACAGAATACTCTAATACTGTAGTAGCAGTGTAAAAGTTAAAGAACGAAAGTATTAAAAATAACTACAATAGCTACAATAATTTGTTAATAGATTCACAATACAAAAATATATAAATTATGACATCAGTAACATAAAATAGAGGAAAATTTAAAGTATAGTGTTTTTCCATGAGATCACAGTTAAGTTCTTATCAGCTTAATATAGATGATTATAACTATAAGATGCTTTGTGTTTTCTCATGGTAAAGAGAAAAATGTAGTAGATAAACAAAAGAGAAAGAGAAAGGAATCAATACATACCACTATATAAAGCTAATGAATCACAATGGAAGGCAGCAAGAGGAAGAAAGGAATCTTTTCAAGCACACACAGAACATTCTCCAGGATAGACCATGTGTTAATCCATGAGAAAAGTCTTAACAGATTTTAAAAGATTGAAATTATATCACGTATCTTTGGTAACCACAATAGTATGAAGCTAGAAATCAAAAATAGGAAAAAATTGGAAAATTCACAAATATGTGGAAACTAAAAACACACTGCTGAATAACTAATTGGCGAAAGAAGAATTTTTATTTTTAATAAAAAAATATCTTGGCATATGATGGTTAATTTTATGTGTCAACTTCACTGGGTTAAGGGATACTTAGATAGGTGGCGAAACATTATTTAAGTGTGTGTGAGGATAATTCTGGAAGAAATTAGCATTTGAATCCACAGACTGAATAAAGAAAATCTGCCCTCACAAATGTGGGCCACCATTATCCAATCCACTGAAGGCCCACCTGAATAGAACAACAAAGTGGAGGAAGGGAAAAATTTGCTCTCTCTTCTTGAGCTGGAACATATATCTTCTTTGCCATCAGACGTTGGAACGATGGGTTCTTGGACCTTCAGAGTGTGGACTTAAATCAATGCCCTCCCCACTGCACACTTTCAAGCTTTCAAATTTGGGCTGAATTTTACCACCAGCCTTCCTTTGTCTCTAGCTTCCAGGTGGCATATTGTGGGACTTGCTGGCCTCCATAATAACATAAGACAATTACCATAACATATCTCCTTCTATATATCTATATATATCTTATTAGTTCCTTTTCTCTGAAAAACCCTAATTAATACATGAGACAAAAAATAAAAGCAACATACTAAAATTTATGGAATTTTCAAAAGTAGTTCTAAGATATTTTATATGATTAAACACTTAAATGAAGAAAAATGAAAGATCTTAAACAGCCTAATTTTACATCTCAAGAAACTAGAACAGGAAGCCTGAAATTAGTAGAAGAAAGGACATAATAAATACAATAAAGATCAATACAGAAATAAATAAAATAGAAACTAAAAGAGCCATAGTAAAAAACTAATTGTTATTTTTTTAAAAGATAAGCAAAATTGACAAACCTTTATCTATACTAACTAAAAAAAGGAGAGAAGAAAAATACATAAAATCAGAAATGAAAGAGGAGATATTACATTGATACCAAGGAAATACAAAGGATCAAAAGAGACTACTATGAACAGTTATTTGCCAATCACCTGGAAAACCTAGAAGAAATGGATACATTTATGGAAACATACAATCTACTAAGACTGAATCATAAAGAAATACAAAATCTGAACAGACCAGTAATGAGTAATAAGATTGAATTAGTAATCAAAAACCTCTCGCACAAAGAAAAGTCCAGGACTTGATAACTTCAATTGTGTGTTCTACCAAACATATAAAGATGAATTAATATCCACTTTTCCCAAACTCTTCCAAAAATTTGAAGATAAGGGAACACTTTCAAACTAATTTTCTGAGGACAGTGTTACCTTGGAGTCAAAGCTAGATAAGGTCACTGCAAGAAAAGAAAATTCCACCATAATATCTCTGATAATTATAGATGCAAAAATGCTCAACAAAACACAGCCAACTGACTTCAACAATGTATTAAAAAAATTATGAACCATAATCAGATGGAATTTATCCTTGGGATGCAAGCATGGTTCAACATACACAAATCAATCAATGTGATATACTACATCAACAGAATAAAGAATAAAAACACCATGTAATCTTCTCATTAGATGCAGAAAAAGCATTTTACAACATTCCTTTTTGTTGAAAACTCTCAACAAATTAAGTATAGAAGGAATGTATCTCAATATAATGAAGGCCATATATGACATCACAGCTAACACATGCAACATTGAAGAGCCCACAGCTAACATCTGAAATGGTGAAAAGCTTTAGCTTTTTCATTAGGATCCACAAGCAAGATAAGGATGCTCCCTCTTACCACTTGTATTCGATATGAACCTGTAAGACCTAGTCAGAGCAATTAGTCAAGAAAAAAATATAAAATGCATCCAGACTGAAAACAAAGAAGGAAAATTGTCTCTGTATGCACATGATATGATCTTATATATAGAAAACCCTAAAGATTTCACCAAAAAATCTGTTAGAACCAAAGAAAAAGCTCAGTAAAGTTGCAAGATGCAAAATCAACTTACAAAATTGTTTTTCTATACACTAAAAACTAATTACCAGAAACAGAAATTAAGGAAAGACTCCCATTTATAATAGCACACAAAAGATACTTAGGAATAAATTTAACCAAGAGGTGAAATATTTGTACACTTAAAACTGTAAAACCTTGATGAAAGAAACCAAAGTAGACACAAAGAAATGGAAAGATATCCCTGTTTGTGGATGCAAATAATTAATATTGTTAAAATATGTACACCACCCAAAGTAATCTACAGATTCAATGAAATTCCTGTTAAGAGTCCAATGATATTTTTCACAGAAATAGAAAAAACAATCTTAAAGTTTGTTTGGAACCACCAAAGACCTCCAAATAGCAAAAGCAATTTTTAGCAAGAAGAACAATGCTGATGGCATCACAGTACCTGATTTCAAAATATACCACAACAGTGATCAAAACAGTATAGTACTAGTATAAAAACAGACATATGGACCAATTAAACAGAATAGAGAGCCTTAAAACAAATCCACACATTTACAGTCAATTTGTCTTTGACATAGTTTTCAAGAACTCTCACGATGGAGAAAGACTAGGTTTTTTGTTTTTTTTTTTAATAAATGGTGTTGGGACAACTGGATATCCACACATGGAAGAAAGAAATTAGAACCTTATCTTACACAAATCAACTGAAAATAAAGACTTAAATGTAAGACCTGAAATTGTAACACTACCAGAAGAAAACATAGGGAAAATGCTTCTTGACATTGGTTTGGGCAATAATTTTTTGGACATGACTCCAAAATCACAGGCAATGGAAGCAAAACTAGACAAGTGGCACTACATCAACTGAAAAAGCTTCTGCATAGTAAGGAAAACAATTAACAAAATGAGGAGACAACCCAGAGAATTGAAAAAAATTCAGGTCATTCATCAGATAAGTAGTTAATATTCAAAATATGAAGGAACTTCAAAAAGTTTGTGGAAAAATGGAATTAACAGATAAAAAATATAAACTTTGTTTCTCAATGTAAACTCCATCAAATTCAACACACTTTTGTAAGCAATGAAAGCAGCCATTTAGTCCATTTCTAAATAATTGTGGATCCTGGGAATTTAACCATGTCAATGCCATCTTTTTATTATTAACTGAAGAAAAATGGTTGCCCTTTAAATATTTTTTAAGATTAGAAAACAAAAAGAAGTCAAAAAGAGCCAAATCAGCCCTGTAAGATGGATGTTGAATGATGTCTCATAGGAACTCTTGCAAAATTGCCCTTGTTTGATGAGATGAATGCTCAAGAGCATCGCAATGGCGGAAAAGAACTCTGGTGAATATTTCCCGGGCATTTGTTTTTGCTAAAGCTTTGGCTGACTTTCTCAAAATACCCTTGTAATCAACAGATGTTATTATTCTTTGGCCCTCTAGAAAATCAAGTAGCAAAATGCTCTGAGAATCCAAAAAAACTGTTGCCATGATATTTGCTCTTGACTGGCCTGTTTTTGCTTTGACTGGATCATTTCCATTTCTTGGTAACCATTGCTTTGACGTACTTTGTCTTCAGGATCATACCGGTAAAGCCATATTTCATATGTTGTTACAATTCTTTGGAAGAACTGCTTCAGGATCTTGATCCCAATTTTTAAAAATTTCCATTGAAAGCCCTGCTCTTATCTGCAGCTAATCTGGGTGCAATGGTTTTGACACCCATCAAGTGGAAAGTTTCCTCAACTTTTATTTTTTAGTCGGAATTGTGTAAGACGAACTAATTAAGATGACTGTGGTGTTGCCTGTTGTTTCTGCTGTTAATCATTGGTCCTCTTCAATTGGGGAATGAGCAAGATTAATTTTTTCCTTGCAAATTAATGTGGATGGTCAGCTACTATGGGCTTCATCTTCAATATCACCTCATCCTTTCATAAAATGAGTTATTTATTTGTAAACTGTGGATTTCTTTGGGGTATTATCCCCATAAACATTTTATAAAGCTTAAATGATTTCACTATTCTTCCACCCAAGCTTCACCATAAATTTGATGTTTGTTCTTGCTTCAGTTTTAGCAGAATTCATATCCTTTTATAGGGGCTCTTTCAAACTGATGTCTTATCCTTCTTAGTGTTTCAAACTAGAACTTATTTAATCATGTTGTAATAAGTTGGTATAAAATTATTTTGGTGCAAGAAATATTGAAATCCATGCATAGTTTTTCCATAAGATGAAATTTCCACATTTTTTTCAAAGACCTCTTGTAGATAAGGAACTCATACAACTCAATAGCAAGAAAACAAATAACTTGGTTTTTAGAAATAATGGGCACAAGACCTAAATAGACATTTCTGTAAAGAGGAGATACAAATGCCCAACAGGTATATGGAAAGATGCTTAACATTATTAATCATTAGGGAAATGAAAATCAAAACCGCAGTGAAATATCACCTCCTACTTATTAGAATGGCTACTATCAAAATGACAAAAGATAGCAAGTGTTGATGAGGCTGTTGAAACTTTGTACACTGTTAGTGGGAATGTAAATTGGTGTAGCTATTATGGGAAACAGTATGGAGTTTCCTAAAAAAACTTAAAACTACCTATGACTCAGCAATCCCACTACTAGGTATGTATCCTATATAAAGGAAATGAAATCACTATCTTGAAGAGATACCTGAGCTCCCATATTCATTGCAGCATTATTCACAATAACCAAGATATAGTATCAACTTAAGTGATCATCAGTAGATGAATGGGTACAGAAAATGTGGTATACGTACACAGTGGAATACCATTCAGCCTTAAGGAAGAAGGAGCCTCTGTTATTTGGAGCAGCATGGATGAACCCTGGGGACACTATGTTAAATGAAGTAAGCCAGGCACAGAAAGACTGATGCCACATGATGTCACTTGTATGTAGATTCTAAGAAAGCCAGACTCACAGAGGAAAAGAGTAGAATGGTGGTTACCTGAGCCTGGGTGGGGTTGAGGGAGATTGCAGAGATGTGGCTCAAAGGGCACAAAATTTCAGTTAGGAGAAATAAGTTCTAGAGACCTATTGTACAACATGATGACTGTAGCTGATAATTGTATTCTTAACATATGTATAATGACAATATATACTACTTTAAGTATGTTATATACAATTTAAAATTCTGTAAACTTACAATTGCTAAGAGAATATATTTTAAGTGTTCTCACCAAATAAAAAGTATGTGAGATAATACATATATGAATTAATTTGATTTTGCCGTTCCACAATATACATCTTTCAAAATATCATGTTGTATACCATATATATATGTATAATTTATATTTGTCAGTTAAATAGTAACAATTTTAATAAAAAAGGAAATCTTGTCATTTGTGACAGTGGATAAACCTGGATGACATTATGCTAAATGAAATAAACTAGGAACAAATACTGCATGATCTCACTTATATGTGGAATCTAAAAAAGTTGATCTCATGGAACCAGAGAGTAGAATTGTGTCTGCAGGGGGTGGGGGAATGGGGAAATGGAGATATGTTAGTCAAAGGTACAAAGTTGCAGTTATGCAGGATGAATAAATCTGCAGATATACTGTTCAGCATGGTAACTATAGTTAATAATCCTATAATGTATATTTAAAATTTGAGAATAGAGTAGATCTTAAATATTATTAGCCCACATAAATACACCCAAAAGTAGCTATGCGAGGTGATGAATATGTTAGCTAGCTTGTGGTAATCATTTGCAATGTATAGATATATCAAAATATCACATATACTTTAAGTATAATTTTTATTTGTCAATTGTAACACAAAAAAGCGGGAAAGTAATTAAAAATAAAAACAACACATATGGATAAGTTTATACTCCTTTTTTGGAGATAGACATGATTGCCCATTTCATTCCTTTTTTTTTTTGTAGACAGTTTTATTATTAGTGAGTGAAGCAATTCTATAGGGCCCTATGGAACCTGCTTTTAGAGAATGGAAATTCCTTTTCTGTTATCAGTTATTATCATTTGGACAGATATGAATTTCTCAAGTGCTTGATTTTGTTATACATTGCAAAAATACTAATATTTTGTTCTTGTGATGTCGTGGGTGGTTGTACACAAAATGAAAGTCAACAAGCTAACCTAGGTGGGCCATGCTTATCAAAAAAGATTAGAAATTCAAGTTTTTCGATAAAAGAATGGGGAGAAAAACTCCACTTGGCTTTGTCCTACAATCATGGAGAAACCTGGCATTATACCAACTCTCTCTGGGTGTCATTTACTTTTTTTAACTTGTAAGAAATGGTGTGAAGAAATAACATATTACACACCAAAAAATAGAAATAGAAAAGGCAAGTAAAATACTATTCAACATAACAACATTCCACATGGGTTATGTTAGCTTTACCTGTCTTAAGGTTGGCAGAGTCTATCAGCTACCCTCTCACCATCTGGTACTGCTGTTTGAGATCAAATCTGGGCCAATGGTGACATTATACAACCAACATTAGCCAGAGAGGCTTGTTGGATATTACATTTTTTTTGAGCAGAGAAAATTGGCACAATCATTTGAGCTCAGAGAGGTGTTACTCCTTTGTGAGGGGTTTTTGCTTACTGATCTAGGCTCTACAGGGTTACACAGGACTTTATACTTAACATCTTGGCTCCAGCCAGCACAGTGCTTTTTTTCTTGTCTGCTGTATATATCGAGATCTTATGAAATAATTTGGTTTGAAGGAAAAGTTTTCTGCTCTTAGAATAAGCATGTATCCCACTGCTTTATGAATGTCCATATATTTAAAAATAGCATGTAAGTTAATTTATTTTTTGAAAATGAAACACTTTTAAATTCCAGAAAGGAGCTCATTAAAGATAACCTCTTCAGCTAATTCTTCTAAGAAGAATACTTTCGTAAGCTTAATGATGATTGCTAATTTGTTGCCTGAAAATCCAAAAAATTTTTAAAATATGTTAGATCTGCCTAAAGGAGAGTGTGTTTATAAAGTTACAGAGCAATTGTGTATGTCTCCAACTTATCTTCCTTCCCCCAATCTCCATATTTGTCTGTAGCTCCATGACTTTGTTTATGGTCTGTTTTTTCAAATGCTGACTTGTTTTCTCCTAGTCTTTTCAAACACACATATTCTGTAAGGTCCAGCCAAAAGTTCACTCCTTCAACAAATTTCTCTCTGCGACTGACAGACACTTTATTTTCTTAATGTTTATTCTGTTATGGAATGAACAGTAGGCATGTGTTCTTAAGCATTTGTTTGTGGCTGGTAGCATACTGTGTTGTTATTTATTATTCAACATCTCCACCTCTGCTGTAAAGAGAGTGGAATGAGCCTAATAGAGGAAGGAATTTGTTATTACTGAGCATCTCCTCAGTTCTAGGCAGTGTGTTAGATGCTTGCCTGTGCATTACCTCATGGTGCAGTGATTAAGCTTGTGGACTCTGGAGTTAGACTCTCTGGATTTAAAATGCGGCTCCTTTGCATGCCAGCTGGACAAGCTTCTCTGTTTTCAGTTATTATTTCATATGTAAACTGGGGCTAAAAATAACCTCATTTGGTTAATGTGAGGAGTAAATTAGATTGTCCATGTGAAAGACTTAGAGTACCTGACACATTTGAAGCCCTCGATACATGTTAAATATTTCTATTAATTTAAAGAGTCATGCTATGAGATAGACCTTCTCTCCACGTTGCAGGTGAAAAACCCGAGCCTGAAAGGTTAGAGAAATTGCACAAATTTATGTTCATCTGTGGTAGAGCCAGCATTGGCAAACACACATGCTTTATTCCAGAGCCGAAACTCTTTTTTATTTTTATTTTTTATTTTTTAGACAGGGTCTCACTCTGTCGCCTAGGCTGGAGTGCAGTGGCACAATTTCGGCTCACTGCAACCTCTGCCTCCTGGGCTCAAGGGATTCTCCTGCCTCAGCCTCCCAAGTAGCTGTGATTACAGGAGTGTGCCACTATGCCCATCTAATGTTTTGTATTTTAGTAGAGACAGGGTTTCACCATGTTGTCAGGCTGGTCTCAAACTCCTGACCTCAAGCCTCCCAAAGTGCTAGGATTACAGGCGTGAGCCACCGAGCCTGGCCCCAAGCTCTTTTTAATAACCATATTGTTTTGCTTTAAATTTGTATAGAATTACTCATGCCATACTACCTCTTTACATGCCTTTTGAACTCTTAAAATAGCCAGCTTAGTGGTACAAATTGATGAAGGTCAGCAAATATATGTCAATTACATGAGATCATAAATGTGAAAACACCTGGCAAATAGCTTAAAACTTATTCTATTTAATTCTATTAAACACCCTCAGTGGGAAAGGTCACAACAGCATCATGAATTTGCAATGGTAGGCACACCTCTTACAGTTATGAATAGTATAATGGGAAAATTTAGACAAGTAGTTTTTAGAGTGAGATCAGAGGCAAGGAATGTTGAATCATAAAAGGATAGTAGGTCAGTGGTTTTCAAGTATTATTAGGCATGGAATACTTTTTGGTTGAATTAAATCTTACTCAAAAGTTCAATCATTAATAACATAGGTCAAGGTGAAGTTCTTCTGACTGGAGCTGATGGAAGGACCACATCATCTCTGGCTTTGTTCACTCCTTTCATCCCTGTGGCACCTCTTCAGAACCTTAAGTGGCTTTAAGAAGTGATCCTGCCATTTATTTTTTACAGTGAAGTAAATAAAGCAAAGAGAGGTGAAGTGATTGGTCCAAGATCACAAATCCAGAGCTCAAGAACTAGATTTTTTTTCATTCTGCCATACTGCCTTAAGGAGACTGCTGGTCACCTCTTCTACTTTTCTTTGTCTACATTTTTGTGACTGTTTCTTACAATTGGCATAATTGAGAACAAAAAGCTACTGCTCTCATGTCGTAAGTAAGAGAGTACAAACGCAACCATCCACACACCTCAAAAACCACATACTTTGAATTATTTGGAGGCAGTGAATTACTACTGCAAAAGTTTCCAAAGGAGACCAAGTTTTAAGCATCTTTCATTTGAATAATTACATGCAAAGAAAAAGAATAAAATGAATATTTCAATGTCTTTCAAGTGACATAATGCATTTCAAAGATTTTAAGCTTAAAATGGTAGGAATAATAAAGGTTACTGAACTCAGATTTTCGGTGGTCTAATTCTGAGAATTGCACTTCACATCAATAAGCTCTCCAATGTCACTACTGTAGCAGTTTTAAGGATATAAAATGCCTTTAAAAATATATAATTTCAACCTTTATTTTAGATTCAAGGGGTACATGTGCTGGATTTGTTACCTGGGCATATTGCCTGATGCTGAGGTTTGGGGTACGAATGATCCTGTCACCCAGAGAGTGAGCATAGCACCCAATAGGTAGTTTTTCAGCCCCCTTTTCCCTCCCTCCCTTCCCCCTCTAGTAGTTCCCAGGGTCTATTGTTGCTGTCTTTATGTCCATGAGTACCCAATGTTTAGCTCTCATTTAGAAGTGACAGCATGCAGTATTTTGTTTCCTGTGCCTGCGTTAATTCACTTAGGATAATGGCCTCCAGTTGCATCCATGTTGTTTCAAAGGACATGATTTCATTCTTTTTATGGCTGCATAGTATTCCATGGTGTGTGTGTGTGTGTGTGTGTGTGTGTGTGTGTATGTATATATATATATCACATTTTTTTCTTTATTCAATCCACTGTTGATGGGCACCTAGGTTGATTTCATGTCTTTGCTATTTTGAAGAGTGCTGCAATAAACATATAAGTGCAAGTGTCTTTTTGGTAGAATGATTTATTTGCTATGGGATATATACCCGGTAATAGGATTGGTGGGTCGAAAGGTAGTTCTGACTGAAGTTCTTTGAGAAATTTTCAAACTGTTTTCCACAGTGCTTGAACTAATTTACATTCCCACCAACAGTGGATAAGTGTTCCCTTTTCTGTGCAGCCTTCACAGCATCTGTTGTTTTTTGATTTTTAATAATAACTATTCTGGCTAGTGTGAGACAGTATCTCATTGTATTTTTTATTTGCATTGATAGACAATGTCTTTAAGGGAAAATATAATATGTGGAAAAAGTCCTAGCCTGGAAAACCCTATAACATCAGGGAAACAATCAGATAAATTGGAATTCATTCAATTCCATCAATAAATTAATATATGATCCATTTTATATTCCACTAGGTTGACATGAGAGGTGATATAAATTTATACCATTGAAATGGTATATATTCAACAAACATATTAGGAATAACTACCAGGAACCTAGCACTGGGGATTTAAAAATGAATAGAATCATGGTTTGGCTTCTTCACTCAAAAAGGGGCTCAGTCTCAGTGATATGGTTTGGATTTGTATCCCTGCCCAAATCTCATGTTGAATTATAATCCCCAATGTTGGAAGAGGGGCCTAGTAGGAGGTGATTGGATTATGGGGTGGATTACCCCCTTGCTGTTCTCCTGATTGTGAGTTCTCACGAGATCTTGTTTAAAAGTATGTAGCACACCCCCTCCTCCTTCCTCTAGCTCTGGCCATGTGAAGATGGGCCTGCTTCTTCTTTGCCTTTTGCCGATGGTTGTATATTACCTGAGGCCTCCCCAGCCATGCTTTCTCTACAGCCTGAGGAAACATGAGCAAATTAAACCTCTTTTCTTTGTGAATGACCCAGTCTCATGTGTTTCAACATAGCAGTGCTGGAGTGGACTAATATACTCATATTACTTGTGCTAATCTCACATTTTACACAATTTAGATGAGCTGTTTTGTGGTTTGAGCTGACACTAGGGAAGCAGGTTCAGGTTCTTGCACAGTGTCAGGGGAGGACAATGTGGAAATGTATGTGGAAAGAGTATGGGATCTTGATTTAGAGGACTAGGCTAATCTCTTCTTGCTTGTATGACTTTGGATAACATGCCTAGATTTTATGGGCCTTAGTTATCTTGTCTGTAAAATGGAACTTATGCTAATGCCCATTTTTATGTTGCCATGGAGACTAGTTAGATTATGAATAGGAAAGTGCCTTGTAAACTCTTTTAATACAAACATCATTTGGGACCTTTTCAACCTTGCTTCTCAATGGCTCCTCTGAGCTGCAGCATTGACCCAGATGTGTAATGAAATGTCTTTGTGAATTGCTCCCAAAAGAATTGACTGGCACCAAACATTTCATGTGGTCATGGGGAGGGGTCAAATTAACAAGCTCCGACCATTTTAATGTTTTTTGTCTCTCTGCCCTAGATTTCTTCCAGGAACTCCAACTCTTTTGTCATCTGTTACATGAAATATCTGTCCTTATTTTGAGAAGCCTAGGTGCCAAGACAAATTTAAGGTCCTGGGATTCAGCTTCCCTTCCAAGTTTTCAGTAAGTGTTTCCAATAATATATCTTTCTTCATCAGCTGAATTCAGCCTATAACATCATAAAGTATTAAAACATATTTTATTGTTTTGTGCTGTTACAATTTTTTATTGTATTAAAAATACATAATATAAAATTTACCATCTTAACCATTTTTAAGTGCATGGTTTAGTGTGTTGAGTATATCCACATTCAAGCTGTTTCACATTGTTGTGAAACATCTCCAGCACTTTTTCATCTTGCAGAACTGAAACTCTATAGCCATTAAACCACAACTCCCCTTTTCCTCCTCCCCTGTTACAATTATTTGAAAAATGTTTTAGGGTAAGAGCAATACTTGGGGTTGTTATTTGAATAAAGATAACGTGATAAAGCAGGTCATGTGAAATGATTTTTAGGAAGATGGGAAAAATTGTCATGTACTAATTTGAATGAATGAATGACTGAGTAATGAAGGAAACATAATTATTCTCAGTTTGGTCAGTGACCTCTCCAGAAAGAAATGTGAGTGTGAGGTCAAACGTATTCTGCAACACAAGTAATTTTAGAAAGCACAAATCAATCTGGAACCAAATCTTAATGTTATATCCAACTTATAATTGAATTGTGATGAATTTTCCAGTTTCACATTCACCTTTTCTTTAGACTCAGATGATCTTTTTAGGAATCAAATGATCCTAGGAGTTTTAGGTGGGAATTCTTTTAGCTGCAAAATAAATTTACTTCAAAGAGAGGTAACTAAAAGAGAGAACTTGAGTATCTTGAGAGGCTTTTTCTATGTAATGACTAAGATGCCACCTGACAGAACTGTGTTTTACATGGTCCATGGGCATATGCTCTCTGCAGGAGAGAAATTCTCTCTCAGCTCCCTATAAACTTTTGATAAATGACTGTTATTGGCTATACTTGAGTCATGAATGTGCCTCTGGGCCAATCTTGAAGCATGAGGTACTTTGATTAGACAGTCTCGTCACATGCCTTCTGTTATGGTGAGGGAGGAAGGAATATGTGATTGACAATTCCATAAGGTGAGGACTAAAACAACAGGTGAGGACTAAAACAACAGATGTAAATTACAGGGCTTTTATTTTTTCTTTCTTTAAGTCATTCTCTGGGCTGGAGAGAATTCACACGGGCCCTAGAAATTCTGCTCAAGTGCCAGGATACTGACGTATTCCCTAGTTTGCTTTGTGAAGGTCACCAGCTCTGTTTTTAATTTAAAAAAAAATTATTTTAAAAGATGATGAGTATTATCATTACTATTATTATTTATAAATTTGAGTTTCTATTTTAAACACATCAATGGCAGTGTTTCATTGAGTTGGAAAACTCTAGTTTTGTGGTGTCCCTAAAATTTTATGGACCTAAAATTGTCTCTTGAGTCATCTACACTTATGAGAAAGATAGTATACGTTTGAAAAAAACACCTTTGATTTGTGGCTCTAGCCATATCCTGAAAACTTTCTAAAATATTCTCTTAATTATCCCAGCCTGGCCTGCTATGACTGTAAGGTCCAGTAAGTGTTACCTCTCATACCTGCCCCCCAGTCCAGTAGCTCAGACAGTAAGAGCTTCAGCAGGTAGGATAAATTAGCCACAGTTAGGTTTTTGCCTCTCTGCGTGTTGATTGTGCTATATGTATTTGAAAAAGTCTTGCTCTGTCACCCAGGCTGGAGTGCAGTGGCATGATCTCGTCTCACTGCAACCTCTGCCTCGTGGGTTCAAGCCATCCTCCCACCTCAGTCTCCCGAGTAGCTGGGACTGCAGGTGCCCACCACCACACCTGGCTAATTTTTCTATTTTTTGGTAGACACAGGGTTTCTCCATTTTGGCCAGGCTGGTCTCCAACTCCTGGCCTCAAGTGATCTGCCTGCCTTGGCCTCCCAAAGCGCTGGGCTTACAGGAGTAAGCCACTGCACTGGGCCTGTGCTTCATATTGTTAGTCCTGACTCTGACATCTGAATTCAGATTTGCAGTTCCTTCTATTCCAATGAACTCATTAGAAATTCAAGATTAGTCACCTGGGGGCCCAATTAATCTAATTGTGGAGCTCCAGGCTGCTCAGGCCATTTACATGCGGTTTCATCTGAAGTGAAGTAGTTATGAGCTGCTTCTAGCTACCTAGATACAGACCTGGGGAAGTCAAGCTTTGGTAGAAATGATGGTAGGATATTACGTATATTTGCCATGGTGCAGGGAAGAATATGGTCTTTGGGTATAGTCAGTCACAATCACAAGGGTACATGTAGAGGGAGGGATTTTCACTGAGACATTGTTTTTAATAGTCAAAGCTTAAAAACAATTTAACTCTCCAATGAGAGAAGATTGGTTCAATAAACTGTGGTAGTATTCACACAACAAAATCATTAATGTAAGTAAAAAAATAAAAAATGAGGAAGCAGACATGTTTATGTATGTATTCATCAATATAAAAATACATGATTGGGTTATTATTAACTTAGTTAATAAGTTGATATGTACGGTATAATTTCATTTTTTTGACTAGTGTATCTTTTGTCATTTTACAGCTCTCCACCGCAGCTGCCCCCCATCCTTCCCTTCGATGACGACGTTTGCAGGCTTCAAGGGGACCAGGGAACAAAGCTGGGGCCTGGCAGCCCCACTATGCTGCCAGCCGGGGAGAACTAGTCACAAGTACAAATTATCACAACAATTAGCGCCTTTACTTGGGCGATCTGCAAATTGAGGAGGCCCCAGCTCCTCCTTGTACGGGGGTCTATTTTGCAGTGACCTTGCTCTGGAGACGATGATATTCCTTCAGCCTGAGGGAATTGATGTTGATGAACCCGGTGGCATCAATTGGCTCATAATCACCCTGCACGTTCATGCTCACCGGCTCCTCGTTGTAGACAGTGGGGCACTCCCAGCCAAGGATGTACACCTGGCCTTTAAGGACAGACACCTGCACTTTCCCTTCCACTCACTCCTGGGACTCGGCGATGCAGTGGCGGACAAATTCACACTCAGGGCTGTGCCGGAAAGCCAGAAACCAGTATACACCAGCTCAGCAAATTTCAAGCCCCGGCATTGTTTGATTTTGTGCACTTCCCGGTACATGGTGAAGGCCTCGATGTCTAAATGAGCGTAGCAAAGGATGGTGCCTGCTGGGGCCCGGTAGATACCTCGGGACTTCGTTCCAATGAAACGGTTCTCCACGATGGCAATATTGCCCACGCTGTGCTTGCCCGCGACTTCGTTCAGGTACATGAAGAGCTCCAAGGAGGTCTGGTGGGTGGCACTATCCTTGACGTTGGTCACCTTCACGGGGACCCCTTTTTTGAACTCGATCTCGAGAATGTCAGGGGTGTTGGGGGTTTTGGCCGGGTCCTGGGTCTTCGTGTAGAGAGCTGGAGGCGCTTGGTTCTCGGGATTCTCCAGGATTCCAGCCTCGCAGCTGATGTGCATGAGGTTCTCGTCCATGCTCCACGGGTTCTTGGGAGTGACCGGGGTGGGAATCCCGCGTTGCTTTGCATATTCCGTCAGGTCACTGTGGCCCTTGAACCGGTTGTAGAATTCGGGCATACTTCAGGGAGCAATGACCTTTATCTGTGGGGGCCAGCGAGTAGCAGGTGAGCTCAAACCAGACCTGATCATTCCCCTTTCCCGTGGTGCCGTGGGACACATATTTGGCCCCCTCCCGCTGGGCGACTTCCACTTGTTTGTGGGTGATGCAGGGCCTGGCGAGAGAGGTTCCCAGGAGGTAGCGGTCCTCATACAGTGTGCTGGACTGCATGGCCGGCCAGATGAACTCCTCCACAAACTCCCTGTTGACATCCTCAATTAACATCTTTTTGGCCCCAGGCTTCAGTGCCTTCTTCCTGGCTTCCTGGAAGTCTTCCTTCTGGCCAATGCTGGCCAGGTAGGCAATGACGTCATAGCCTTGTTCCTTCAGCCACACGAGGATGCAGAAGGTGTCCAGGCTGCCACTGCAGGCCAGAACTATAGAGCCTTTGCTGGACATACCGTCCGGAATCTGACTCCACAGTGCAATGAACCACTCGGGCTGGGGCAGCCATGGCAGGCGACAGAGCAGGATAATTTCATTTTTATAAAAATGAATGGGTTTATTTATTTGTGTGTATTTTTAAAGATTAGAGGTGAGAATTTGGTATTGCTGTAATGGTATTATGGTCAGGGATGCAGGGCTGTGAAGATTCTGTTGTGCTGATCATGTGTCTTTCTCAGGGTGTTGCCAACCAAGCAAGTGATACTCAAGGAATGGTAGAAGATGATATTGTTTATTAGTAACTGGATAAGCACCTAGTTCACCTTGTGAGTTTTCTGTTAAAAGATGGATAGGAGAACATGGTTACATCCAGAGACCTTTACTTTAAGTGAAGCCTCCTGCGTCTAGGATGGATGGGTAAACAGAGTCTACCCCTGCCTATTTAATTATAGTTACATAGCAGATGGGACACACACACGAACAACCCTCTTTGTATTCCTTGGTTTTTCTTATCACCGAGTCATAGAAAAAAGTGAGCCAAAGGAGGACTTGGGGTCTTTAAGGAATAATAACTTGGTCCACTGGTTAACTATGAACTCTGGCCAATCAAATGACAAATGATCTCTTCCTAAGAGATGTTCAAGTGAGTGTATGTGTGGGGTTAGTAAGGAGAGAAGCAGAAGGGTACATGCATTTTTCTCAGAGTATGCATGTGTAGAAACATTTGCATCAAAATGCCATAGTACTTTTTTTAATGGGCAGTGGGATTACAGCTGATTATAATTTGTATAAATTATTGATTGTCTATACTTTCTAAGTTTCTTCACTGAACATAGATGTCTTGTATAATAAAAAGCCATTCATAAAAATTCAGCTTTACTGTCATTTTAAGCAAACACTCCCACCTTCCATAACTAAATTCTCATATTTACATCAACGTGACATTTTGCCTCTAATCATCTAGTGGCACTCTGAAGAGGTAAGCTCCTTCCTTTTTCAACAGGAAAGTTCCTCTAGCACATTATTCAGATAAGGCTTAAGTGAGATCTTATGAGCTCTGATCGGAACCTTTGCTGAATGGCCTTGATGCTGCTGTCCTACTGTGCCTGAGATGTGAGCACATACAAGGAAACTTATAACTTGATTGGAAACTTCAGGGAAGGCCACCGGGAGAAAGCAGCAAACCAATAATAATGATAATAAAAGTTCACGCTGAGCTAGGGCTTGCTGTGTAGCAGGGCCTGGTAAAAGCTCTACTTAACCAATTTGGTCCCCACGACTCCATTAATTAGAAACTATTATAATCCTCATTTTGCAGAAAAATCTCCAAGGGGTTAAGGGATTTGTTAAAGCTCACTAAGCTCAGAATTGGCTGAGGGGGAATCCAAACCCAAGCGTCTGTTGCCAGTGTCAAGGCATCAACCCCTCTGCAGTATAAGGTTGGCTGCAGGTGGGACTCCTCATTCCATAGCTAACTCCTACTTGCTTTTCAGGTTAACCATGACCCCATCAGTTCAGCTAGGGGATTCCCAAATTTTATTCCATAGTATCCACGGCACTTGTCATACTGAGTTGTGATTTTTTAAAATAGTCTATTCCCTCTGCTAGGCTGTGAGATCTTTGAAGATAGAAGTGGTGACTTGGGATTGTCTCCCAGGCAATTACCACATTGGCTGACTCCTAGAATGTGCTCAATAAATATTGGATGAATATTTAATCATCTGGGCATAGTGGACACATCAATTTCACAAATTGCAAAATTCAACTGAAAAGTAGGAACTGAAAATATAACTAAGGGATTACCTAGGTAATGTCCAATCAGGATAGAACGTGGCTCATTGAGTTGCCCATATGCATGGTTTTGGACTTGGTTATAGGCAGAATTAACTAGGTGTAATCTCTACTTTTTAAGAATTTATAGTCTAACGAAGCAGGTTTGAAATTACCATTGTACCTATCAAGACAACAGTGTTTTTCCTCTGGGTTGAATATCATGCTTTGTATTTTGTGGAATAGAGAAAAAACAATACAGCCACAATGTTAAAAAATTATAATTATTGGGTCAAAAACTATACTTATTGCTTTCCTTTTTCTTTATAATTCTCTGTAGTATACACAAATAAATTTGTGGTTCTGTGCTTATAGTTAGCACTTCTCATCAGTAATATTGATAGTTTTATTTTTATTTAAGTACATTACATATCTTGTCTTAGTCTTCACAGTAGCACTCTGAAGAAGACACTACTTTATCCTTATTTTATTGGTTGATTCCAGAGTTTGAGGAACAAAGAACACAATTCAATTTTAATGATTTTAATCATTTTATCTGAAAAAGTAATAAAATAATATTTTAGAATTTTATTTTTAAAAAAACAAGATAAAATGTCTCAGTGTATTCCAAATCCAACATAGCAACATACTATTAACAAGTACTTTACTCAATTTTGCTTTTTCAAGTTAAACTGTCTGACCTTGTTGCTAAGCACAGGAAGGAAGAATCAGAAGGGAAGTATTTCTTGAAGGAGATGGCTTGAAGTTGGTCTGTGCAAGATAAAAAAAAAAAAGTTAAATGTTTCTTAAAAGAGATTTTATTTTCAGGTTAAAAAATGTCTACAGTTCTGCACTTTTTTGTTCTCTGTTGCCGACTAGTCTGCAGATAGGCAGAGGATTCTGTGCAAAGGGACTGGTTTGTGCATACACTACAATGTTTACTATTTTCAGAGATTGCGCTCCATCACTGAGAATTAGGATTTTAATTTGATAAGTAAGGGACTCTCTCAATAATCTTCTATTTACTCTTAATATATGGTATTAGATTTTTAAACTTAAAGGCAAGACAGGTGGGGAAATTATATGTAGTGACTGTCAGTTGGAGGAAGTAAAAAAATGGAAACACATACAAAGTCTGTTACAAGAGATCACTGAAAATTCTGAGGCAATGTAGTGGCATGCTGTCTTCTCCAGATTTTTCTTTAAAAAAAATACTTAGGATATATAAAATTTTTGACAGTACTGGGAATGAATAAGAGTGTACTATAAATTAACATTTGAGAGGAGTTCCCAGGAATTGAAAAACTGACTGGATTAGATTGAGAAACACTTCCCTAGGCTATGCATGCTGACTCCTTTGCATGAGAAGGGTTTGACTCATTTTATCTACCTTCTTCCAGCCCAGGAACAAAAAGGCTGTACATGTCAAGCAGGTCACCCCCATACTGCACAGGAAATATTTTCTGAAGTAGTAAATGTCTTATACCAGTGTCCCAGCGTTTCACCTCCTGCTCTAAACCATGAAAACAAGTCGTCTCTTCTTACACTGATTTTAGCTTTTAGTACACAAAAACAGGGGAAAAGAGGATGTGCGTTAATTCCTTGCATCCCAGGATATGCATTTTTATTGTCTAACATGGAGAATTCAACAACAAAAACAGAATATTTTAACATATTTCAGCAGAGCCACAAGGCATAAATACTTGCTGCACACCATAAATTGGATTAAGGATATACTCATTACTATGTTTCTAAGTTTAGATTTGAGAGAAGCCATCTAATGCCCCAAATGTCCAATAAAGAGATGCTTAACGACACACAATTTACCATGTCTGTTGGCAATGCTAGACCTAAAGAGATCTCAACTCAGTCAGGCATAAATATAAACAAATAAGCAATGAAAAGCAAAATTGGTTCTATAAAATATTCTATAGCACCAAAAAGTTATGTTAATCTGAAGACTCAAAGGAAAAATATGCCTCTAAAAATTATTTGCGACAAGAAGTATCAGAATAGCTAGATAATATCTGTTTAGTGCTCTCAGTAAAAGATATGAAGGCATGACCTTTATGAAGCATGAGCAACTAATAAAGAGAAAATGGTATG